>NC_000021.9:42615794-42915794 GCF_000001405.40 Homo sapiens | reverse complement strand
CACTGCACTCCATCCTGGGTGACAGACTGAGACCCCTTCTCAAAAAAAGAAAAACAACAAAATATCACTGAGCTCCAGCCGGGACAGAGTGAGACCCCTTCTCAAAAAAACAAAAACAAAACAACAAAATGCCACTTGTAACTGCAGCTAATCACAGCATGGATATTCGGGGCCATTTGAGTCAGTGCTCCTGGCTTGCAGTCCATAAACTTGGCCCAGAGAATCTCCACTTGCACGAGTTTTGCTCCTGCTTCTGTTTTCTGTTTTTGAGACAGAGTCTCGCTCTGTTGCCCAGGCTGGAATGCAGTGATGTGATCTCGGCTCACTGCAAGCTCCACCTCCCAGGTTCATGCCATTCTCCTGCCTCAGCCTCCTGAGTAGCCGGGACTACAGGTATCTGCCACCATGCCCAGCTAATGTTTTCTATTTTTAGTAGAGACAGGGTTTCACCGTGTTAGCCAGGATGGCCTCGATCTCCTGACCTTGTGATCTGCCCGCCTCGGCCTACCGAAGTGCTGGGATTCCAGGCGTGAGCCACTGCGCCCGGCCTCCTAAAGTGCTGGAATGACAGGCGTGAGCCCCCGCGCCTGGCCACCCCTGCTTCTTCCTTTAGGTCAGCACCTGCTAGGTTTAAGACATTGTGGGCGGGGACAACAGAAGGGATATTTTCAACCTTTTTTGGTAAGAAGAGTTGTTTCTTTTTTCTTTTTTTCCTCTGCCCTATCTTATAATGCTAAAAGAGTTGCTTCTTTATTTTTATTTATTTATTTATTTTGAGACAGGGTCTCACTATGTTGCCCAGGCGGGTCTCGAACATCTGAGCTCGTGACCCTCCCATGTCAGCCTCCCAAAGTGCTGCGATTCCAGGCATGAGCCAATGTGCCTGGCCAAGAGTTGCTTTTTATTTTATTTTATTTATTTATTTAGAGATGGAGTCTTACTCTGTTGCCCAGGCTGGAGTACAGTGGCATGATCTTGGCTCACCGCAACCTCCGCCTCCCAGGTTCAAGCAATTCTCCTGCCGCAGTCTCCCAGGTAACTGAGATTATAGGCCAGCGCTATGATGCCTGGCTAATTTTTGGGTTTTTAGTAGAGATGGGGTTTCACCATGTTGGCCAGGCTGGTCTCGAACTTCTAACCGCAGGTGATCTGCCCACTTCGGCCTCCCACAGTGCTGGGATTACTGGTGTAAGCCACCACGTCCGGCCTCCAAGTTTCTATTTTACATTTCTCATCTCCATCCTGCCAAGTGTCTATTCCGCACAGTACTGACTCATTTGCTCTGAAGGATGAGCTGAGGAGTTCTCCTGGGCTACCTCCCAAGTTCCTATTTGTGTCCTCCAGGTTCTTGGTTTATCTTCTGTTTACTTGTTAGGGTTTATAACACTCTCATTCTGTCTTGTAATCTCCATAGTTGTTTAGCCTTAATTCACAGGCAAATAGGTTCTAAGGTCTCCCCCAGTACTACTGTGGCCTTCAATTCTTGATTTTTTTCTTTTTTTTTTTTTTGAGATGACTTTCGCTCTTGTTGCCCAGGCTGGAGTGCAAGGGCGTGGTCTTGGCTCACTGCAACTTCTGCCTCCCAGGTTCAAGCGATTTTACTGCCATAGCCTCCCAAGTAGCTGGGATTACAGGCGCCCGCCATCATGCCCAGCTAATTTTTGTATTTTTAGTAGAGACGAGGTTTCGCCATGTTGGCCAGGCTGGTCTGAAACTCCTGACCTCAGGTGATCCACCTGTCTCGGCTTCCCAAAGTGCTGGGATTACAAACATGAGCCACCGTGCCTGGCCCAATTTTTGAATTTTTAATGTTAGTTCATCTCTTGTTTGGCTGGATTTCACTGTCTAGTTTTCCTCCCACGAAGGGCTTGAGGAGGTGAGAGTCTCTGAATACAGGCAGTTGAAAGATGGCATATATGGGCCAGCACGGTGGCTCCTGCTGTAATCCCTGCACTTTGGGAGGCTGAGGGGGAGAGATAGCTTGAAGCCAGGAATTTGAGACCAGCCTGACCAAAATGGTGAAATCCTGACTCTAGTATAAACACAAAAATTAGCCAGGCGTGGTGCCGTTTCCTAAAGGATTGGCCTCAGCCACTTACTCAGCCTGAGGCTGCTCTGAGACTGCAGTGGAGAGCCAAGGGGCTGTGGCTTCCTCAAACCCAGATGCTGCTTCAGCCCCGGTGCCTCTCACACCCATCCGGAGGCCTTGAGGACTGCCCCGCAGGGCTCCCTCCACCAGTGCCCTGTGCTCCTGGCAAAATCCCTTTCGACATCCAGGTTAGGCATCATGTCCTTCAAAGCCTTCTCTGATGAATCCCCATCTTTGCCTCTCCCCAGACAGCTCCCCTGCCTCTGCCTTCTACGTCTGTTATCCGGCACATCGCCATGCATCTGTCTCTCAGCTGCCCCCTTTCCCAGGCCATACACTCAGAGAAGGCAGGCTGTCTCGATCACGTCTGAACCCGTGGCCGAGGCATAGTGCCTAGCATATAGTAGGCATTTCAAATAATGTTTATTACAGACAGGTCTCTAAGGGTGAAAATTACACTAGAAGGAACACTGTTTTAGCAGTTGTGAATTTTTTATATCCTATTGCTTCAGATCCGTTCTAGAATAAAGGCCAAGGTCAGGGGGAAAGGGAAGGAGGGTCAGGGAGAGAAGGTGGTAGAACCAAGGAAGCTGAGCACTTAAAACACCCACTTATTTAATTTAATTAATTAATTTATTTTTTGAGACGGAGTCTTGCTCTGTCGCCCAGGCTGGAGTGCAGTGGCACAATCTCGGCTCACTGCAAGCTCTGCCTCCCGGGTTCACATCATTCTCCTGTCTCAGCCTCCCGAGTAGCTGGGACTACAGGCGCCCACCACCACGCCCGGCTAATTTTTTTTTTGTTTTTTTTTTTTGAGACGGAGTCTTGCTCTTTCGCCCAGGCTGGAGTGCAGTGAGGCTATCTCGGTTCACTGCAAGCTCCGCCTCCTGGGTTCACGCCATTCTCCTGCCTCAGCCTCCCAAGTAGCTGGGACTACAGGCGCCCGCTACCATGCCCGGCTAATTTTTTGTATTTTTAATAGAGACGGGGTTTCACCGTGTTATCCAGGATGGTCTCGATCTCCTGACCTCGAGATCTGCCCACCTCAGCCTCCCAAAGTGCTGGGATTACAGGCGTGAGCCACCGCACCTGGCCAATTTTTTGTATTTTTAGTAGAGACAGGGTTTCACCGTGTTAGCCAGGACGGTCTCGATCTCCTGACCTCGTGATCTGCCCACCTCAGCCTCCCAAAGTGCTGGGATTACAGGCGTGAGGCACTGCGCCCGGCCTCCAACAGAACGTGGGAAATCACATAGACCCAAACAATGGCCCCTTGGGTGACCACTGTATTGCCACCAGATGGACTATCAAGAAATCATCTGCAGTGATAGCTACAAAATGCAGAGCTGTGCTTGGTGCTGGCTATTCGGTTTTAAGCCCTTCCAATGGGTGGAGGAGAGTAAACCAAAATCCCAGAAAGACTAGCCCAACAGGACTAGTTCTAAGGGAAGAACTTTATTTTTTTGAGACGGAGTTTTGCTGTTGTTGCCCAGGCTGTAGTGCGATGCTGCAATCTCCACTCACTGCAGCCTCTGCCTCCTGGGTTCAAGTGATTTTCCTGCCTCAGCCTCTTGAGTAGCTGGGATTACAGGCATGCACCAACACGCCCGGCTAATTTTGTAATTTTAGTAGAGAGGGGGTTTCACCATGTTAGTCAGGCTGGTCTCAAACTCCCAACCTCAGGTGATCCATCTGCCTCAGCCTTCCAAAGTGCAGGGATTACAGGCATGAGCCACCGCGCCCAGCCAGGAAAGAACTTTATACAAGTCTCATGCTTTATCTTAAAAATATATGCAAATCAAAATATATTCATGTTCATTTTAATATTAAGGGAATTTCCATTTCCAAAGCATCACCGCCCATCACAGTAGTTCCACGGATCCCAGCTTGAGAACTATTAAATGAAAAACCAAAAAATGCAAATAGCAGGATAGAAAAGTTGTAGGTACATTAAAATGGTTACACCTACCACCACCACTGGGGAATCCTGTAAGATGTTAATGGCTGGGAATGGGGGCTCACGCCTGCAATCCCAGAACTTTCTGGGGCCGAGGCAGGCAGATCTCTTGAACCCTGTCTCTACAAAAAATAGAAAAATTAGGCGGACATGGTGGCCAGTGCCTACAGTCCCAGCTACAAAGTGGGCTGAGATGGGAGGATTGCTTGGGCCTGGGAGGACGAGGCTGCAGTGAGCTGAGATCGCACCACTCCTCCGGGCAAGAGTGAGGCTGTCTCAAAAAAAAAAAAAAAAAAAAAAAAAAAAAAAGGGTGGGTTAGCATAGTGGATTTTAGGTAAGTTTACTATTTTCTTTTTGGTAATGTAGTTTTACCACTTTTATTATAAAAAATGTGTTTAGAAGAATCTGGCTGAGTTGCTAAGTCTCCCGTGTGGTAACACAATTTGAGGCAGATGACCACAATACTAGTTTTCAATTTTGATATTTAAAAAAAAAAATTTTTTTTTGAGATGCAGTCTCACGCTGTCACCCAGACTGAATGCAATGGCATGATCTCGGCTTACTGCAAACCCCGCCTCCCGGGTTCAAGCGATTCTCCTGCCTCAGCCTCTTGAATAGCTGGGATTACAGGCACGCACCACCACAGTTGGCTAATTTTTGTATTTTTAGTAGACACAGGGTTTCACCATGTTGGCCAGGCTGGTCTCAAACTCCTGACCTCAAGTGATCCATCCGCCTTGGCTTCCCAAAGTGCTGGGATTACAGGCGTAAGCCACCGTGCCCTGGCCCTCACCTACATTGGTTACTTTCTCTAAGTCAGACTGGGGGTCTGTCTCTGCAGAGTGCTGGGGGAGCGTGCTCCATGTGATGCACAGGAGCCCCCCACATTGCCCCCAAAGGTGTGACTTAAAGTTATCTATCACAAGGGATGGGAGGTTACTTGGCCAACCCAGAAACCCTAAATAGGTAAAATAGCTCATTGAGTGCCTGTGGCCAGCGGGGAGCAACTTCGTCCCTGCACCGCACAAAACTTCACCTCTTCCTACTCCGTCCCTGCACCGCACGAAACTTCACCTCTTCCTACTCCGTCCCTGCACCGCACGAAACTTCACCTCTTCCTACTCCGTCCCTGCACCGCACGAAACTTCACCTCTTCCTACTCCGTCCCTGTACTGCACGAAACTTCACCTCTTCCTACTCCGTCCCTGTACTGCACGAAACTTCACCTCTTCCTACTTCGTCCCTGTACTGCAAGAAACTTCACCTCTTCCGAATCTCACCAATGAAAATGTCCTCAAGTTTATATAAAATATCTAACAGAGGCAAACAAAACAATTCCCTTCCTTTTCTGATGGTAAAATACTGCAATACAATTTGTTTGCAATGCAGTAGTTAAAATTAGTAACATTCCTGTTCCTTTTTTTTGATTGAGTTTCACTCCTGTTGCCCAGGCTGGAGTACAATGGCACGATCTTGCTCACTGCAACCTCCGCCTCCCAGGTTCAAATGATTCTCCTGCCTCAGCTTCCTGAGTAGCTGGGATTACAGGTACCCACTAGCATGCCTGGCTGATTTTTGTATTTTTAGTAGAGATGGGGTTTCACTATGTTGGCCAGGCCGGTCTCAACTCCTGACCTCAGGTGCTCCACCCGCCTCGCCCTCCCAAAGCGCTGGGATTACAGGAATTATCCACTGCACCTGGCCAAAACTCCTGTTTCTAATGATCAAAAACCAGGGCTGTAGGATTAGAAGTCACTATTACTGGCTGGGTGCAGTGGCTCACGCCTATAATGCCAGCATTTTGGGAGGCTGAGGCAGGTAGATCATGAGGTCAGGAGTTTAAGACCAGCCTGGCCAAGATGGTGAAACCCCATCTCTACTAAAAATACAAAAAAAATTAGCCAGGCATGGTGGCGTGAGCCTGTAGTACCAGCTACTCAAGAGGCTAAGTAAGGCAGGAGAATCACTTGAACCCAGGAGGCGGAGGTTGCAGTGAGTTTAGATTGTGCCGCTGGACTCCAGCCTGGGAAACAGAGACTCCATCTCAAAAAAAATAAAAGAAGTCACTATTACATTATTGATACTCAGCTGATAATCAGTTTAATGCGAAATTGACTAGGCTGAGCACAGTAGAATCACACCGCTCTAAAGCACTTAAAATTCTCTAATTATATGGATTTGCCCAGTGATTCATAACCTTAGAGTTTAAGAAAAATTCCTTGCACATAGTAGATATTCCAAAATATATGTTGGATAATCAGTGTTACTGTTGCTAATTCACCACTCACTGTAAAAAGTGTGAAAGTGGCCGGGCGCAGTGGCTCACGCCTGTAATCCCAGCACTTTGGGAGGCGGAGGTGGGCAGACCATCTGAGGTCAGGAGTTCGAGACCAGCCTGGCCAACATGGTGAAACCCTGTCTCTACTAAAAATACAAAAGTTAGCTGGACCTGGTGGTGAGTACCTGTAATCCCACCTACTTGGGAGGCTGAGGTGGGAGAATCACTTGAACCCAGGAGGCGGAAGTTGCAGTGAGCCGAGAATGTGCCACTGCACTCCAGCCTGGGTGACAGAGTGAGACCCTGTCTCAAAAAAAAAAAAAAAAAAAAAAAGGTAAAAGTGAAACCGATTATGCACAGCGGGCCTTGTGACTCTTGAGTGGATTTTATTTTTGCACTCCAGGATGCAGTGAAGACGGTGGAAGGTTCATCTTCACACCGAGGGCCCTCAGTGTCGAGGTGACTCCCGGCCTGAGGAGGGCTGAGGCATCCTGAATTTTGAGAGTTCGAGGTTGAGGTCTAAGAAGGTGTACGTGCTGTAGTCATGATGCTGCAGGTTCTTGTAGGTAGTGTTGTCAAACGGCTCAGCAGGCACTGGGGCTGGCTCTGCGGAGGAAACACGATGCCCATGAGACCAACACAAGGACAGCTCTTTATGAATGACTCGGCTCACACACAGGCGCTTACCTACCAAGCATTCTTCATCATCCCTATCTGTGAACAGCTCTTTATGAATGACTTGGCTCACATACAGGCGCTTACCTACCAAGCATTCTTCATCAACCCTATCTGTGAACAGCTCTTTATGAATGACTCGGCTCACACACAGGTGCTTACCTACCAAGCATTCTTCATCAACCCTATCTGTGAACAGCTCTTTATGAATGACTCGGCTCACACACAGGCGCTTACCTACCAAGCATTCTTCATCAACCTATCTGTGAACAGTTCTTTATGAATGACTCGGCTCACACACAGGTGCTTACCTACCAAGCGTTCTTCATCAACCCTATCTGTGAGGAACAAATTGTCTAATTAAAAAAGAAAAGCCTACAAAAGCCACAGTAAAGAAAAAGAAAGATATTACTTGGAAGTTTATTCTAAAACATACAGCCTTCCAATTTAAGAAATGGAATAGTTATTACAATGCGTTTTTTTTTTTGAGATGGAGTCTCACTCTGTTGTCTAGGCTGGAGTGCAGCGGTGCGATCTCAGCTCACTGCAAACCTCCACCTCCCAGCTTCAAGTGATTCTCCTGCCTCAGTCTCCCAAGTAGCTGGGATTACAGGCGTCTGCCACCACGCCTGGCTAATTTTTGTATTTTTAGTAGAGACGGGGTTTCACCATGTTGGCCAGGGTGGTTTCGATTTCCTGAGCTCAAGTGATCTGCCCGCCTCGACCTCCCAAAGTGCTGGGATTACAGGCGTGAGCCACCATGCCAGGCCATACAACGTGTCTTAACATCTTAGTTTGTATACTTCTAGGCTTCTCAAAAGTTTGAAAATGCCTAGAACAATTATAGCAGGACTTTCAGGTAACTTAGAGATGCATGATAAAATCTACCTCTATTAGAAATCTGGGCTGGGCATGGTGGCTTACGCCCATAATCCCAGCACTTTGGGAGGCCGAGGTGGGAGGATTGCTTGAGCTCAGGAGTTCTAGATCATTCTGGGCAAAATAGTGAGACTCTGTCTCTACAAAGAATAAAAAATTAGCAGGGGCCAGTAGCAGTGGCTCACACCTGTAATCCTAGCACTTTGAGAGGCTGAGGCGGGCAGATTGCTTGAGGCCAGGAGTTTGAGAGCAGCCTGGCCAACAAGGTGAAACCCTGTCTCCACTAAAGTTACAAAAGTTAGCAGGTGTGGTGGCATACTCCTGTAATCCCAGCTATGTCAGGAGGCTGAGGCACAAGAATTGCTTGAACCCAGGAGGCAGAGATTGCAATGACCTGAGACTGCATCACTGCACTCCAGCCTGGTGACAAAGTTAGACTCTGTCTCAAAAAAAAAAAAAAAAAAAAATTAGTAGGGCATGGTGGCACACCTGTAGTCTCCAGCTACTCAGGAGGCTGAGGTGGGAGGATTGCTTGAGACTGGGAGGTGGAGGTTGCAGTGAGCTGAGATCACATCACTGCACTCCAGCCTGTGGGACAGAGCACGTCTGTCAAATAAAAAATTTTTTTTGAAAAGCTTAAACTAAAGGAGCCTTCTGAATCTCTGATACAAGAAAATTAGATAAATTCTAATAACAACAACACAGCATTTAAACATTTGGTAATTCGAAACTACAAGTAGGGGTTGAGGCAAAAGAAGTACTGGTCTCCTGCAGCAGGACACACAATATAACATAATGGCAAAATCAAAACCAGCACGGGAACACAGGCTGATATTTGGGTTAAGATTTGTACTGACTCAATTTCTGTAAATCAGGTCATTAGGTCTGTCTTAACTTCCATTCATGCTCCACAAAAAAATAACCTAAATACATTTATTTTCTCACTATTTCAATTAATATCAAAAGCTCTGTTTTTCATTTTTAAGTTACGTTAAGCAAAAACGATGTCTCATTTAAAGAGCTGGCATCCTTCCAATCTCCACAAGGTGAGTATCTTCGGTGTGGTGTAGGGACACCTTCAAAGCAGAACGTACTATTTTAGTTACTATAGGGAGGGTGATAACTGACCAAGACGTGGGTTACAAAACTCTGATCTAAAACCACTCTACCTGGAAGGCCAGTACTGGGGCACGGACTGCCTAGTGAGACCGCGGCCCCATACAGACACGGCTCTGCAAGGTGGGCTCTGCGCATGCGCACAGAAGATAGTTAAGAAACAACACACCCGTGAAATATTAGAACTTTCTCTTCAGAAAGGTTTGCAGTCTGAAAACTCCCAATTCTGTTTTTATCCTGCGAGTTGTGTTATTCGTCTCCATTTTCGAGCAGGAGGAGTGAAAGCAGCAGCATCAGGAAATGCAGTTCCTAAGGGCTGGGAAGTCTGGCAAGCACCGGCACTTGGCGTACTGATCAAAGAGCAGACGGAGAGGGGGGAAAACACATAGATCCTGTCGCACAACGAACCAAGAACAAGAAGGCGTCATGTAAGGCACATAAGGCAAGGGGCGGCGGTACAGAGGATGGAGAGCAGACACAGGACGGAGCCGCGCTTGTTAGGGATCATGCACTTTAGAGAAGTCTTCAAGAAGAGCCATGGATTCTAAAACGGAAGCTTGCCTTTTCATGTTTGCCACGACCCACCTAAAGCGCATTGCATCTTATCAAGTTTCGTGCTCAAGAAAATGGTAACATAGCTGGGCGCAGTGGCTCACGCCTGAAATCCCAGCACTTTGGGAGGCAGAGGCAGGTGGATCACCCGCGGTCAGGAGTTCGAGACCAACCTGACCAACATGGCAAAACGCTGTCTCTACTAAAAATACAATAATTAGCCAGGCGTGGTGGCAGGCACCTGTAGTGGCACCTACTCAGGAGGCTGAGGCAGGAGAATCGTTTGTACGTGGGAGGTGGAGCCGGCAGTGAGCCAAGATTGCGCCACTGTACTGCAGCCTGGGTGACAGAGTGAGATTCCATCTCCAAAAAAAAAAAAAAAAATGGTAACATCATAGGAATAAATACTGTTGCCCTTTAAAAGCCTCCACACGCTAGGCACGGTGGCTCATGCCTGTAATCCCAGCACTTTGGGAGGCCGAGGCAGGTGGATCACCTAAGGTCAGGAGTTCGAGACCAGCCTGGCCTACATGGTAAAACCCTGTCTCTACTAAAAATACAAAAATTAGCCGGGGGTGGTGCCACACGCCTGTAATCCCAGCTACTTTGGAGGCTGAGGCTGGAGAATCACTTGAACCCAGGAGGCGGAGGTTACAGTGAGCCAAGATTGCGCCATTGTACTCCAGCCTGGGCAACAAGAGCAAAACCCATGTCAAAAACAAACAAACAAACAAACAAACAAAAAACCCTTCATAAAATGTCTTCTAGAAGAGTAAAGCAGCCCACATGTGTTTTCAGTTAACCAGAGAAGGAAACGCTGTCCAGGGGAAAGGATGCGTATGCAGCGGCTGACCTGTACAACACTTACTGCTTTAATTCCTGAACTATGAATCTGCCCTGTGCACAGGATGCTGAAAGCAATCATCTAGTTTACCCAAAGACTCTCACGCCAAGCGACTAGCTACTGCTCTTCACCTATGCAAGTTAAACCGGAGGCTCCCCTTTTCACTTAGCGAGATGCCCCACAAGGTCATCAATGAACACTTGGACACCTTCAAAAGTCAGTGGTGACAATGTTAAGCTGCCAGTTTTCAAAAATTATACCGGTTAAGAAATAGTGAAGAGTGCCAAGGACATACTCTTTAAGATGAAGGTTGGGGGCCGGGCACGGTGGCTCAGGCCTGTAATCCCAGCACTTTGGGAGGCCGAGGCAGGCTGATCATGAGGTCAGGAGATTGAGACCATCCTGGCCAACATGGTGAAACCCCGTCTCTACTAAAAATACAAAAATTAGCTGGACATGGTGGTGGGGGACTGTAATCCCAGCTACTCAGGAGGCTGAGGCAGGAGAATGGCTTGAACCTGGGAGGCAGAGGTTGCAGTGAGCCAAGATTGCACCATTACACTCCAGCCTGGAGATGGAGCAAGACTCTGTCTCAAAAAAAAAAAAAGATGAAGGTTAAGCAGGGTGGGGTTGCTCATGCCTGTAATCCCAGCACTTTGGGAGGCCGAGGCGGGTGAATTGCCTGAGGTCAGGAGTTCGAGGCCAGCCTGGCCAACACGGTGAAACCCCATCTCTACTAAAAATACAAAAAAAATTAGCCAGGTGTGGTGGCCTGCGCCTGTAATCTCAGCTACTTGGGAGGCTGAGGCAGGGGAAGTGCTTGAGATGGAAGTTGTAGTGAGCAGAGATCGCGCCACTGCACTCTACCTGGGCAACAGAGCAAGACACCATCTCAAAAAAAAAAAAAAAAAAGAACGTTAAATATTTTAGGGATTCTAAATATAAAGATGTGGATTGTCCATAATTAAGACATACTTTTCTGCCTGGCTGAGACAGCGTTACAGGCCATATTTCTAGTACAGAATTTGACTAATTGTAACACTGCTCTACAAGCATATGTAAATTAGTTCTTTTGCCTCACTACCCTAAGGGACAGGGTGCACTTGGGAGCGCGAGTCAAGGTATACCCTGTGTGCCGCCTCGGTCGTCCCCTGGCGCGGCTGCATCTTCCATGGCCTCGCCCTCGGCCTCAAGCTTCAGCGCTGCTGTCTTTTCATGGAAACCGTGGTTATTCTCAACAGGAACTGTCTCCAAATTGCTTGGTGGTATCTGATCTTCCACGATTGCCTGTCCACCCTTCAGGTGGCCTTCTATTCCCTGCGTCCCTGAGGTTTCCTTTCTGGGCAGGGGAGGGGCCGCCTTGCGCTGGGGCTCTGGCACGGGTTTTTCCAGATGCCCCTCTGCCGCCCCAGGAGGACTGGCTTGCAGCTGCCCCTCTGCTCTGGCCTCTTCTGCCAACACAGCAGGCGCTGGGCTGCCCTTCGGTGGCGCAGACAACCCTGATTTTGTGTGGACAGGTAAGGGTCCTTTAACTTCAAATGGCTTTTGGCTTTCTTTATCTATTTCATTTAATCTAAATGTTTTCTGCAATTGTTTTTCCTTTAAACTTTGCTTCAAAAACTCTTCATCTACTTGAGATCTGGGCATTGTGGTTTTTGGTCTCGCATTTTCCCTGCCTTCTGATGGCTTAGCAGGGGACCCTTTCTTCTTTGGCTGGTGGGGCTTCTCTGGATCAGTAATGTCCACATGCGGCTTCTGCAGCAAGGTTTTCTCTTTTGCTGATACTGTAACTCGGGGGGCTCTGTTTTCAAAGGAATGAGAGGCCTCTGGTTTTCGAAGCCCCCCTCTGCCTTTGCTCACCACTCGAGGAGTGACCTCTGAAACGTCAGCCTCATCATCAGATTCAGAATCAGAGGAGCTGGAAGAGGATGAAGACGAAGGCGACGTCACTTTCCGACCCACCTGACGAGCTTCTGAATCAGAGCCCTGTTTTCTGAATGGAGACAGAACTTTCTGTGGAAACTCTACCAAAGTCTTTCTTGACAAAAATTTCGGAACCCCTTCATCTGTGAATAGCACGCTGCCACTGGGACTGGGACTAGCTACCTTCCTGCCCTTATTCACAGCTGGCGGGTAAGAACTGGGTGAAGATAAGTTTTTAGACAATTCAGCTGCTGTCTGGGTGGCTAGGAGCTTGCCCCTCTCCTTTGGTTCCACTACATCTGGGAAACGGCATAAAGAGGAATGTTATTTAACAAAACAACTTAAAACTCAGTCAAAATTACAGACATTTCATGACACATTACTTATTACTGACAGTATCTTCAATGCAATCATCCTAAGACAGGTCCCATAGAAACCCACCAAGCAACCAACTGAGGATGGAAAATGTTCAGAAAATCATCTGCTTTAGTACTGAACATGAACAAACTTTTTTCCTTGACATTATTCCCTAAACAATACAACAACTATTTACATGGCATTTACATTGTATGAGGTATTATAAGTAATCTAGAGATGATTTAAAGTATACAGGAGGATGTACTTAGATGATATGCAAATACTGCATCACTGTATATCAGAGACTTGAGCATCTGCACATTTTGGAATCCTGGTGGGAGGGGTGGCCTAGAACCAATTCCCCTCAGATACTGAAGGATGACTGTATAATAAAACACAAAACTACCGACCTAAGACTAGCTGTGTAGGCCTATCTCACAGCCTGAGATGGGGACTTTCAGAGACTGTTTCTCTTCTCTCAGAGACCATAACAAACTATGTAAAATAAAGGTTTACAAATACTGTACTAGTAATTAGTGAAAGCAGGAATTCGCCTTGTTGCTTCCCTGTCACCTCAAAATAGAACTCAAATTTCCTGAATCTCTTTTCTGCTTAGTTGAAAAGTGAGGGCATGGCCTTCAAGTTTTTAGTGATCCCCCTATCAAAAGTAAAAAGGGTTAGGGTGTGAAACATAGATTAGCAACCTTAAAATACTTGCACATCTTGTCAAAATATCACAAAACTAACTTTGGAAACAAGGCACATTCAGAAACAGAGGTGCATTTAAACATTACATTAGAGAATAAAGTTACTCAAATTTTATATGGTAATGGAAACCTCTACAAGTGTTTCACTATAAAAAGTTTTTTTTTATTTTTACTTATTTTATTTATTTATTTATCTAATTCTTCTTTTGAAATGGAGTTTCACTCTTGTTGCCCAGGCTGGAGTGCAATGGCACGATCTCCAGTCACCGCAACCTCTGCCTCCCAGGTTCAAGCAATTCTGCTGCCTCAGCCTCCCGAATAGCTGGGATTACAGGCATGCGCCACCACACCCAGCTAATTTTGTATTTTTAGTAGAGACAGGGTTTCTCCATGTTGGTCAGGCTGGACTCGAACTCCCGACCTCAGGTGATCTGCCCGCCTTGGCCTCCCAAAGTGCTGGGATTACAGGCGTGAGCCACCGTGCCCGGCATTTTATTTTTAAATAAACACATGAGAATCAAGAATTTTCAGAAGGAAGACAGCACAGTGATTAAAATATAAACCGCACTGCCAGAATGCCTGGGTTCAAATCCAGGCTTCTCCGCTGACACCTGTGTGGACACTGCATGACTCAGGCAGGTCAGTCCCTCCAGACCTCAACTTCCTTGTCTATGACATGGGGATAGCAGTAGCATCTACTCCCTGGGTTGTTGAGGACTGGGGAAGATGAGATATGGGAAGAGTGCTTAGAACAGTGCCTGGCACTGCTTGTTATAATTTGATACGTAAAATTTCGTTTTCTTTTTTTTTTTTTTGAGATGGAGTCTAGCTCAGTCACCCAGGCTGGAGTGCAGTGGTGCAAATCTCGGCTCAGTGAAACCTCCGCCTCCTGGGCTCAAGTGATCTTCCTGCCTCAGCCTCCCGAGTAGCTGGTACTACAGTTGTGTGCCACCACGCCTGGGTAATTTTTTTTTGAGATGGAGTTTCACTCTTTTGGGTCAGGCTAGAGTGCAATGGCGTGATCTTGGCTCACTGCAACCTCCACCTCCTGGGTTCAAGTGATTCTCCTGCCTCAGCCTCCCGAGTAGCTGGGACTACAAGCATGCACCACCACGCCCGGCTAATTTTTTTTTGTATTTTTAGTAGATACAGGTTTTCACAATGTTGGTCAGGCTGGTCTCGAACTCCTGACCTCAGGTGATCCACCCACCTCAGCCTCCCAAAGTGCTGGGATTACAGAAGTGAGCCACTGTGCCTATTTTTTTACTGAGCCACTATTTACACTGTGTGTAAATAGAAATTACGTGAAATTTCTATTTCCAGATATTCCTTACTTTTAAAACTGAAACAAGGACTTCAAATGGATAATTAACTGTGGCTTCTGGACATACTCTTCAAAAAGCTACACAGAAATTACTCAGTCAACAATTTATTACTGACTGTTGCAAAATTAGGCCTGGGTACTGGATTCAAGGAAACAGCAAGCTAGAGAGCCCAGCGGTTCCCCAAGGTGCACCTCCAAGAACATCCAGCCCCTGATATCTGTGCCGGCAGCCTTCCTCAGGGAGAACGCATGTGCTGGGGAAAGCTGGACACCTCTGATGAAATAAGGCACAGCATGTCCCATCGCGCCAGGGTCTTGTCCTGTGGCAGACACTCTGACTAGAGATGTGACTCCAAGGATGAGAGCTTTGGGTACCTCACTTGCATGCAGGAAACTTCTGTTAGAGCTTCCAAAGCCACTTCTGGCTGAGAAAGGTTTGATCTGGCAATGTGCCATGGAGGGTGAAAAGTTCCTCTGTATCTTACACTTACCAACTACCAACACTTCAGGGGAAAATATGGGCCTGCACGTATCCATTTACAAGCATTATTTATTTTTCTTTGTACAGGGATTTTTTGTTTGTTTGTTTTGAGATGGAGTGTCGCTGTGACACCCAAGAAGCAGTGCAATGGCACAATCTCAGCTCATTGCAACCTCTGCCTCCTGGGTCCAAGCGATTCTCCTGCCTCAGCCTCCTGAGCGACTGGGATTACAGGCGTCCGCCACCATGCCCAGCTAATTTTTGTATTTTTAGTAGAGACAGGGGTTTCACCATATTGGCCAGGCTGTTCTCGAACTCCTGACCTCAAGTGATCGGCCCGCCTTGGCCTGCAAAAGTGCTGGGATTACAGGTGTGAGCCACCATACCCAGACTCAGTATTTATTTTTGTCGAGACAGGGTCTCACTCTATCACCCAGGATGGAGTGCAGCAGTGGTGCAATCATAATTCACTACAACCTCGACCTCCTGGGCTCAAATGATCCTCTCGTCTCAGCCTCCTGAGTAACTAGGACCACAGGTGCACGCTACCATACCCAGCTACTTTTTAAAGTTTTTTCTAGAGATAGGTTTTCACTATGTTGCTCAGGCTTGTCTCAAACTGCTGAACTCAACTGATCCTCCCGCCTCAGCTTCCCAAAGTTCTGGGATTATAGGCGTGAACCCCCACGCCCAGCCTGTACAGGAATTCTTTTAAAAATTATGAGATACATGGCCAGGTGCGGTGGCTCATGCCTGTAATCCCAGCAACTTTGGGAGGTTGAGGCAGGAGGATCATCTGAGGTCGGGAGTTCAAAACCAGCCTGGCCAACATGCAGAAACCCTGTCTCTACTAAAAAATACAAAAAATTGGCTGGGTGCAGTGGCTCACGCCTGTAATCCCAGCACTTTGGGAGGCCAAGGCGGACGGATCACGAGGTCAAGAGATGGAGACCAACCTGGCCAACATGGTGAAACCCCGTCTCTACTAAAAACAGAAAAATTTGCCGGGTTTGGTGGCGGGCACCTGTAGTCCCAGCTATTCGGGAGGATGGGGCAGGAGAATGGCTTGAACCCAGGAGGCGGAGGTTGCAGTGAGCCGAGATCGTGCCACTGCACTCTAGCCTGGCGACAGAGTGAGACTTTATCGCAAAAACAAAACAAAAAAACAAAAAATTAGCCAGGCGTGGTGGTGCATGCCTGTAATCCCAGTTACTTGGGAGGCTGAGGCAGGAGAATTGCTTGAATCAGGGAGGCGGAGAGGTTGTGGTGAGCTGAGATCACGCCATTGCACTCCAGCCTGGGCATAAAGAGCAAAACTCTGTCTCAAAAAAAAACAAGATACAACTGTTCTGTGTATTGATGAGCTTAGTTCTGAAAACTGTCCTCCCACCTGAAAGCTCTCTGCAGTGTGTGCAGTAGCTACGTGTATCCCACTGCAGCCAGTCTCACAACCACCCAGCAAGGCTGGCATGATCATCCTGCTTAAGCACAAAGGAACCGAGGCTCAGAGGCCTGCAGGGCCCGTCAAGGACAGAGGCAGGAGCTCCATGAGAGCCCAAGGCTCGCTCCCAGGTCAGTGTTCCCCTCCCCAAACCACAACCCAGATGGCCACAGAATGAAGCACTCCGTTTCCACTCACACACAGACGCATGTATCTAAAAAGGGGGCTCTTTGGCTCTGCCATGATATTTTAAAATCCATTTAATCCAAATTCATAAGTCTATGATGTAGGATTGCAGACACAGACTAAAATTCACCAAAGGAGAGGATAATGTTAGCAATGAAATTCAACTAATTGTTCATCAGTAAACATTTAGAGAATGTCAAAAACATGCCAGGTAGGCTGGACACAGTGGCTCACACCTGTAATCCCAATACTATGGGAGTTTGAGGCAGGGAGATTGCTTGAGCCCAGGAATTCAAGACCAGTCTAGGCAATACAGTGAGACTTCATCTGTATGGAAAATTAAAATATTAGCCAGGGTGTGATGGTGTGCACCTGTAGTCCTGGCTACTCCAGGGGCTGAGGTGGGAGGATCACTTGAGCTTGGAAGGTCGAGGCTGCAGTGACCTATGATTGTGCCTCTGTACTACAGCCTGGGTGACAGAGCAAGACTCTATTTCAAAAAATAAACAACAACATCAACAAAACATGCCAGGGATATGCCAGGAGTGGTGGTATGTGCCTGTAGTCTCAGCTACTCAGGAGGCTGAGGTGGGAGGATTGCTTGAGCTCAGGAGTTTGAGGCTGTAGTGAGCTATGACTGTGCCACTGCACTCCAGCCTGGGAGAGAGAGCCAGAGCCCCTCTCTTAAAACAAATAACATAAAAGGAAGAAGAGAAAAAAACAATGATTGAAAAACGAGGCAGGAGTCATAGCACAAAACTAAATAACATTCCCGTGGAATCCAAGCCTCAAGTCCACACACTGTGAGAGGCAGTCAGGGGCTGGCACTCTCTTTGTATAAATACAAATATTTAAAAACTTACCAGTGTTCTGTGCACAGACCAAGGAGGAAGAAAACAAAAGAATCTAAATACTTTCAAACATTCAAACTGAGGAAATAGTATATTGATGAAAATAAGACCAAACTCAATTACTATTCTACAACCCCATATAATGATTAAAGATTTAGGACTGGGCACGGTGGCTCACGCCTGTAATTCCAGCACTCTGGGAGGCCAAGGCGGGCGGATCACAAGGTCAGGAGATCAAGACCATCCCGGCTAACATGGTGAAACCCCACCTCTACTAAAAATGTAAAAAATTAGCTGGGCATGGTGGTGGGCGCCTGTAGTCCCAGCTACTCAGGAGGCCGAGGCAGGAGAATGGTGTGAACCCAGGAGGCGGAGGTTGTAGTGAGCCGAGATTGCGCCACTGCACTCCAGCAGGGGCAACAGAGCAGGACTCCATCTCAAAAAAAAGAATTAAAGATTTAGGCCGGGCGCAGTGGCTCACGCCTGTAATCCCAACACTTTGGGAGGCCGAGGCGGGTGGATAACAAGGTCAGGAGATTGAGACCATCCTGGCTAACATTGTGAAACCCTGTCTCTACTAAAAATACAAAAAATTAGCCAGACGTGGTGGCACATGCCTGTAGTCCCAGCTAGTCCTGGACTGGGATTAAGCAAAGCCTGGAAAACCACAGATGGGTCTCAAAGAGACTGAAACAAAACAAAACAAAACAAAACAAAACAAAACAAACAACTCAGCATCAGAGGATGGAAAGTAAGGTGGCTTTCTGGCAAGCTCACTGTGCCGGGGCCATCTAAATGCCACAGAGCCTTTACCAAGGCATCACTCACTTCAGGTTGGGGTTTGGCATTTAGAAAATACAGGAAAAACCATTTCAGGGCTAAATATTCAGTCAAAGACTACGACATGACTGAAATGTTTGGTCTAAAATCTGTTATAGATCTTGTGTCTTGTATAATCTGGACACTGCTGAAAAGGAAGAAGCATAAATTACGTAGCTAGTAAAACTCACTGTCGTGCTTCGAAGGCTGACTAATCTATTTTCTTTTTGCATTCTCTTTCCCTTATGACTACCATCAAAATCTTACTTTTTGGTGGACTTTGCTTCTTGGAATTCTGTGGCTGACCCTTTTCACTCTTCCCTGATTCCGCAGACAAAGAAACCGTAGAAGCAAGTCCTCGAAACACCTGGGCTTCCTGGAGCATAGTCTGACAAAAGAATTAATGAATATGGATGTTTAGAGTAATGCCATTATAATAGCTGGTACTATATATGAATATATATATATATTTTTTGAGTCAGGGGTCTCTCTCAGTCGTCCAGGCTGGAGTGCAGTGGCACAATCATGGCTCACTGCAGCCTTCAACTCCTGGGTCCAAGCGATACTCTGACATAGCCAGGACTACAGGCACATACTACCATGCCTGGCTAATATTTTTTATTTTTTATAGAGACGAGATCTGGCTACGTGGCCCAGGTTGGTCTCAAACTCCTGGCTTCCTCAAACTCCTGGCCTCAAGCGATCCTGAAGCCCCGGCCTCCTGAAGTGCTGGGATTGGCCAGGTGCGGTGGCTTACACCTATAATCCCAGCACTTTGGGAGGCTGAGGTGGGCGGATCACTTGAGGTCAGGAGTTCTGAGACCAGCCTGGACAACCCCGTCTCTACTAAAAATACAAAAAAAAGGCCGGGCGCGGTGCGACTGTAATCCTAGCACTTTGGGAGGCCGAGGCGTGTGGATCATGAGGTCAGGAGATCGAGACTATCCTGGCTAACACGGTGAAACCCCGTCTCTACTAAAAATACAAAAAATTAGCCGGGCATGGTGGCGGGTGCCTGTAGTCCCAGCTACTTGGGAGGCTGAGGCAGGAGAATGGCGTGGACCCAGGAGGTGAAGCTTGCAGTGAGCCAAGATCGTGCCACTGCACTCTAGCCTGGGCGACAGAGCAAGACTCTGTCGCAAAAAAAAAAAAAAAAAAAAAAATTTAGCCAGGCACGGTGGTGCATGCCTGTAGTTCCAGGTACTGCAGAGGCTGAGGCAGGAGAATTGCTTAGACTCAGGAGGTGGAGGTTGCAGTGAGCTGAGATCACGCCACTGCACTCCAGCCTGGACAACAGAGTGAGACTGTCTCAGGAAAAAAAAAAAAAAAAGAAAAACAACCAAAGTGCTGGGATTGTGTGCATGTAGGTACCGTGCATATGAATATTACATATTACCACTACATGTAAGTGCAAAACATTCACATGGTATACTTCTAATGGTTATTACAGTTTTCATAATGTATGTATATTATGGACATTTTGTAAAATACAAAAAGGCTGCAAGAAGAAAACACCCGAGTTCAAGGACAATCACTATTAATATTTGGTTTAATAAAACTTCAACCAGACGTTCTCCAGTGCATTTTTTTTGTAGTCTCCAATTATTTATTAACCTACAAAATACCACGTTTCTTCTTTTTTCTTTTCTTTTTTTTTTTTTTGGAGACAGGGTCTCACTCTGACTCCCAGGCTGGAGTGCAGTGGCTCAATCTTGGCTCACTGCAACCTCCGCCTCCTGGGTTCCAGCGATTCTCTTGCCTCAGCCTCCCAAGTAGCTGGAATTACAGGTGTGCACCACCGCACCTGGCTAATGTTTTTGTATTTTGTTTTTTGAGATGGAGTCTTGCTCTGTCACCCTGGCTGGAGCACAGTGGCGCAACCTCGGCTCACTACAATCTCCGCCTCGTGGGTTCAAGCAATTCTCCTGTCTCAGCCACCCAAGTAGCTGGGATTACAGGCATGCATCACCATGCCCGGCCAAGTTTTTGTATTTAGTAGAGACGGGGTTTCACCATGTTGATCAGGTTGGTCTCGAGTTCCTGGCCTCAGGTTATCCACCCACCTTGGCTTCTCAAAGTACTGGCATTACAGGTGTGAGCTACCGCGCTTGGCTCTTCTTGTATTTTTAGTAGAGATGGGGTTTCACCATGTTGGTCTCGAATGCCTGACCTCAAATGATCCACCTGTCTTGGCCTCCCAAAGTACTGGGATTACAGGCATGAGCCACCTGCCAGGCCCTATGTTTCTTTCTGTAAAATGTTTTCTTATCCTTAGAAAATAGAGTAGAAGAAATACTATCTGGCCACTAAAATGATGTAGGTATATAAAAACTGCTTCAAAAGTGTCTACAATATAAATGTGATATTTTATATTATGCCAACTCACTCAGCATATACTCACTAAGGCCTATTAAGTGCTAGACAGTACAATGTTCTAGATGCTGGATACAGAACAGAGGTGCCTGTATGTGCACATATAAACATGAAAACGTGTATGTTCATGATTGTAAGCATGAGTACATGTGCTTATGTGAACATATAAAAGCTGATAGAAATCGTTAGGAACTAGATGCTTGAAGGAGTAATGGTAGACTGTCAATGAATTTCCCTATCTGTACTTTTAAATTATTCTGCAGGCTGAGGCACGAGAGTCGCTTAATCCCAGGGGGCAGAAGTTGCAGGGAGTTGAGATGGTGCCATTGCACTCCAGCCTGGGCCTGGGCAACAGAGTGAGGCTCTGTCTCAAAAAAAAATATATATATATTATATATTATATTATGATATATATTATATATAATATATAAATATATATTATATATTATATAAATATATAAATATATAATATATATTTATATAAACATATTATATATATTATATAATATATATTTATATAATATATTATATATTATATAAATATATAATATATATTTACATATTATATAAATATATATATAATATATATTTATATATAATATATATAATATGTATTTATATATATATATACACACACGCATATATATTCTGCAGGGAATAGTTACTGCTTTTGTAATAACAGCCATTTTAAAATTTGTAAGAGAGTGAAGTGGTCTTAGCCTTATTTTATTTATTTATTTATTCTGTCCCCCAGGCTGGAGTGCAGTGGTATGATCTCGGCTCACTGCAACCTCCGCGTCCCGGGTTCATGGGATCCTCCCACCTCAGCCTCCCGAGTAGCTGGGATTACAGGAATGCACCACCACGCCAGACTAATTTTTTGTATTTTTTAGAGACGGGGTTTCGACATGTTGGCCAGGCTAGTCTCGAACTCCTGAACTCAAGCGATCCGCCTGGCTCGGCCTTCCAAAGTACTGGGATTACAGGCAAAATCCCAAAGTGTCCGCGCCCGGCCTTGGCCTTAGCTTTTTATTTGCCGAAAAGAAAGCCCTTCTTCTCCTTTTCACAGGTCAGGTCATGTCAGCTGGCTTCTCAACGGCTGTCAGTAAGTTACCAAGTTAACCAGGTCCCTGAAAGTTCCCTCATTTCCTCTCTTGGCTAAATGGAGAAGTCACTGTCCTTCAGAGAAGCCGTGCGGGAGCCGCACAGCGGCTGACCCCAGCCGCGCGGCAGCATCACCTGGGAACGTCCACCCGAGTCTGCCGCCCAGGCATGCAGCCCTCGGGAGCGCCCGTCGGCACGGGGCACGCCAGCCTCGGCCTGGGCCTCGGGCAGCGGCGGCGGCGGACCGGCTCGGGGGAACCGCGGGACGCTCGCTGGCCACATCCGGGCCTGGCCCCGTGGCGGTCAGTCCTGGGCCCAGGGAGCGGGGTCAGCGGCCCAACTAGGACGGCTAGAGGTCGCGGACAGGCCCGGACCTGACCAGCACCGCGCCCCCTCACCCCATCCCCTACGTAGGCTCGGGGCCGCGCAGCCAGCCCAGGCTGGCTCCTCCTTTACCTTCAGCGCCCCGGCTCGTCCTTGCCGCAGCAAACACGGGGCAGCCATGGCGGTGACAGCGGGCGCACCAAGCAGGGCCACAGCAGCTGCGCGCGCACCCGCGCCTGAACAGCCGCCCCTTGGGCCGACTGCGCCAATTACAGGCCAGCTGGGGGCGGAGCAGAGGCCGTGGGTCTGCGCGCGCATCCCCAGTAGGGCTAAGTGCCTCCCTTGGGGCCACGCCCCGGATCGGGACCACCAATCACAGGCAGCAGCGTGAGGGACACGTCACCGGCTGGTGCCGATCCCTGTGCCCTGCGGGCGCCTGGGCGCTGTGGCGGGGGCGCGGCGGAGACCTGCGGGGGCTGCTGGGCACCCCTCTCAGGCGTCTGCGCTGGGCCGGCTTGCATGTCCACCCGAACGCTTCGCACTTCTTTGCCCTTGTCCTCGCAGCCTTAAATCTGCGACCTTCCCTGGGGGCACAGTCTGGTCCTACTTGATTGATAGTTCTGTGTTTTGAGAGGTTTTAAAGCTCTTCAGCTCGGGACCTCGGCGCCCACACCACGCGCCCAGCTCCCTCACCCTCTGTCGGCAACGCGGCCACCACTGCTCACTGCCCCTCCTGCATGGCCCCTGCCAACGCTAATACCAGAGTTAGGCCGATTGGAAATGGAAGCTTTGTTTCACCTAAATGTTTATTTAGCAAAGAGTTCGTCCCCAACGTTAGTCGTAATTGTGGAGTCGGTGTAATTAGTTATTAGCTTCTTTCTCTGCCTCTTCTCTGCCTTCCGCCGCGTGCCCAGAGCCCCATTCGCATTTCATCGGAGATGGACGTGCCACCTTCAGCTTCCACAGGGGAAGAGGCCCTGCCACAGTCATTTAAATGGATTGTGTAGGGATTCCTGACACAGCTAGCGATTCATTGAGGTGGCAAGATAAACTGGCGGAATGAGGCCTTTATCAAAGGCCTTTATCAAAGAGGAGTCTGCTATCAAGTAAATGCAAGGGCATCTGCCACCATCCACCCTGGGAGGCAAAAAGAATAACCTTAGATCTTAGGATAATCATGAGAAGGGATCCTTTGTCCCTAAAGGGAGAAAAAAAAATGCCAAAAGATTTTTTTTTTGTTTAAATTTTTTTTTTTTTTTTGAGACGGAGTCTTGCTCTGTAGCCCAGGCTGGCGTGCAGTGGCGCCATCTTGGCTCATTGCAAGCTCCGCCTCCCGGGTTCACGCCATTCTCTTGCCTCAGCCTCCCGAGTAGCTGGGACTACAGGCACCCGCCACCACGCCCGGCTAAATTTTTGTAATTTTTAGTAGAGACAGGGTTTCACCGTGTTAGCCAGGATGGTCTCCATCTCCTGACCTCGTGATCCACCCGTCTCGGCCTCCCAAAGCCCTGGGATTACAGGTGTGAGCCACTGTGCCTGGCCTAAATTTTTTTTTTTGAGACAGAGTCTTGCTCTGTTGCCCAGGCTGGAGTACAGTGGCACAATCTAGGCTCACTGCAAGCTCCACTTCCTAGGTTCAAGCGATTCTCCTCCCTCAGCCTCCTGAGTAGCTGGGACAACAGGCATGAGCCACCACGCCCGGCTAATTTTTGTATTTTTAGTAGCGACGGGGTTTCACCATGTTGGCCAGACTGGTCTCGAACTCCTGACCTCAAATGATCGCCCGCCTCGGCCTCCCAAAGTGCTGGGGTTACAGGCGTGAGCCACTACACCCGGCCAGATTTTTTTTTTCTTCACCACTAGGCTCATTCTGTTGTGTCCAGGGAAAAGGTCATGCTCGCCTTTGTGAGGTGTGCTTAATAATTCACAGCTTAGTAACAAATTTGGGGATCCTGATCTGGAATTGGAAGATCCACGTCACCCTCCTTCATGGACCTGGAGCTCCCCACTTCCACACCACCACCAGCGGGCACATGCGGCAGATGTTGACATCTTGCTGGAGTTGCAACACTCAAGAAGAAACAAAAAGAAAAGACCTCCTCTGGCGTGGTCACCGGCCAGGTTGGTAAAGGTGGGGTACCTATGGTTGAGGGGGCATGAACCATCTTGATTTTTTTTTTTTTTTTGAGACAGAATCTCACTCTGTTGCCCAGGCTAGAGTGCAGTGGCGCAGGGGCAATCTCGGCTTACTGCAACCTCCGCCTCCTGGGTTCAAGTGATTCTCTTGCCTCAGCCTCCCCAGTAGCTGGGATTACAGGCGCCGCCACCATGCCCATCTAATTTTTGTATTTTTAGTAGAGATAGTGTTTCACCATGTTGGTCAGGCTGGTTTGTAACTCTTGACCTCAAGTGATCTGCCTGCATCGGCCTCCCAAAGTGCTGGGATTACAGCCATGAGCCACTATGCTTAGCCATCTTGATGGTTTTTGAAGGAAGTGATTAGGGCCTCGAAAGGTAACTAGGGCAACCATGTGTGAGGCCAGTGCCTAAGACTAGAGGGAGCAGGAAGGCTGGGAAGCCTATGCAGCCTGGTTGGGAGGTAACTGTGGCCTAAACTGTGTTTGGCCAAAGAGAAAGGACAGGGCCAAGTGCAAGAAGCAAATATAAGGTGCTGCATTAAAATAAAAAAAGCAGAGGCCAAATACATTATTGTATTTTCCAATCAGCTAGAAAATAGTAGACTAGATTTTTCCGACAGCAGAGGCTGTTCCTCCAGTTAACTCTCTGCCCAGAGTCTTTCTGTGGGCACCATCAACTCTGCCTGTAGCTCTAGCAAGTAGTACCCAGCATTTTAACACAAAACCTTAAAAGTGTATGTTTGTTTATATTCCTTTCTTTGTAGATCACACAAAGTTCTACCTGAACTACTAGAGGCTCCCCCTTGTGTCTCCCAAGGGTCAGTTAAACTTCTTTTTTTTGAGACGGAGTCTCGCTCTGCTGCCCAGGCTGGAGTGCAGTGGCGCGATCTTGGCTCACTGAAACCTCCGCCTCCTGGGTTCAAGAGATTCTTCTGATTCAACCTCCCGAGTAGCTGGGATTACAGGCGTGTGCCACCATGCCCAGCTAATTTTTTTGTATTTTTAGTAGAGACAGGGTTTCACCATGTTGGTCAAGCTGGTCTCGAACTCTTGACCTTGTGATCCCCCACCTCGGCCTCCTAAAGTGCTGGGATTTACAGTCGTGAGCCACCGTGCCTGGCCGAACTTCTTTTTAGGATAACTGGATTACAACAGGATCACTTGGATCCATACTCTGAACATTTAACTCCAAGGTGTTTGGGCCAAAGAGGAAAATAAAAATACTCAAATATCACACCATTCGCATGCATGCCTCAGCTCTGTATTCTGGTATATATAATATATATATTTTTTTCTTTTAGGTTCTTACTCTGTCACCCAGGCTGGAGTGCAGTGGCTTGGTTATAGCTCACTACAGTTTCAAACTCCAGGGCTCAAGCAATCTTCCCACCTCGGCCTCCTAAAGCACTAGGTTACAGGCACAAGCCATTGCACATGGGCCTAAAATTGTGTTTTAAAACACAAGTAATAAGTTCTATTTCTGGCAATATTTGGTCACTAGATATTATGGAAAACTGGCCGGGAGCTGTGAACCCAGGAGGCCGAGGTTGCAGTGAGCTGAGATGGTGCCAATGCACTCCAGACTGGGCAGCAGAACGAAACTCCTTCTCGAATTAAAAAGAAAAAAAGTTATGGAAAACCCTTGGGCTCCAAATCATGTAGTAATTCTGGGTAAAAGGTTACAGGCATAATTTCAAATGACCATATAATCAAGTAAAGGATATCTCTAGGGATCCAAAAAAAACAGAGAAGTAGCAAGAAATCACAGGCAGCAGTGCCACCCTGGAAGCATGCACTGGTCTCAGCAGCCAGAGCTCTGGTGTAACAGACTTCAGAGAACATGAGACCTTGGGGCTAGAACACTTGGGAGTGGGCTGGAAATCGCCAGAGGAAGTTGCCACCCTTGCAGGGCTACATGTCAGTGATGGGTGACCCTGGGCAAAGCAATCTGCTAGCAAGGAAATGTGTAGAGCCAGCCTGGGTTTTGAGTGGGGAAAAATGTCTCAAGGCCTATTCTTACTTAAGTTTGAAGTTAAAAAACACATATACTTCCTGTGTTTCAGGACATCTCAAGTTTTAAAAAACCAAAAATTGGCCAGGCGCAGTGGCTCAAGTCTGTAATCGCAGCACTTTGGGAGGCCGAGGTTGGCGGATCTTCTGAGGTCAGGAGTTTGAGACCAGCCTGGCCAACATGGTGAAACCCCGTCTCTACTAAAAATACAAAAATTAGCTGGGCATGGTGGCATATACCTGTAATCTCAGCTACTCGGGAGGCTGAGGCAGGAGAATTGCTTGAACAATTTCAATCTATATATATATAGATTGAACCCTAGATTAAATAAAGATCAGATGCAATCAAAGATAAATTTAGAGGCTGGGCATAGTGGCTCATGCCTGTAGTCTCAGCACTTTGGGAGGCCAAGGCGGGCAGATCACCTGAGGTATGGAGTTCGAGACCAGCCTGGCCAACGTGGTGAAACCCTGTCGCTACTAAAAATACAACAAAAATTAGCTGGGTGTGGTGGTGGGCACCTGTAATCCCAGCTACTCGGGAGGCAGAGGCAGGAGAATTGCTTGAATCCAGGAGGCAGAGGTTGCAGTGAGCTGAGATCACTCTACTGCACTCCATCCTGGGTGACAGAGCAAGACTCTGTCTCTAAAAAAAAAAAAAAAAAATTATAAACCTTTATACTGTATATTTATTGTGAGCTCAAATACTTCAAAATTTGGCCAGTGTGATAGATAGGGTTTTCCAGAAAAAAAAAAACCAATAGGAAACACATATGTATGATATTTATTGATTTATTTATTTATTGGAGACAGGGTCTCACTCTGTCACCCAGGCTGGAGTGCAGTGGCTCTATCTCGGCTCACTGCATCCTTGACTTTCTCAGGCTCAGGTGATTCTCCTACTTCAGCCTCTCAAGTAGCTGGGACTACAGGTGCACAGTACCACACCTGGCTAATTTTTGTATTTTTTGTAGAGACAGGGTTTCACCATGTTGCCTAGGCTGGTCTGGAACTGTTGAGCTCAAGTAGTACACCGGCCTTGGCCTCCCAAAGTGCTGAGATTACAGGGGTGAGCCACTGTGCCTGGCTGATATTCATAATATAGATACTTATATCTATATCTAGCTCTCTATGTATCTATCTATGTTCGCTCAGTTGACACTTGTAGGGCATAGATGGGTTTGAGCTATGTGGGTCCACTTATATGTAGCTTTTTTCAACAAATATATTGAAAAATTTTTTGTAGGAATGAAATAATTTGTCAAAACTAGGATGAACCACATAGCCTAGAAATACTGAAAAATTAAGAAAATGGTATGTCATGAATGCATAAAATATATGTAGATACTAATTTTATCATTTACTACCTAAAATATACTCAAATTGATGATAAAATATTAAAATTTATAAAAACTTTTTTTGTTTTTGTTTTTGTTTTTTTTTTGACACGGAGTCTTGCTTTGTCACTCAGGCTGGAGTGCAGTAGCACGATCTTGGCTCACTCACTGCAACCTCTGCTACCCGGGCTCAAGCAGTTCTCCTGCCTCAGCCTCCCGAGTAACTCGGATTACAGGCACACGCCACCACGCCCGGCTAAGTTTTGTATTTTTAGTAGAGACAGGGTTTCACCATGTTGGCCAGGCTGGTAAATTTATTAAAACTTTTATACAGAAACAGAGACCACACATGGCAGCATTCACAGTTGAGAGAAACGTAAATGTAAAGATGCAGTATTCAATCACAACTGCATAAAACTAATGTTAGCACATACCTCACTACTGGAATCTTTCACAACCACCTCCTGTTGCTACTGTGGTGAGCTCAAGTGCTCTAAGTATCTACTTAAAATGCCGTGTGACACGAGACATTTCCTCGTGAGCAGTTAAGTCGCTCCAAATTGCATATTGCAGTAACAAGTAGAGGCTGGGTCCAGATGTGGTGGCTCATGCCTGTAATTTCTGCACTTTAGGAGGCTGAGGCAGGAGGATTGCTTGAGCCCTGGAGTTTGAGACCAGATTGGGCAATAGTGAGACTCTGCCTCTTTATAAAATAAAAAAAAAAAAAAAAAAAATTAGGCCAGGCGCCGTGGCCCACACCTGTAATCCCAGAACTTTGGGAGGCCAAGGTGGGCGGATCACCTGAGGTTGGGAGTTCTAGACCAGCCTGACCAACACGGAGAAACCCCGTCTCTACTAAAAATACAAAATTAGCCGGGCATGGTGGTGCTTGCCTGTAATCCCAGCTACTCGGGAGGCTGAGGCAGGAGAATCACTTGAACTCAGAAGGCAGAGGTTGCAGTGACTCGAGATTGCGCCATTGCACTCCAGCCTGGGCAACAAGAGTGAAACTCCGTCTAAAAATAAAATCAAATCAAATAAAAAGTAGTGGTGGGGCATGAAGGCTCACCTGTTGGAAGCTGGGCCCTCTGTGGGCTTGTCCAGCAGGAGCAGGAGCCGTTCAGGAAACACATCCTACCAGTGAATGAACACCCTTGTTTCTCTTCCCTTTCTGCTCACCAGGCTTTCAGTGGGCTGGGGCTATTGGCTATCCCCGGCCAGGAGGCTGCTGGTTTATAAAAAGTTAAGACTTACTAAAACTACACATATAGACACTTACAGACCACACATGATACCATTAGCATTAAAAAGAAATGTAAACAAATGTAAAGCTCGGCGGGCAATGACCCAAAGGCTGAGAAGCACAGCCTGCAGGGGCTCCCCGCTCCTCCCCAAAAGGCTGGGAATATATCTGGGGGCACAGGCCTTACGCTGGCAAAGTGGTGGGCAAACTGGCAGTGTTTGCTAGCAAAGCCCATGGAACATCTAGAAACATCATTGAAATGAATTCAAGAATTCAGCAAAACTGCTGGACGTGTGAACAATTTACAAAAGTCAATTGTATTTCTAGACACCAACAACAAACACAAAATTTTAAAAGGATCCCATGTACACTAGCAAAATCGCCTATTTTTTTGCTAAAAATAAAATTTAAAATTTTGTGCATACGCTTTCTGAATAAGATGATAATATTTTATTGTAAGACATTAATAAATCAAGAGGAAAAGGTGCTCCTAAATATTGTAAACGTGAATGTTCTTAAAAAAAATCTAGGCTGGGCACGGTGGCTCATGCCTGTAATCCCAGCACTTTGGGAGGCCAAGGCGGTGGGATTGCCTGACGTCAGGAGTTCGAGACCAGCCTGGCCAACATGGCAAAACCCTGTCTCTACTAAAAATACAAAAATTAGCTGGGCTTGGTGGCACATGCCTGTAGTCCCAGCTACTCGGGAGGCTGAGACAGGAGAATCGCCTGAACCCAGCAGGTGGAGGTTGCAGTGAGCCGAGATGATGCCACTGTACTCCAGCCTGGGTGACAGAGCAAGACTGTCTCAAAAAAAAAAAAAAAAAAAATCTATGCTGAGGTGGGAGGATTGCCTGAAGCTGGGGATTTGGCACTAGCCTGGGCAACAGAACAAGACCCCCGTCTCTACAAAAAACTTAAAAGTTAATGGGTCATGGTCATGTACACCTGTAGTCCCAGCCACTCAGGAGACCAAGATGGGACAATCCACTTGAGCCGAGGAGGTCAAGGCTGCAGTGAGCTGTGATTGTATTACTGTACTCCAGCCTGGGGAACAGCCTGGGGACAGATTTAATATATATAAAATACATTCAATTACATTCTAATCAATATCCTAGCAGGGATTTTGGGGGAAATTGATAACCTAATTTATATCTATCTATCTATATATTTTTTTTTGATGGAGTTTTGCGCTTTTTGCCCAGGCTGGAGTGCAATGGTGCGATCTCAGCTCACTGCAACCTCTGCCTCCTGGGTTCAGTGGTTCTCCTGCCTCAGCCTCCAGAGTAGCTGGGATTACAGGCACGTGCCACCATGCCCGGCTAATTTTGTATTTTTAGTAGAGATGGGGTTTCACCATGTTGGCCAGGCTGGTCTCGAACTCCTGACCTTAGGTGGTCTGCCTGCCTCGGCTTCCCAAAGTGCTAGGATTACAGGCATGAGCCACCGTGCCAGGCCCTAATTATAACATTTATATGGAAGTAATAAAGGGCTATGAATACCCAAGGCTTTCTTGGAGGAGGAAGAAGAGAGGAGGAGAAGGGGGAAAATGTGAGGAAAAAAGGGTGAAGACTTGCCCTAGAAGTTATTACATCTTAATACGCTGCTAGGGTGATTAGGTCTGTGTGGTATTTATTCATGGAGAGACAATTTGACAGTAGAATATAACAGTTCAATGAGAGACCCACACCTATTTAGAAACATAATATGTGTCCAGATGCGTTGGTTCACGCCTGTAATCCCAGCAATTTGGGAAGCCAAGGCGGGCGGATCACTTGAAGTCAGGCATTCGAGACCAGCCTGGCCAACATGGTGAAACCCCGTCTCTATCAAAAATACAAAAATTAGCTGGGTGTGGTGGCATGTGCCTATAATCCCAGCTACTTGGGAGGCTGAGGCAGGAGAATCACTTGAAGCTCAGAGAGGGAGGTTGCAGTGAGCTGGATTGCACCATTGCACTTCAGACTGGGGGACACAGTGAGACTCTGTCGGAAAAAAACAAACAAAAAAGACATAATAACAAGTGATGGTGAGGATGTGGAGAAACTGGAACCACAATGTAGTGCTGGTGGGACTATAAAGTGCTGTAGCCACTTTGTGAATCAGCTTGGCGGTCCCTGAAAAGGACTTTTTTTTTTTTGAGGTGGAGTCTGGCTCTGTTGCCCAGGCTGGAGTGCAATGGCGTGATCTCGGCTCACTGCAACCTCTGCCTCCCGGGTTCAAGTGATTCTCCTGCCTCAGCCTCCTGAGTAGCTGGGATTACAGGTACGCAACACCACGACCAGCTAATTTTTGTATTTTTAGTAGAAGTGGGGTTTCACAATGTTGGTCAGGCTGATTTCGAACTCCTGACCTTGTGATCCACCCACCTCGGCCTCCCAAAGTGCTGGGATTACAGGTGTGATCCATCACCCAGGCTGGAGTGCAGTGGCGCAATCTCAGCTCATTGCAACCTCTACCTCCCAGGTTCAATCCACCACACCTGGCCAGTTCCTGAAAAGTTTAAATGTTACCATATGACTCAACAATTCCATTCCCAGTGGAATGTTCACAACACCATTATTCATTATAGCCAAAAGGTGGGAAATCCCAAACTGCCTATCAACCAATGAGCAGATAAACAAAATGTGATATATGTGATATATGCATTCAGTGGAATATTATTCGGCCATGAAAAGCAGTGAAGTACTGATACATGCTACAATATCCATGAACCTTGGAAACCTAATATTCAGTGACAGAAGCCAGATTATATGAAATGTCCAGACTAGCAAAATCCATAAAACAAAGTAGATTAATGGTTACCAGGGGTTTATGGGGAGGGTGAAAGGGGGAGTGACTGCTACTGGGTTTAAGATTTATTTTGTGGGTGATGAAAATGTTCTAAAATTGTGGTGATGGATGCACAATTCTGTATATATACTAAAACCCACTGAAATGTACACATTACCACATATCAGGTGGATTACAACAGTAAGAATTTATTCTCACAGTTCTGGAGGCCAGAAGTCTGAAGTCAGGGTGTTGGCTGGGCCACGCTCCTTCTGAAAGGTCTAGGGGAGAATTCTTCCTCATCTTTCTCTTGGCTTCTGGTGTTGCCAGCAATCCTTGAATTATGGCCACATAACTTCAATCTCTGTTTCTGTCTTCATCTGGCATTCTCCTCTGTCTTCTCCCTTCTCTTCTCAGTACACATAACATTCGATTTAGGGTCCACCCAAATCCAGGATGCTCTCATTTTGCAATCCTTAACTTAATCACATTAGAAAAGACCCTTTCCCCAAAAAAGGTCACATCCCCAGTTTCCAGGGGTGGACATACATTTTAGGGGGCCACCTTTCAACCCACTACAACCACCATGAAATTAATGGGTCTTTGTCCATTTTTGTTTTTACACAATTTTTTTTTTAACTGAAGGACCATAAGACAATGCTTATGTCGTCTTGCCAGTTTGTAAAAAAAAAAAAAAAAAGGGTAACTTCTTGCCCATTTTTCTTTTTTTTTTTTTTTTTGAGACAGAGTCTCACTCTGTTACTCGGGTTGGAGTGCAGTGGCGCAATCTCGGCTCACTGCAATCTCCACCTCCTCGGTTCAAGTGATTCTCGTACCTCAGCCTCCTGAGTATCTGGGACTACAGGCACGCACCACCACTCCCAGCTGATTTTTCTATTTTTTTTTTTTTTTTTTTGAGACGGAGTCTTGCTCCGTCACCCAGGCTGGAGTGCAGTGGCATGATCTCGGCTTATTGCAACCTCCACCTCCCACGTTCAAGCGGTTGTCCTGCCTCAGCCTCCCAAGTAGCTGGGACTACAGGCGTCCGCCACCATGCCCGGCTAATTTTTGTATTTTTAGTACAGACGGGGTTTCACTATGTTGGCCAGGCTGGTCTCAAACTCCTGACCTCAGATGATCCACCTGCCTTGGCCTCTCAAAGTGCTGGGATTACAGGCGTTAGCCACTGCGCCCAGCCTGATTTTTGTATTTTTAGTAGAGATGGGGTTTCCCCATGTTGGCCAGGCTGGTCTCAAACTTCTGACCTCAATTGATTCTCCTACCTTGGCCTCCCAAAGTGCTGGGATTACAGGTGTGAGTCACCGTGCCTGGCCTTTTTGCCCATTTTTCTATTGTGCTAATGGAAGGATTCTCAGGTTCCTAATACCTTTTGCTCAGGACAGGACTAGAAATACAACACAACAATCCATAAGTTTTTTTTTTCTTTTTTCTGAGATGGAGTTTCACCCTTGTTGCCCAGGCTGGAATGCAATGGGTGATCTTGGCTCACTGTAACCTCCACCTCCTGGGTTCTAGTGATTCTCCTGCCTCAGCCTTCTGAGTAGCTGGGATTACAGGTGCATGCCACCAAGCCCAGCTAATTTTTGTATTTTTAGTAGAGATGGGGTTTCACCGTGTTGGCCAGGCTGGTCTCAAACTCCTGACCTCAGGTGATCTGCTCGCCTTGGCCTCCTAAAGTGTTGGGATTACAGGTGTGAGCCACTGCACCCGGCCAATCCATAAGTTTCTTAATTGAAAAAGAAAGCCCACACTCACTCTAGGCTAATGTAATCAATGATTTATAAAAATGGCCATAGTTGGGCCGGGTGCAGTGGCTCACGCCTGTAATCCCAACACTTTGGGAGGCCGAGGCGGGCAGATCACCTGAGGTCAGGAGTTTGAGACCAGCCTGACTAACATGGATCATGGATCACGCCTGTAATCCCAGCACTTTGGGAGGCCAAGGTAGGAGAATCAATTGAGGTCAGGAGTTTGAGACCAGCCTGGCCAACATGGTGAAACCCCGTCTCTACTAAAAATACAAAATTAGCTGGGCACGGTGGCACATGCCTGTAATTCCAGCTACTTGGGAGGCTGATGCAGAATCGCTTGAACCCGGGAGGCAGAGGTTTTGGTGAGCGGAGATCACGCCATTGCACTCCAGCCTGGGCAACAAGAGTGAAACTCCGCCTCAAAAAAAAAGAAAAAAAGAAAGCCATAGTTTTTATGAGCTTGTTGATCTATATCTAGGACTACAAGGAAGATATGCATGCTACAGACATTTGTACCTAGCAGTAGGTGCTACTGTAACATGTGGCATTAGCTTTGGACTAGAAGTCTGGAAAAGCAGTGGGGAAACTGGTAGTGAACACTGGAACAATGGTGAGGAAAACTACGGGAGGTGGACAAATGGTGAACAACTCTATGTCACGGTGAAGGATTTGTAAAATTGTTGCCCTTCAGTAAGATGGGCAGAGAAAAAGGCAACTACTGAACTCTGGGACTTGAAAAAGATCATATCAGTATAATGTTGAGATTAACCTGTGTTTCTTTTGCTTGAATATGTTGAGACACTTATAGAAAAGAGTGTGGTTAAAAACAAACAAACAAACAAACTGGCCAGCAGAATTTAGAGCACACTTTGGGTTGAAGCTGGGGAAAGTATTATTAGACCCAATAGTTGGTAACAAGTTCTCAAAGTAAGTCATAACCTGGGCCAAAGATCAAATTCAGAGTGGCGCTAATAAAATATGGCCTTAAGAATAATGCTGAAGTCAAGGTGATCTCAATGATTTAAATGTTAACAAGTGGCTGGGCGCGGTGGCTCACGCCTGTAATCCCAGCACTTTGGGAGGCCGAGGCAGGCGGATCACAAGGTCAGGAGATCCAGAACATCCTGGCTAACATGGTGAAACCCCGTCTCCACTGAAAAATACAAAAAATTAGCCAGGCGTGGTGGCGGGCGCCTGTAGTCCCAGCTACTCAGGAGGCTGAGGCAGGAGAATGGCGTGAACTCGGGAGGTGGAGGTTGCACTTCAGCCTGGGCGACAGAGCGAGACTCCGTCTAAAAAAAAAAAAAAGACTAGTGGGAGTGGCTTCTTGGGCATGGAGAGCACCTGAATCAGATTCTTGAGAAGCCCATAAAGCTTTTAAGGGACTTGTAGTGAACAAAGCACCACCAGCTGCCAAAATGTGGACAGAACAGTTTAGAGTGAAAAAAGGTCTGTGGGCTCACAATTTGCTAATGACAGGAAGGAGGTTGAGAAAGTTTCTCAAAGGGCACATTCTTCAACATGGCCAAGAAGGTGCTGGAAAAGGAGGGACACCCAAGAGGGCAGAGGCAAGAGCTGTGCTGAGATACAGCCTGGGGAGATACTCCCAGGAAGCAGAACTCGGGCCTGGTTAAGACTTCTTATTCTTGTAGGGCCTGAAAACATCTTCCAGTAGGATTTCAGAATTGCTTTGGACCAGTGATTACTGTGTCTCCTCCTCTTCTCATTTTCACATGCAAGTATTTATTGTGGTTATCTGGTCCCGGCTCACCATCATATATTGCGTGCACGGGAGAGAAAATTAATCTTTTTAGTTTGTAAGTCTCTGGATCAAGAGGAGCTGCACCGGACAAGCCAATCTAAAACAGACCGTGAGATCCTAGATTTTGTGCCTGATGCTGGGATTGTAAGAGGCTTTTGGGGATCTTGGGATGAACACTGGAAACTAACCATAGTTTGGGTTGAAAATATCACTACAGTTCGGAGATTTTAAGGCATCTGTGGCTTGTCTAAGTGCAAAGATTCAGTAGGCTTACTTCTAGCGACCTCAGACTTGACGCCACCCGAGACACCCTCACCCATGACCACATCTTGGACATTTTTTTTTTTTTTGAGAGAGAGTCTCGCTCTGTCGCCCTGGCTGGAGTGCAGCGGGGGCGATCTCGACTCACTGCAACCTCCGCCTCCCGGGTTCAGGCAATTCTTCTGTCTCAGCCTCCCAAGTAGTTGGGGCTACAGTCGCACGCCACCACGCCCAACAAATTTTTGTACTTTTAGTAGAAACGGGGTTTCACCATATTGGTCAGGCTGCTCTCGAACTGCTGACTTCATGTGAGCCACGGCCCCCGGTTCATTCACTTCTTGAAGGATCATTTACCAGGCATCTAGTAGCCATCATCAGGTCCTACGTCTCTCCAGCTACCGCGGAAAAAGATCCAGAACCAGCCCTACCCCGTCTAGAGGAAAGGATGAACATTAGGCAAGTACTTGGAATCGTGCGAAGTGCACTCCATCAGATCACCTTGGTGAGTGAACTGCCAAACCCGAAACACCGAAGGCCACCAGCCACAACCCGGAGGGCGGTCACAGCACCTTTCACGCATGCTCAAGGCAGGCTCGTCCTTGAGCATGCGCGGTACGTGGGGTATACGTCATCTCTCGGCGTCTGCGCCTGGCGTCACCGACCGGTGCGGACAGGAAGAGGCTCTGGGCTGGCACATGTGTATGGCGGTGAGGCGGGCGGGTACATGGCGGGCTCTGTGGGACTGGCGTTGTGCGGGCAGACGTTGGTGGTGCGGGGCGGCAGCCGATTCCTGGCCACCTCCATAGCAAGCAGGTGAGGGGGCCTTGGTCTTGGAACAGGGAGACCAGGCTGCGGGCGCGCGTCGGGTCCTGGCGACCCCGCTTCTCCCGCACCGCCTGGTCGCACCCACTCTGGGGTGACCCCGGGGAACTCCGCTCCAGCCCACGAGTCCTCCGCCGCAGTCTCGGCCTGGCCGCGTCTCTGCGCCTGGAGGGTCCGCTTTCGCCGTCCGCTCTCGGCGTCCGCTCCCCGGCTCCGGCGCGCTCCTTGCACTAGATGGCTGGTCTGCGGTGTTCTTGCCCGGTTAGCGCCGCCGGGTCGCTTCCGGTCTCCGCGGCGCCGGCGGGGACCGGGTAGGTAGAGCACGTGGGGCGACGCTGACCAGTCAGCAAGGCCCGGCCGAACACGCTCTGCAGAACTGGGAAGAAGCGGGTCTCGGGTCTCCCTGGTGAGAAGGGAGGGGCTTACTCACTGCGAGCTCACTGACCTCCAAGCGCGCTCCCTCTTTTTGCAGGGTTGTCTGTTCCCTCTTCCCGGCCTGCATCCACTCACCTGGCCTTAATTGCTCCTTAGGGCTCCAAGTCATCTCCGACACTTACCCAACCCAAGGGTGCACGTGGAGCTCGCAGTGCGCACCTCCCTAGTGGCCCTTCGCACGGCTCGGGTTTTGCTTTCCGTAATTTTATTCTCCTTCCTTAGTGTATCGCCAGTGCTAGGACGACGCAGGGGATTTTTAACTTAGTAAATGTTTGTTGATGGAACAGTCCTAACTCAGGACTCTCGGAGCAATTAGTAGTGCTGTCAGTTTCAGCCCCTCGTTTCCTTTCCCAGGTTATTTGTGATTTCATATTTGAAACGGACGACGTGTCTGTCAGATATACTGTATATTTTTTGTTCGTTTGGTTTTAGAAAGCCAATTCGATGTTAAGTTAGGTCTCACAAAAATTGTACTCAGAAACCCGTCACATATCCCAGATGATTTTGTTTTAGAGACTCACGGTCTAATATCTGCCAGAGTGAGCTGTGGATATATTAGACATGATTTGCTTACCTTCAGTCTTTGCATTTTGAGGAAATTCTAGTGGCTGGTGGAGTTTCTGACTTGGAAGACAAGTCCACGGTTCCATATGGAAAGTTTTTTGGTGCACTCGCTTTAAAGGCTATAAATATGTACAAGATACGTGCCAGGGGGTGAGGATGGGATAAACCGAAGTTTAGGTTCAGTATGGAAAATGGGTGATTCTTATGTTGGTAAGTGCCTGGGGTCATGGGAACACTTTCAGGTAGGTGAGATATGTTTCTAAATAGTAATGGCTCTTTGAAATTTGTATACAGAATCCCACTGAACGCTCAACAGTATCAGAACATAATTTCTTTTTTTTCTTTTTTTTTTTTTTTGAGGAGTCTCGCTTTGTCGCCCAGGCTGGAGTGCAGTGGCGCGATCTTGGCTCACTGCAAGCTCCGCCTCCCGGGTTCACGCCATTCTCCTGCCTCAGCCTCCCGAGTAGTTGGGACTGCAGGCGCCTGCCACCATGCCTGGCTAATTTTTTATATTTTTAGTGGAGATGGGGGTTTCACTGTGTTAGCCAGGCTGGTCTCGATCTCCTGACCTCGTGATCCGCCCATCTCGGCCTCCCAAAGTGCTGGGATTACAGGCGTGAACCACCGCGCCCGGCCCGTAATTTCTTATAACCATGTCGCATAGATTTTGTGGTGCCTAAAAGAATAGCATATTAATTCCTGTTGAGTATTTATCCCTCATTTGTTTTACTGAACTTTTTTTTCCCACAGAACTATGCAGTATGACGTACTCCAATAAGAGATTAAGCAAATAAAGTTTGTTAACTGTTCCCTGAAATATTGTATCTAGACAGTTTTCTTGTCAAGTATACAACTTTTAATTTAATGAGTGTGCAAATATTTTTTGTTCCACAGAGAAAAAAAATCAACTTTTTTTTTTTTTTTTTAACAAAGTGCTCTTTTAAAAATCATTGTTAGGCTGGGCGCAGTGGCTCTGCCTATAATCTCAGCACTTTGGGAGGCTGAGGCGGGCAGATCATCTGAGGTCAGGAGCTTGAGACCAGCCTGGCCAACATGGCGAAACCCCGTCTCTACCAAAACTACAAAAATTAGCCAGGCGTGGTGGCAGATACCTGTAATTCCAGCTACCGGGAAGGCTGAGGCGGGAGAATTGCTTGAATCCAGGAGGGGGAGGTTGCAGTGACCTGAGATCATGCCCTTGCACTCCAGCCTGAGTGATAGAGCGAGACTCCAACTCAAAAAAAAAAAAAAAAAAAAAAATTAGGGCCAGGCGCAGTGGCTCACATGGGCCAGGCGCAGTGGCTCACACCTGTGAGCACTTTGGGAGGCTGAGGTTGGTGGATCACCTGAGGTTGGGGATTTGAGATCACCCTGATCAACATGGAGAAACCCCGTTTCTACAAAAAGTAAAAATTAGCTGGGAGTGCTGGTGCATGCCTGTAATCTCAGCTACTGGGGAGGCTGAGGCAGGAGAATCGTTTGAACCTGGGAGGCGGAGGTTGCGGTGAGCCAAGATCGTGCCATTGTACTGGAGCCTGGACAACGAGAGCGAAACTCCGTCTCAAAAAAAAAAAATTTGTTATTTCTCTCTAATGATAACTCCTTTTAAAATTATTGTTATTTCTCTTTAGTGATGATGACAGCCTCTTCATCTATGACTGCAGTGCTGCAGAAAAGAAGTCACAAGAAAATAAAGGGTGAGATGTGGGGAAGCTTTTTCAGGGCCTGCTTTAATGGTTCGATAATGGGACCAGAGGGTCTAAGAAGCAATTGTTGTCCTACTTGCTGAATTCTTAGCTTCTGTCACACAGTGGTGCAGATAAGTAGCACCTCAGGAGAGACATGTAAAAGTAACTTTTAGGTTAGGCATTAAGAGTACATTGTTGGCTGAGCACGGTGGCTTATGCCTGTAATCCCAGCACTTTGGGAGGCCAAGGTGGGTGGATCACCTGAGGTCAGAATTTCCAGACCATCCTGGCCAACATGGCGAAACCCTGTCTCTACTAAAAATAAAAAAGTTAGCTGGGCGTGGTGGCAGGCACCTGTAATCCCGTCTACTTGGGAGGCTGAGGCACAAGAATCACTTGAACCTGGGAGGCGGAGGTTGCAGAGAGCTGAGATTGCGGCATTGCACTCCAGCCTGGGGAATAGAGCAAGACTCTGTCTCCCAAAAAAAAAAAGAGTACAGTGTTAGTGCCGGGTGCGGTGGCTCATGCCTATAATCTCAGCACTTTGGGAAGCCAGGGTGCTGACTGAGGTCAGAAGTTCAAAGCCAGCCTTGCCAATGTGATGAAACTCCATCTCTACTAAAAATAGCCAGGCATGCTGGTGGGCGCCTGTAGTCCCAGCTACTTGGGAGGCTGAGGTGGGAGAATCACTTGAACCTAGGAGGCGGAGGTTGCAGTCGGCCGAGGTTGCGCCACCGCACTCTCCAACCTGGGTGACACAGCAAGACTCCGTCTCAAAAAAAAAAAAAAAAAAAGCACAGTGTTAGGACTTTTCTAAATACTTTTAGTTTCTGTCAGTAATCACATCTTACTGGCTCCTTGAAGTAATGGTTGAAGGCGGGTGTAGGAAGTTAACTTCAGCTAATTGAGATATAAAAGTAGAGCATGTGAGTGTTTCGTATGGTGGCTTTCTTTAGTTATCATTGGTATTGTGGCTCAGTTTGTTTTATCGTTATTATTATTTTTTGAGACAGGGTCTCTCTGTTACCCCGGTTGGAGTGCAGTTGCACAAACATAACTCCCTGCAGCCTCGACCTCCTGGGTTCAGGTGATCTCCCGCCTCATCCCCCTAAGTACCTGGGACTACAGGCACATGCCAACATACCTAATTTTTTTTTGAGATGGAGTCTTGCCCTGTTGCCAGGCTGGAGTGCAGTGGCGCTATCTTGGCTCACTGCAACCTCCACCTCCCTGGTTTAAGTGGTTCTCCTGACTCAGCCTCCTGAGTAGCTGGGACTACAGGCACGCACCACCATGCCCGGCTAATTTTTTTTTTGTATTTTTAGTAGAGACGAGGTTTTACCATGTTGGCCAGGATGGTCTCGATCTCCTGACCTCGTGATCCACCTGCCTTGGCCTCCCAAAGTGCTGGGATTACAGGTGTGAGGCACCGCGCCAGGGCTGCCTAATTTTTGTAGTTTTTTGTAGAGACGTGGTTTCGCCATGTTACCCAGGCTGGTCTTGAACTCCTGAGCTCAAGCGATCCTCTCGCCTTGTCCTCCCAAAGTATTGGGGGAAATTCAGCCAGATATTGGGCAAAATTCACCCCCGATATTTCACGTAGGTTCTTTTCAATTTTCCCTAAGCGTCGGCCGGTTTGAGAAATAAAGGGACAGAGTACAAAAGAGAGAAATTTTAAAGCTGGGCGTCCGGGGGAGACATCACATGTCGGTAGGTTCCGTGATGCCTCCTGAGCCGTAAAACCAGCAAGTTTTTATTAGGGATTTTCAGAAGGGGAGGGAGTGTACGAATAGGTGTGGGTCACAGAGATCACATGCTTCACAAGGTAATAGAATATCACGAGGCAAATGGAGGCAGGGCGAGATCGCAGGACCACAGGACCGGGGCAAAATTAAAATTGCTAATAAGTTTCGGGCACCACTGTCATTGATAACATCTTATCAGGAGACAGGGTTTGAGAGTAACCGGTCTGACCAAAATTTATTAGGCGGGAATCTCCTCATCCTAGTAAGCCTGGGAGCGCTATGGGAGACTGGGGCTTATTTCATCCCTACAGTCTCGACCAGAAGATGGCCACACCCAAGGGGGCCATTTCAGAGGCCCACCCTCAGGGGCGCATTCTCTTTCTCAGGGATGTTCCTTGCTGAGAAAAAGAATTCAGCTATATATCTCCCATTTGCTTTTGAAGGAAGAGAAATATGGCTCTGTTCCGCCTGGCTCACCAGCGGTCAGAGTTTAAGGTTATCTCTCTTGTTCCCTGAACATTGCTGTTATCCTGTTCTTTTTCAAGGTGCCCAGATTTCATATTGTTCAAACACACATGCTCTACAATTTGTGCAGTCAACGCAATTATCACAGGGTCCCGAGGTGACATACATCCTCCTCGGCTGACAGGATTAAGAGATTAAAGTAAAGACAGGCATAGGAAATCACAAGGGTATTGACTGGGGAAGTGATAAGTGTCTATGAAATCTTCACAATTTATGTTTAGGGATTGCAGTAAAGACAGGCATAAGAAATTATAAAAGTATTAATTTGGGGAACTAATAAATGTCCATGAAATCTTCACAATCCACATTCTTCTGCCATGGCTTCAGCTGGTCCCTCCGTTTGGGGTCCCTGACTTCTCGCAACACCAAAGTGCTGAGATTATAGGTCTGAGCTACCATACCTGGCCTGTTATTAGTATTGTTAATGTGAGTTTATCCCTGCCTCTAGCCTTGGGTTAGTCCTTGCCCATGAGGAAGAGGGCCATGTGTCATTGAGGGTTCTTCCAGCTTAGCTCTCTGGGTTCTGGCATGTATGCTGGGAGATTTTCTGTTTAGTTAGGCTTCATGCTGATAAAATTAGAGCTGTTTTGAACTTCCCCATGTCCCTTTAATATGTCTGTATTTTGGCTACGTGATCCCCTTAACAGTTTCTACCTCCTCCCATGTTAGAAATTACCACGCTGGCCAACAAGGAATGCAGCCTTATTTCCTTAGGTGAAGCTTAACCGTCTTCCTCCTCTCTTCCTCAGGGAGGACGCGCCCTTGGACCAGGGGAGCGGTGCGATTCTGGCGTCCACCTTCTCCAAGTCTGGCAGCTATTTTGCTTTAACCGATGACAGTAAGCGTCTGATTCTTTTCCGTACAAAACCATGGCAATGTCTGAGTGTCAGGTATGAGATGCTAACGCTGGATTCTTAAGATGTCGAATGCACACCTTATCCTTGCATGCCTGTAGCAATAGTGACCATAACATGGTGATAAGGGTGATAAGTGGTTGACACGGAGCCGCAGTTCAGTGCCAGACACCACTTTCAGTGCCACATGTGTGTTGGCTGATCTGATCCTCACGGCAGTTCTGGGAGGGTGCAGGGGTGCTGTTCTGTCCCACGCTGGGTGGTGAACAGTTAGATAGCAGACTCCGATCAGTGGGCTCGGAAGACAGAGCCGGGCCCTGCTGCTGGTCCCTCCACCTACAGTGTTGGTGCCCCTGTTTTCCAGGGCAGTCCTCTGTCCTTGTGATTAGCAGGAACAAGGCTGTGAGCCTGCCCTGGAGAGTGATAGGGATTTGGGGTCTGTTGAGGGGTCTGTACCATAGTATTAAGCTAGGTGGGTTTAGTGCACATATGTCTGAGTATCTGAAGAGTGGATGGGGAGTGGATCCGTGGGGATGGGGAGGCCAGTAACTCTGGCAAGAACGGGAGATATCGCTATGCCTTGCCCTCTTACTTAGCAAAGTCCGGAAAGGTTCTTCTGCCTTCCCTATTCCTCCTTTTTTATTTTTTTGAGACGGAGTTTTGCTTTTGTTGCCCAGGCTGGAGTGCAATGGCGCGATCTTTGCTCATCGCAACCTCGACCTCCCGGCTTCAAGTGATTCTCCTGCCTCAGCTTCTCCAGTAGCTGGGATTACAGGCACTTGCCACCATGCCCGGCTAATTTTTTGTATTTTTAGTAGAGATGGGATTTCACCATGTTAGCCAGGCCAGCTCTTGAACTCCTGACCTCAGGTGATCCGCTGGCCTCGGCCTCCCAAACTGCTGGGATTACAAGTGTGAGCCACTACACCCGGCCTGTCTTTAAGATTTTTATTTCATCTTTTTTTTTTTTTTTTTTGGAGAAGGGTCTCATTCTGTCACCCAGGCTGGAGTGCGGTGGTGTGATCTTGGCTCACTACAGCCTCCGCCTCCCAGTTTCAAGCAATTCTCCCATCTCAGCCTCTCGAGTAGCTGGGACTATAGGTGCACACCACCATGCCTGACTAATTTTTGTATTTTTTGCTGGAGACAGAGTTTCACCACATTGGCCAGGCTGGTCTCCAACTCCTGATCTCAGGTGATCCACCCGCCTCAGCCTCCCAAAGTGCTGGGATTACAGGCATGACCCACCGCTCCCAGCCTCATCTTATTTTCAAAGAGAAGAGTAAAAACCCAAATTCAGCTGGGTGCAGTGGCTCCCACCTGTAATCCTAGCACTTTGGGAGGCCGAGGCAGGCGGATCGGATCACCTGAGATTAGGAGTTCGAGACTAGCCTGGCCCACATGGCAAAACCCCGTCTCTACTAAAAATACAAAATTAGCTGGGCATGGTGGTGCGTGCCTGTAGTTCCAGCTACTCGGGAGGCTGAGGCAGGAGAATCTCCCGAACCTGGGAGGCGGAGGTTGCAGTGAGCCGAGATCATGCCGTTGCACTCCAGCCTGGGTGAGAAGAGCAAAACCCCGTCTCAAAAAAAAAAAGCCAAATTCTAGGTGGCATCAAAAGCAATGAATGCCTGCTCTGTCCTCTCTTCCAGTCAGGTTAAAAAGAAAGCCCTGAAACGCTGCATCATTTCTACTCTATGTGTTTTTGTGTATACGGGTTTTACTATATATGTTTTTATGTATATGTGATTTACAATATGTTTTTGTGTCTTTGTGTATCAGGTAGGTAATAGATGCACATGGTTTAAAAACTTAAAACACAACAAAATTAAACCAAAGAGTATGCGTCAGTCTCCCTTCTTACCCACCTTCTGGCTCCTTTCCCATAGGCAGTGATGGTTTCCCAGTAGGAAAATGACTTTTAAATGCATGTCCCTACATGTCTGAGTTATAACTGATAATAAATGGCTGCTTCCACCTGACTGCTGTGGATCGCGTCATCTTTATCTTGAAAGGCCTGTGAACGGCATCCTCTTGCTAAGATAGCCACATGAGTAAGTCATTTAGGACCTAGAATAGAGAAGATGGGAAGTGTTTTCAGGATTCAGGGTGAATGCCTCAAGGTGGCCTTGAGGTGTCCTGCTCTGAGCCCCTCCACAGGGATCTCTGCAGGTGGCAGGGGCTTTCTAGTAGGTTGGCCTTGACTTTGGGTTTCTTGGACAACCTGTGGGAAGGAGGGATGGACAGGTTTTCACCTCTCAGTGTTGAAAGAAGATAGTAGTTGTCCTAGTCTGCTTGGGCTGCCCAACAAGATACCACAGACTAGGGGCCTTAAATAACAATTTTCTCACAGTTGTAGGGGCTGGAAAACCAAGATCAAGGGGCTGGCAGGACAGGGCTGGTTCCTCTGAGGCCTCTCTCCTTGGCTTGCTGATGGCGTCTTCTCCCTATGTCCTCACAGAGTCGTCCTTTTGTGTCTATGTCCTCATTTCCTGTTCCTGAAAGGACACTGGTCAGATGGGGTCAGGGCTATCCCAATGACCTCTGTTTCACCTCTGTAAAGGTCCTATCCAAATACAGTTACATTCTGAGGTCCTAGGTAGGTCAGGGCTTCAACATAGGAGTTGTGGTTTGGAGGATTCAGTTAAGCACATAACAGTTCATTTTGCCTTTCGGACACTGGCTGCTGTAGAGAGCTTTCATAATTCACATGAGATTCTCAAAGGGGGCTTGGACTCCCAAAAGTTAAAAATGAAATGATCTAAGGGAATCTGATGGTAATTTTTTTTTTTAATTTGAGACGGAGTTTCACTCTTGTTTCCCAGGCTGGAGTGCAATGGCGTGATCTCAGCTCACTGCAACCTCTGCCTCCCAGGTTCAAGCAATTCTCCTGCCTCAACCTCCCAAGTAGCTGGGATTACAAGCATGTGCCACCACGTCTGGCTAATTTTTTGTATTTTTAGTAGAGAAGGGGTTTCACCATGTTGGCCAGGCTGGTTTCGAACTCTGACCTCAAGGTGATGTACCTGTCTCAGTCCCCCAAAGTGCTAGGATTACAGGAGTGAGCCACTGCGCCTGGCCTGGTAATTCTTTTCCTAAAGTAAAGGCCCTGGCTGAGCTTTGGCATAGGCATAGTGCACAAGAGCCGCTTGGGTGTCTTGTGAAAGCACAGACTTTGTGATTCATTTCATCTGGGCTAGGCCATATGCTCTGTGATTTCTTTCTTTCTTTGTTTTGAGACAGAGTCTCGCTCTGTCACCCAGGCTGGAGTGCAGTGGCCCAATCCCGGCTCACTGCAACCTCCACCTCCCGGGTTCAAGCGATTCTTCTGCCTCCGCCTCCCGAGCAGCTGAGATTACAGGCACTTACCACCATGCCCAGTTAATTTTTGTCTTTTTAGTAGAGATGGGGTTTTGCCATTTTGGCCAGGCCGGTCTTGAACTCATGACCTCAGGTGATCCGCTGACCTTGGCCTCCCAAAATGTTGGGATTACAGGCGTGAGCCACTGAGCCCAGCTACAGCAGTTTTCTTGACTATCCCTCTACTGGTGGTCAGCATTTTTTTTTTTTTTTGAGATGGAGTTTCGCTGTTGTTGCCCAGGCTGGAGGGCAATGGCACGATCTAGGCTCACTGCAACCTCCGCCTCCTGGGTTCAAGTGATTCTCCTGCCTCAGCCTCCCGAGTAGCTGGGATTACAGGCATGCACCACCACGACCGGCTAATTTTTTCTATTTTTTTAGTAGAGATGGGGTTTCACAATGTTGGCCAGGCTGGTCTTGAACTCCTGACCTCAGGTGATCCACCCACATCGGCTTCCCAGGGTGCCGGGATTACAGGTGTGAGCCACTGGCGCCTGGCCAGAAGAGCAACTCTTTATATACTTAAGAATCATTTGTGTTTTGTAAACTTTTTTTTTTTCCATATCCTATGTTTTTCCATTGGGGTGTTGTTTATTTGTAGGAGCTCTTTATATTTGGACACTTTAGTTTTACAAAATAAGCCCATCTCCCAAAGTGTGGCTCTCAACATGGCCTTTCTCACACGGCCTTTCTGTGGCACAGGTGTGTAAGGTGAGCTGCACCGGTAACCACTGAGACTGGATTAGCATTTTCCAATACCCTTGCCTTAGCTGACAAAACTTCAAAGCCCTGGGGTCAAGAACAAGTGCAGAGCTGAGATCCACGTGCCGATGTGTACACGGATCTCAGACGTGATCCAGTTACTTAGACAACAGTGGAGTGTGTGGGTTCCCGTTCAGCTATGGTGAGTGGGGTTGTAGAAGTTGGGAGTGAATTCTCACTTGTCTGCTTCCCCTGGAGTACAGTTCGGTGTCCTCTCATGCTACCTTTTGCCTTTTTTATCCTTTGGTTTTGGTCCGTACAGAAAATTGGAAACCACTGAGAAGTACAAAATGAGAGCAAGAACAAAAACCACCCTGAATTTCACCACCCAGAGCCAGAGTATGGGATGAGCACTGGGGCCAGGCCCTCCTCCTCCTCTCTGCAGATGGATTACAGGATTTGCATGTGTTACACTGTAGTGGTGGCATGTGCTAGCCTATAGCCTGTTCCCCCCCGCCAGGGCAGTGTTGACAACACTGTGTCATTCCCTGTAGCTGAGTTGTTACATTGTTTGCACTGTTCCACTGCTCAAATGCTAGTGTTTCCTTGTACCTCTTCCTGCCTTTAAACTTCGGGAAGTTTGAGCCAGAGCAACTGGGACAGCAGAGGTGTGGACAGTGTGGGTTTACTGGCACCAATGTGTGACAACAGACACGGCGAAGCTTCCCAAGCCTTGGTGTCCAGCGGTTTCCTTGGGGTTGATCACATGCTGTGGGGGTGGCTGACTTTTAGTTCCCAGCCCCTCCAGAGGTGGAGTGGACACCTTGTGGCCCCAGGCCCCTGCCCTAAATCACGTACTTAGGCTGCCTGTGGGGCCCAAGGCCCCTACTCTTGGAGATGAGGCCAAAGGCAAGGTTAATTCTTCACTATGCAGAGGGTGTACCCTGTGCCAAGGCTTTTGATGTCTGGTACCAGACACCATTTGAGGAGTAGCCACTGCCTGCAGAGGGTAGGGGAGGCTGGGTCTGGCCGTGTGTGCCGTAGGCCTGGCTGGTGGTGGGGGTGAGCGGGCAGGGAGCTCACTCGTGTCTTGAAGACGCTGACTCTTTCAAGTCTGGACAGTGCTGCGGCTGTGAAGTTCTGAGGTTGCCAGAAAGATGGAGACGTGGGTGGAATGTCACCTTACTTCAATGTGAGCTTGCTGTCCAGAGGTAGTGTCTCACTTTGAACTTGGGAGAGAGGGGATGTCCAGTCTGCCTGCCCGCTGTGTCCTGGTTCCTAACAGTGGAGCTTCTTCACCCTGATGGAAGCGCGGAGGCCCAGGGCTCCTCCAGGGGTTCTGACTCCTCCAGAGGGACGGGGCCTCTGCTCCTGGCATCGTGCATGGCCCAGAGGAGGGAGGAATCTAGAATTCTCTCCACTCAATGTGGTTGCCTGTGGCAGTTGGCTTCTTGGAGGAGGTCATTTGAGGTTGAGAGCTCCATGAGTTGGGACTCGTGGTGGATGCAGATACCGCTGCAGGCTGGGCGGGTGGGGGGCCTCTTCATCCTTGGTTGTAGGTGCTTTGCCAAGAGGGAGATGTCTTGCTGTGTTGACTCGTCTTTTGAAGGTTGTGTGCTGGTGTGATTCTCTTTATGGAAGCACCTGGTAAAACTCTGGGAGGCTGGCATGGTGGCTCATGCCTGTAATCCCAGCATTTTGAGGGGCCAAGGTGAGAGGATCCCTTGAGGCCAGCAGTTCGAGGCCAGTCTGGCCTCAACATAGTGAGATCTCGTATCTACAAAGAAAAAAAAAAGCACAAGTCCAAGAGTGGGCAGTGCATCTAGTTTAAGTACCCCTAATCTGAAATTCACAATCCTCCAAAATCCGAAATTTTGTGAGCATAGGGAAGATGCTCAAAGGAAATGCTCACTGGAATGTTTCGGATTTTGGATTTTTAGGTTAGGGATGCTGAGCCAGTAAGTATTTGCAAATATTCCAAAACCTGAACAAATCTGAAGTGCAAAGCACTTTTCGTCCCGAGCATTTGGGATGAGGGATGGGCAGCCTGCAGCATGTGAGCAAAGAGCAGTGTTTGGCTCTTGGCAGTGCCCCTTTACCTGTGCGTTCACTTTTTTTTTTTTTTTTTTTTGGTGGAGCGGAGTGTCTCTTTGTCACCCAGGCTGGAGTGCAGTGGCACGGTCTTGGCTCACTGCAACCTCCACCTCCTGGGTTCAAGCGATTCTCCTGCCTCAGCCTCCTGAGTAGCTGGGATTATAGGAATGAGCCACCACGCCTGACTAATTTTTATATTTTTAGTAGAGATGGGGTTTTGCCATGTTGGCCAGGCTGGTCTTGAACTCCTGACCTCAGGTGATCTGCCCACCTTGGCTTCCCAAAGCTCTAGGATTAGAGGCGTGAGCCACTGCGCCCGGCCTGCTCTTGGTTTTGAAAGTGATGTCAGCAGTATAACTTCGTGTAGGAAATGTTTGCCTTAGGTGGTGTGGAAGATGGACCATGTGATTTGATGCAGTCCAGGCAGCAGATTACAAAATCCCGCCTCGATGGTGTGGCTTGGGGTTTCTCCTGACCTTGGTGTAGGGCACGCCTTGCTGCCTCCCCTTTCTCTAGTTGAACTGCAGGACAGTGGGTACAGTTGTGAAGTTACTGCCACTTTCAACATCTCTTGGCAAATTCCTCAATAATCTTTTTAAAATTCCTTTAGAATTGTGGGTTTGTGAACTTTTCAGCATCGGGTGGAGTGAAATTGTTACCCTTTCTCTCAGTGAGAAATTGGAGGGGATTATTGTGGCAGGAGGAGTAGGTTTGGGGGATGCGAGTGGGGCAGGGAGAGGGGCATAGGGTGAGTTTTATCAGGAGCTGCTTTCAAGGAGAGGACTAGGGTGAGTGGAACCATGCTGAGCTGGCAGGCAGCACCCTGTGGCTGGTCCGCAAACATGGGGGCTGCTCCCCACACCTGGAGGCTTTTTATGCCTCTTAGATCTCAGACTCTTAGATCTGATGCACCCGCTCCCCAGAAAACCGCCCACGCTTAGCACATCCACCTCCATTCAGTTTTAGAGGTTCCATGTACTCCTAGCCTCTCTGCATTTCACTGAGGCCCTGCACCGCTGCAGGATGCCCCTGAGCTGGGCGAGACCCTAGGCTCTGTCCCATGGTTGCTTTGTTACTGTGCTGCTGCTGGGAAGCTTCCTGTTGAAGGGTTTTGAGGCGTAGCCAAGATGGAAGTTGTGGGCAGCAACGATTCTTTCCCAGGTAGCAGTTTAGAACCGCAAGGGACGGAGGGCCTGCCACCTGGGCAGTCAGGAGACTCTTGGCCCGAGGGACTGAGGCCAGGTTTTCCAAGCCGAAGATGAGGACACAGGGTGACGAGTGATACATTGATTTTGACATGTGTGTTTATGAGGGAGAAATCCTCCCAGTGGAGTCTGTGTTTCCGAAAACAACTGTGAGAGCCACGGCAGCACGTGGGAAAGGCAGAGCCAGAGAACCATCTGATTCGCTCTGCCCAGGGGGTGGAGAGAGAGCACCTGGCTGCTGGAGTGTGGGTGTGGATGGTGCCTGGTGTCCTCAGTGCCCTGTTGGGGCTGCCCAGGCGGCTCTCTGGAGGGGGGCTTGGGGCAGTGCCAACTCAGTCTGGGAGTTCAGGGCTCAGCCACTCGACTCCTGGCAGAGAACGGAGGGTGTGGAGATGGGTGGTTACTTGCTAGGTTCTGCTGGTCTCTGGGCCCTGAACCCAGTGACTGTGGAGGGAGTGCTGAGACCCGAGACCCGAGACCCTGCACAGGCTGGGGGTTGGAGGGCGGGCGGGGTTGTGCCTCAGCTAGGGTGACAGGCCGGCTTGCCATTGGTCCAGTGACCTGCCCCATTCTGTGACCTCCCTTGGATCCTAGCACCCAAGCCTGCGAGTAAGGCTCAGCTGCGTCCTAGAATCGGTGCCAGGATAAGCCCAGCTGGAGAGGCTGGGAGCCTCCGGCTGGGGCAGGACAAAGGGACGCGGAGCAGTGCCCTCTGCTGAGCTGGGCAGGAGGCACGGTGTCGGGGGCCATCTGTGCCACACGCCTTCCAGCCAGGCTGGGGGGATGAGCGCCCTGTGAGTCCAAGTCCATCCCCCCTCCCTGTGGCATCCTCTTGGGCTGCTCCTCTGTGCCACCATGGTCGTGTTTGTGGCAGCTGCTTAATGAGCCCATCGGACATTGGGGGCTGTGTCGCTGGTGCAGTGCAGGGCTGTTTGTTTAAATTGCAGTGCACCCTGAGAATTCTGATTAATCTTGCCCCAGAGCGTAATTATCTTTCTTTGTCCTTGTTTTCTCTGTGTTTACCCCGTTATACTTCCCTTCTGCCTCCCTTCTGCAGCTCTGCTGCACAGCTGTGAGGGAGGAGGAGGGATGCTGCTTCCAGCCTGGGGTGTGGCCCAAAGGTCCTGCCTGCCCTTTTCTGTCTTTTAGTCCCTCTGCCCCTGAGAGAAACATAGGGGCCTCATTGAGGACAGCGTTCCTGAAGCTTCCATCTCAATTTCCAGCCGCAGTGGGCCGGGCGCCCTGTACTTGTCTGCCTGGTGTTGGCTGCGTATTGGGCAGTGTGTGCTGCCACAGCCCTGGGGGTGGGGAAGCAGGGCTGGCTGCTGTTCTGTAGTGAGGCCCTGTGGCTAACTGCGTGTGTGGGAAGCTGTGCTACAACTCATATCTATGTAAAATAGAACATATGGGTCCCTGCCTTGTGGAGAGGACATAAATACGGGACGATTCCAGTAGAAATGATGTGGAAATGAGAGCCCCAGGAAGTAGTGTAGCCCTGAGCCCTGGCGAAGGAGAGGGAGCGAACTGTGACTTTGGTTCTTGCTGAAGCAGTGTGCAAACGTGCTGCATCCGGAACTCTGGTGCATCCATGACTCTGGGTCGGGGTTGGATTCATGGATGTGCTGATGTGGATGTGGACTGGGGGGAGCGCAGGCCTCTCACACGCTGGATAACCGAGCTTCCTCCCGAGGAGGGTAGGGTGCTGCCTCACTGCTGCCCTGGGCTGGGTCCTGCCCTGAGGGTGGCCAGGCCCCTCCATCCCTCTGCAGGGCATGGGGCACGGCTCTCTGTCTGAGGCTCCTGGTTCGACGCAGCAGAACGAGCAGCAGGGGTCAGTGTGGGTCAGGGGAGCGGCAAGGCTGGGGGGCCCTGGAGACTGGTGCCTGCCTTTGTCCTTGACAGTGGCCCCCAGCACACTCAGCGTTTATGGAGAGGGCCGTTGTCTCCCTCAATGCATGATGAAGACTCTGGGGTTAAGGAACCATTCCCCCATTTCTTGATGACAGTTTTCAAACACACAGGAAAGTTGAGGATTTTGTCACGCATTTATCCACCACCTAGATCCCACCATCAGGAGCAATTTTCTATTCTTTTCTTTTTTTTTTTTTTTTTTTTTTTGAGACGGAGTCTCGCTCTGTCGCCCCAGGCTGGAGTGCGGTGGCGGGATCTCGGCTCACTGCAAGCTCCGCCTCCCGGGTTCACGCCATTCTCCCGCCTCAGCCTCCCGAGTAGCTGGGACTACAGGCGCCCGCCACCACGCCTGGCTAATTTTTTGTATTTTTAGTAGAGACGGGGTTTTCACCGTGTTAGCCAGAATGGTCTCAATCTCCTGACCTTGTGATCCACCCACCTCGGCCTCCCAAAGTGCTGGGATTACAGGTGTGAGCCACTGCGCCCGGCTAGGAGCAATTTTCTTAAAGAAAAACGTTGTGAAAGTAAATTTGTCGAAGGCATTGGCTTTGTTCCAGTTGTTAGCATTGCTTAATTTTTTTGGCACCACCTTCAGCAGCTGGAAAACAGAGCATATGGCCAGGTACCGGTGCCTGCCACCGCCCACGTGGCCTGCCAGGCTGTCGAGGACCCTGCGCTGCTCCTGGAAGCTAATGGGGGTGTCTTTCTGGCCTTCTAGGACCGTGGCAAGGAGGTGTACAGCCCTGACTTTCATAGCCTCGGAGGAGAAGGTCTTGGTGGCCGACAAGTCTGGAGACGTCTACTCCTTTTCGGTGCTGGAGCCACACGGGTGTGGCCGTCTAGAGCTGGGGCACCTGTCTATGCTGTTAGATGTGGTAGGTGGGGGACGTGGTAGGTGGGGGACATGGCAGGTGTGGGACACGGTACATGGGGGACGTGGCACGTGGGGCATACGCTGAGTCAATGTCTACCCTGTCAAGGCTCAGGCACCTGTCCATGCTGTTAGACGCAGTACGTGGGGGACATGGTATGTGGGGTACAGGCTGAATCAACGTCTGCCCGGTCTGTGCCCCAGCGTTTGGTGGGGAGAATGGGGCTCCCCCGTAGCAGGGACAGCCCTCTGCAGATTTGGGAGCAGGGGAGTGGTGGGAACAGGATTTAGGAAGGTGGAGCAGACAGCAGGGAGAATGAAGAAGGCAAGTGAGACAGGAGGTGGTCAGTAGGTGGCCCCAGGTTGGAAGTGAAGGTGTGGGAGGAGCAGGTGCAGCCACGAGCCTCTGGCTCCGCCTCCTTGGCCGGGAGCTGTGCCAGGTGCTGTAGGAGCATCACCTCAGCACTGCTCCCAGCAGCCCCTGTCACCCCACTCTGTGTGCCCCGTGTGTCACAGACACACACCTGGAGCCCCAGAGGGCGCAGGCCCACAGCCCGGGTGGTGGAGCTGGGATTGGACGCACACAGGGACAGTCAGGAACAATGGCGAGTGTGGGGTATCAAAGGGAACCTCACTGGGACTTGGTGACAGATGGGTGTGGGGACATGTGTGACAGGAAGGCAAGGAAGGCAACCCAGTGTTGGGCAGGAGGGTGCAGCAGGCCTGTGGCGGGTGGAAATGGGCGTGGGGCCTGGATTTGCCAAGGTGCGGGAGACAGGCAGGCAGGGGTGGCACTGCCCCACCCCAGAAGCCTGCTCTAGCACTGAGGAGTGAGGGCTAGAGGTGGCCAGGGACCCTCTGGGGAGGGAGAATGAGGGCCACCAATTAGACGTAGGGACGGGAGGAGGGGAGGAGCCACGCTGGTCTGTCCTCGAAGGCCTCATCCTCTTGGCGGCCAGGCTGCAGCTTCCCTGCCTTCTTCCATGAGGGACTTGATTCGGGAAGACTCAGGTGAGCGGCTTTTTCTTTTCTGGCCCCTGGTGATGCAGGCTGTGAGTCCTGATGACCGCTTCATCCTCACTGCCGACCGGGACGAGAAGATCCGAGTCAGCTGGGCCGCGGCGCCCCATAGCATCGAGTCCTTCTGCTTGGGGCACACAGAGTGAGTGCCCCTTCCTGCCCCTCCAGCAGAAAGAAGGTCTGTTTGAAAACAGCGTCAGCTTGCGGCTCAGCAGGTGCCGTTGTAGCTGGCGAGGCCCCACGCGGGTGACAGCAGCCCCCGTGCTTGGTGTTTGGTCACTGCAGGCGCCGTGGTGCTGCCTGCAGAAGCCCTGAAAGGGTGGGGTTCACTCTGCGCTGTTACCCGGAGTCTGTGCCAGTAACTTGGCATTGGGCCTGACCGAACAGGAAGGGCTTGTTTCCGGGAAACCCCTGTCTCAGTGTGGAGACCCCTGCACCATGCCCGGGAGTTGTTCGCTGGTGGGTGGTGGGGGTGTTGGGGGCGAGGATGAACTTTAGTGATTTCAGCTGTCCAAGAATTAAGCGGCCTCTGCAGCCAGGTGGCGGCGTCTCTCGTGGCAGCACACTCTGCCAGGACCCATGTGGAGGTGTTTCTGAATGCCCGCTCCTGTCTCACACAAAAAGCTCATTAGAATTTACACAAAGGAAAAACGCTTAGTGTAATTGGCTGAAATGTTTTAAAATATATTATTTGAGGCAGTGGAAGAAATTGGAGGGAGGAAATTCAGTGCCGAGGTTGCCTGTGTTTTCCTGGTTTTGATCCAAACATTTCCTGTTTAAGAAGGCCAGTCACTGGTGTGTGCCTCAGGATAGCTTCTTCTGACTTGCATTTAGTTCGCTAGTGATCCAGCTCTGGAGTTCTCTGGCCTGCAGCCCCCCGGCCCCTCCCCTTCACCATCTCTCGCTGGGGTCTCTGCAGCTCCCTTGCCTCGCCAGGCACGTGAGGGAGGTTTCTGCTGACGGGAACACGCTTCTCACCCTTCTAGGGAAATGCTTCATCACTTAGAAGTATTGAGTAAAAACATAGTATTAAAATTAACTTCAACTGCTCCCTCCCTCCCTCCCTTCCTTCCCCCCTCCCCACCCCACCCTTCCCCTCCCTTCCTTTCTTTTCTCTTTCTTAGCTGTGTCGCCCAGGCTGGAGTGCAGTGGCGTGATCTTGGCTCACTGCAACCTCTGCCTTCCAGGTTCAAGCGATTCTCCTGCCTCAGCCTCCCAAGTAGCTGGGACTACAGGCCCCTGCCACCACGCCCGGCTAATTTTTTTTTGTATTTTTAGTAGAGACGAGGGTTCACTATGTTGGCCAGGCTGGTCTTGATCTCCTGACCTCATGATTCGCCCGCCTCGGCCTCCCACAGTGCTGGGATTACAGGCGTGAGCCACCGTGCCCGGCCTGCCCGTTTACTTTTCAACATAGTGGCTGGCAAATTGAAAACAAAGCCCCGTGGCCCCTGTGTGTGGCTGGAGGTGTGTTTCTGCTGGATGTGCTGTTCTGTGCCCTTTGCTGACATTGCAGTATCAGTTGGTTCACTGGCCGTCTCCCGCTGCGTCTGAGTGGTTCTGTGGGTCTGTTGGGCCTGTTGGTGTGTGCAGCCCTCAGCGTGGTGCCTGGCATGAGTAGGTGCTCAGTAGATAACTGCAGTGATTGGACGAATTATGTTTTGAGATTTTGTTTCAGACCCCTGGAAACTGGTTTCCCGGCCTTTCAAACCGTTGAGAACTGTGAGGCCACTCGTGCCCTCTGCACGGGGCGTCCTGTGCCCTATCTGTCCTGGGCTGTGGGCTGCTGTTGGTGCTGTGGTGCCGTGCAGGGCGGTGGCTGCGGGACCGGGCCCGGCTCACGCGATGGCTAGCCCAAGGTAGCAGAGGCCATGACTGGTGGAGATGGAGTGAGGCTCACGGGCCACCCCATTCCAGGGTCCCCGGGAACCCCGTGCATGAGGGATTGCTTGAGGCCACTGTGTTAGAGTGGGAAGAAAAGGGGCCTTGTCACCCTTGTAGGTGCCCGAGCCAAGATGGGTTTCCAGGCGAGCTGGGCTGCTTGGGTTATTCTTCATGGCTGTTCTGATGGGAGGGTCCCTGTGACTTTGAGTCCTGTGCTTGCAGGCCAACCCCTCACAGGAGGACTGGGCCGGGCTCAGCAGAGACAGCTGTCTGGCCAGGTCACTCAGAGTTGTTGCTGAGGGGCCGTCAGGACCCTGATAGGAACCTGTGGGCTTGGCTGCCCTCCTCCCTCCACCCTCCTCCCTGTGTGCTGTGTCTTTGAGTCTCCCCCGTGTCTTTGAGTCTCCCCCAAGGCTCCTTTCATCACAGTGCAGGTGCCTTGGGCCAGGGTGGGTGCTGGGGGGCCTGTAGAGGTGCCGCTGAGCAGAGCTGCTGCAGAGGGGGCTGCAGAGGGGCACAGAGGCGCTTGGGTCTCTGGCAGGCATGGCTGAGGAGCGGCCTGGGTTAGAGGTTGCTGTGCTGTTGGGGACCCAGGAATGACCTCACTCACCTCCCCGACTGCGTCCAGGGGCCTCCACCTGGTTAACCCTAACCAGGTTAGGGTTAACAGCTACTTCCCATGTTGGCTGTTTTTATTGGATCAGGGGGTTTAGGGCAGAGGCTTCTCTTCCTTAGATGAACAGGCGGCCTCCCCAGGCCTCCCGGTCCCTGCGGGCGCTGGGCTCGCTGACTCTGCCGCTCTCTCTCGCCCTCACAGGTTTGTGAGCCGTATCTCCGTGGTGCCAACTCAGCCCGGGCTGCTTCTGTCCTCCTCTGGGGTAAGTGTTCTGCCCAGCGTCACTCACCTCTGGATTCTTGAGCCTGCAGGGAGGGTGGGGTGGGCGCCTCCTGGACCTGGCCCCTGTGGATCGCTGGCCCCTGGCTGGCTGTGGCTGTCCACTAGATCTTAGAGCTGCCTGCGGCTCGCTCCCCGCCTGCGGCCGCTCACTCAGGACTGCGTGTGGGGTGTGCGTAGGTGCGTGTGTGTTCGCCTGTGGGATGAACTAGCACGGGTGTGTGGAAGGCTCCCTTCTGAGGGCGGCTGCTGCATCTACGATGGTATCGGGGATCAGGATCTCAGGTAGAAACAGTAGACGGGGGCTTCTCTGACTCTTGGAGGGGTCTCAGTCCATCCCATTACGGGCTGCATTTTTTTTCCTTTTCTTTCCTTTTTTTCTTTCTTTCTTTTTTTTTAAGATGGGGTGTTGCTACATTTTTCAGGCTGGTTTCAAACTCCTGGGCTCAAGCGATCTGCCTCCTTGGCCTCCCAAGTAGCTGGGACCACAGGCTCGAGCGCCCGCACCCGGGTTACCACAGTGCATTTTTGCTTGTTGGGTACAGCTTCTGTGTCCCAGCAATTGGGTCCTGGAAGCCTTACAGTTTAGTGATGAGAGACGTGTTTTCTCTAAGGAATGTGTTAGAAGGATTGTTAGTGATTTTGCCAAAGTGAGGGCCTTGGATTCCTCACAGGGTCTGATTCTGTCCTCTTGCGGAATTGTTGCCCGCACACCACCACCTTCCTCTTCGCTGTCCTTCCCTGTGTTGTCTGTGTTGGTCCTTTGTGTGGTGTGGCAGGATGGCTGATGGACCTTCTGGCCGCTTCTATGTTTCTTCTCTGATTGGGCTTCATTCACAGCCTCCTGTTCCTGCTCTTCAAATTAACACACAGCCACGCGACCTGAGAGAAGAAGAAAAGTGTGGCCATAATCTCCAGAGGGTCAGGGTCAGGGTCAGGCTTCGTCAGCGGTTTGTTGTGCACCTTCCAGTCTTTTTCATAATATGAGGAAAATCTTCCACGGGCAGAGAAGCCTCCCCAGGCCCCATCTGTCCCTCATGGCTTACTGCTTTGTTTGAGTGGAACACGTCATCTGGTAGCTGCCAAAAGGCGCGAGGAGGGTCAGTGTTTTCTGACTTTGCTTTTCTGGAAATACCTTTAATCTCCTTTGAGGCCTGGTTGTTAGTTTGGCGTAGAAGTCCTGGTTGAAACGGTTTCCCTCGGAGCTTGGGAGGCCTTGCACAGTGTGCTCTCCAGCTGGTTGCTCCTGTGGGTTTTCCCGCGCGCTTCCTGTAGAAACCTGCAGCTGTCTGCCGTGGGTCCGTGGGGTGACAGCTGGGCTCTCCTTCTGCCTGGAGGACTTTCTCTGCTCCAGTGTGCGATGTGAAAGCCACTGAGGTGACTTGGTGGGCCCCAGAGGGGAGTTGGCCACACAGCCAGTGATTTTCAGTGTCCTCCGACCTGGGGCATTTTCTTACATGATTACCTTCTGTTCTCTACCCCTGCCTCTTGCTCACTTTTTCTAAAGCTTGTGTTAGTTGAACCACTTTAATGCTCTGATTCTTATTTTTTTTGAGACAGAGTCTTGCTCTGTCTCCCAGTCTGGAGTGCAGTGGCGTGATCTCGGTTCACTGCAGCCTCTGCCTCCCGGGCTCAAGCAATCCTCCCACCTCAGGCCTCCCGAGTAGCTAGTATTACAGGCACACACCACCATGCCCCGCTAATTTTTTATACTTTTGTAGTGATGGGGTTTTGCCAGCTTGGCCAGGCTGGTCTCAAACTTTTGACCTCAAGCGATCCACCCACTTCCGCCCACTGGGATTATAGGCGAGAGCCACCATGCTGGGCCATAATTCTCTGTTTTTTTTTCTTTCCTGTTCAATCTCGTATTTCTACTCCTTTAGGAATAGTCTTACTTCTTGGGAGATTGCCTCAACTTTACTTTCCAGCCTTCTGTGGAGACTTGAGTTTTATTAGGATTATTTTGAATCTTTAGTTCTTTCTTGCCCTCGGCACGTTCTTTTTTGCAGCCACCCATTCTCGGATAGTGCACGTGTCTCTTATCTCACTGAGATGAGCGTGGACTTTTCTTTCTTCAATTTCTTCCTGGCCTTGTGTTTGATTGCCTTCTCTGGAGTGTGTTGTCTGCCTTTCTCATTGGAGGTTTTCCTCGGATGTCTGGCGATGCCATCTGCCTGTGTGTGATGGGAGTCAGCACCAGCCGGCCTCAGAGGCTGGGTGTGTGCACCCAGGGTGGGGCCCGAGGGGCTTCAGAGCAGGTGTCTGTGGGCAGCAGCCCCTTGCCTGTGGACTCCGTAGAACGTGTGGGTCAGTCGGTCTCTTCTGGGTGGTCAGTGTCCCGGCCTTCACTCTTGCCCAGGTCTGTCCCCTGGGGCTCTGGGAGGTGAGTGCGAAGGGGCTAGGTGACTCTCTTCTCAGTGAGTATTTGGCATCCCCGAGACAGGGGCCCCTCGGCTCCGTTTCCCCAGAGCCTTCTGCTGGCCTGGAGTTTGGGGCTGAGGATGCATCAGGGAGGTCCCGTTTCTCTTTGTAAAGACATTTGACAGCTCCCCTCACCACCTTGGTCTTCAGGCTGCCTGGCCCGGTTTGGTCTTTGGCAGGTCCTGGCACCTCTCGGGCTTCTCTGTGGCTGGTGCATTTGTTCCCTGGCCTCCAGCCCCCAGGTTTCCTTGCTGTCTCTCCGCGGCTGCCTTCTCTTCTTGCCTGTTGTCTTTGTCTTAGTGGGTTCATGGTTATTAAACATCTTTTTCTTGTCTTCGTAGAGAGGTTTGGGGGTGAGTGAAATGCCTGTAGATGTGTGTGTTGGTCTCCATGTTTATCTGCCACATTTGTAGAAAGGTGTGTGTGTGTGCGTGTGTATGTGCATGCGTGTGTGTGTGCATTCATACATCCACTCTTACCTCGGCACCCAGAGGATATGCATCTACTGTTAGCTGTTTGGGGTATTTACTTTTCATCTTTTTCATTTAGTCATTTAAAAATACTTACAAATAGTGCACAGACACTCTCTCATTAGATTTAATGAGTATTGATTTATTTCTCTCCACTGAATTAGTGCTGTAATGAATTTTTTTTAAGCCAGGTATGGTGGCTCATGCCTGTAGTCCCAGCTACTCGGAGGCTGAGGCGGGAGGATTGCCTGGGCCTGGGAGTCAGAGGCTGCAGTGAGCCAGGAGCAAGCCTGTGAATAGCCACTGCAGTGCAGTGGGCAGTGTGGAATAGACCCCATTTCAATTAAACAACAAAAAAATAACAACAGATAAAACCAAGAAAAAAAAGAGAAACGCTTTTTTCCATTGATGATGGTTTTAGAGCGTGGAGCCTCTTGGTTCCTGTGTCGGCTTCCTGAAGGGTTGTACCAGTTGTCGTGGGACGGTTGCTGATGGCCATGTCCTTCCTGTCATTCTTAGTGAAGTGGAGCAGTGGCCACGAGCTCATGAGCCCACACGTGTCTCCCCGTGGGAATGCATGATTGCTGAAGTGTCTGCGCAGACCTGTGTGCATGCCCGTGTCTATGCCCGGCCCGGGCACAGCAGATGTGGTCTGGCCTCCTGGCGGATGACAACCTGGCCATCTAGCGGCCTTGGCTTATTTTGCTAGGATCTGCCTCATTGGCTTTGTCATCTGCCTGGGCATATTGGCACTCGAGAAACAGGGAATCGGTCACCTTCCGTTCCCCACCGTTGTCCTTGATGATTTGCATGAGCGATTTACACAGTCAGAGCAGAGAGCCTTTAATTCCTGAGGGTGGGTGGCATGGCTGTCACGGAGTGGAACCCCGACCACACGCAGCTGTCCTCTCTGTCACCCTACCTGACGGAAGCCCCACAACCATGTGCTAACCTGTGTGTTTGGTTTGTGCAGGACGGCACCCTGAGGCTCTGGGAGTACAGGAGCGGCCGCCAGCTGCACTGCTGTCACCTGGCCAGTCTGCAGGAGCTGGTGGACCCCCAGGCCCCCCAGGTAGCTGCTTCTGTTCACTCCTGGGCGACTGAGTGCTTGTAGACACCGGCAGTCGCCTGACTTGAGTGGAAAAGTCACTTCGCCGTTGGAAACGTTTGCTCTCAATGCCAGACTTCCTCCTGTGTGAGGGAAATCTCGTATTTCAAATTCTGAAGGTGGCTCGTCATGTCAGTGGGAAATAATTTGTCTCCCTGTTGCATGCAAACAGTTAATGTACAGGAAGGCCTCTAATCCTGCTCTGAAGTGGAAGGAATGGAGGTGCTTGAGCATGCACCTTTGTGGGTCTGCCAGCCAGGTGGGGCAGGGGTGGGGCCAGGCCCACTCCAGCATTCTCCGGCCAGCTTGGAGCAATCTCATGACACCCTGAAAGCCCAGGCCTTGGCAAAGTTTCCCGCCAAACGGTCTGTTCCATTTCCTAGAGAACTGTGTGGTGTGGCCTCTGCCCCCTGCCAGGCAGCTGTGTAAGAGAGGACCAGGCCTTTTCCTTCATGCTTCACGTGGACTCAGGTTCCTGGAAGTTTCCTTCATTTAAAAAAAATTTTTTTTTTTTTTTTGAGATGGAGTCCCACTCTTGCCCAGGCTGGAGTGCAGTGGTGCTATCTCGACTCACAGCAACCTCCGCCTCAGGCTCCTGAGTAGCTGGGATTAAAGGCGTGAGCCACTGTGCACGGCCTCTTCTTCATTTTTAATATTTCCTCTGCCAGGAACTGTGGGAGCTCACAGGGCAGTTGTATGTGTAGCTCTCATCTCTTCCTTTCCCCTGTGTCCTCCGCTCCCTCTTCTCCTCACTGTCTGACCTATCTTGTTGGCTTTGGAGGCTGTCGCAGGCCCTGCAGGGAGTGCCAGAACCACTGGGGGGCTTTTGTCATCTGCTTGGGAAACAGGGAATCAGCTACCCTCCTTTCCCCACTGATTCCAGAATGTTCCAGTGCTGTTTCCTCTTCCTTGATATGTGGGGGCGTGAGCGTCCTTCGGTCTTGCTCTTGTTGGATCAGAGCGCCCGGCGTCGGGCCCCTGCAGGTGGCGTGAAGTTAATGGGCTTCTTCTCCTTTTAGAAGTTTGCCGCGTCCAGGATTGCATTCTGGTGCCAGGAGAACTGCGTGGCGCTCCTGTGCGACGGGTAAGCTGCGGCGGCACCTCTATGGCCTCCGGTTCTGCAGACCTGCAGGGGGAAGAGTTAGCGGGTTGGCCACTGGCCCACGTCCTCAATGAAGAGGTCCTGAACGGTGGTGGTATTGGTCTAGCACCTCCCTCTGAGAATGTCACTTTTGATGACTGCTGCTGCATGAGGGTGAGGGCTCCTCTCAGCCAGCGCTCTTCAACCTGACGTTGAACTCCCCTGGCGTAAAGAGCACCAGCAGCCTCTGCCTGGCCTTCTGAGATGACAGACTTTCCCCTGGGCCAGTCGTGGTGGCATCACCTCACTCCCGGCTCGGGGCTGGTCGGATGGGAACCCCCTGGGGTTGGCGGTGCTGACAAGGTGGGTTTAGGGGTGGAGTGCAGTTCTGCTGCTTCTTCCCGAGTGACTTGTGTGTGTCAGGAAAGGTATTCTATTTGGTGCTTTCGGCACTTTTCATCTTGTCCTTATGACAGCCTGGGGAGGTCTCTTAGCTCGTTCTGGAAGTACGCAGGTGTGAGAGGAGAGCTGCGCCTGAGCCCAGGGCCTGCGTCCTCCTGCCCTGCCTGCCTGTACCGTGCTGGTTAGCTATTGCTGCACCACGAGCCACTCCAGAGCTTAGGACTTAAAAAAGTGTACGTCACCCCATGGTTTCCCCGGCGCCGGCATTTGGGAGTGGCGCAGCTGGGGCTTTCAGCGTAGGCTCTCCTGAGGTGGCACCGGCGAGGGCTGCACCGTCTGGGGTGCTGGCTGCAGAGCGGAGCCCGTGGGCCTGCAGTCCTAGTAATCATGCTCTCTTTCTTCGTGGCAAGCACTCCTGTGGTCTACATCTTCCAGCTGGACGCCCGCAGACAGCAGTTGGTGTACAGGCAGCAGCTGGCGTTCCAGCACCAAGTGTGGGACGTGGCTTTCGAGGAGACCCAGGGGCTGTGGGTGCTCCAGGACTGCCAGGAAGCCCCCCTGGTGCTCTACAGGCCTGTGGGCGACCAGTGGCAGGTGAGACTCGGCACCTTCCAGATGTCCTATGCCCTGCCTTTCCATAAGCCTGGGGGTGTGGGGCGGCAGCTATGTTTTTTGGGTCCATGGGTAAGCCTCTTTCAACTCAGCCACTTCTGGGGCCCAGGGTCTGTGTCCTGAATGGCAGTGGCTGGGGCTTCCACCGTGGGTGAAGGGAGCCGGGTGCCAGGCCGGCGTGGCTGGCTTGTCCCATGTGGTGATGTCTGCAACAGTTCTTTTTTTGGGTGAGTGTGTGGCCCCCCACACCACACTTAGCGATGAAGTTGGCACTCAGTGTGGCAAGGGTGTGTGGGACTAACACTTGGAGGCTGGATTAGCACAGCCTCGGGCCTGGGGCACTGGCTGAGTCCTCAGGAGCATGTGGAGCCCCGGGTAGAGGAGGGGGCAAGGGCGGCAGGCTGAGCTGCTTTCCTCTGGGGAGACAGTGGGGTCTCTGGGCGAGGGCGGCGGGCCGAGCTGCTTCCTTGCTGGGGGACGGGGCGAACCCTGTACCTTGTCTGCATCGCTCCTGGTAACGGAGCAATGCCCCTGCCCGCCCTGCGTCTCACAGGGTTGCTGTGGAGTTGAGTGGAGTAGGTACCCATTTGCCAAAGCTCAGTTGAGCACTTTGGAAGCACTTTTTTTTTTTTTTTGAGACGGAGTTTTGCTCGTGTTGCCCAGGCTGGAGTACAATGGCGCTATCTCGGCTCACCGCGACCTCCGCCTCCCGGGTTCAAGTGATTCTCCTGCCTCAGCCTCCCGAGTAGCTGGGATTACAGGCATGCGCCACCACACCCGGCTAATTTTGTATTTTTAGTAGAGACGGGGTTTCTCCATGTTGGTCAGGCTGGTCTTGAACTCCCACCCTCAGGTGATCCGCCCGCCTTGGCCTCCCAAAGTGCTGGGATTACAGGTATGAGCCACTGCGCCTGACCTGGAAGCACTTTTAAGCCATCCAGTTCTTTTTACCTGAGAAGTGGCAGGCCACATGATGTCCCCAGTGGGTGCCTGTCGCACCTGCTGGCCCCTGAGGTTGATGAACTGCATGTGAAGAGCTTGCCCTGGCATCATGGGCCAGCTGCGGGGGCTGCCTCCCCAGGTCTCCACAGAAGGTGAATGGGGGTCCCCAGGCACCAGGAGGGGACCTCCCCTGCAAGCCTCTCTGGCCAGCATGTGTTGCGTCCTGGTGCTGGGTTTCCAGGCCTGCCTCTTTCTGATGAAGATTTCCTGTTTGTCGCCTGCAGTCTGTTCCTGAGAGCACCGTGTTAAAGAAAGTCTCTGGTGTTCTTCGTGGGAACTGGGCCATGCTGGAAGGTGAGAGCACGGGTGCAGGCTGCCCTTGGGGGTCACACCCAGCGCGGTCCCCAGAGAAAGCAGAAGCACACACTGTGACCTGCCCGGGGTACCTGGTGTGCAGATAAAGAGGGAGAGTAAGCGTGTGTCCCCATCCAGAAGGCGGGGCAGGGCAGGAGGTGGGTGACGCACAGCAGAAGAAGGAGCCCCCCATGGGAGTCAGGCTAACGAGAGCCACTTAGGAACCGGGGGCTCAGGGTCTGAGCACCTGCCTTCAGAGTTGGGCGTTGAAGGTCCCCAGGGCAGGGCTGGCAGCTGGTGGCTCCCAGAGGGAGCTGGTGCTGTGCTGCCTCATGCCTGGTCCATGGTGTTGAGGGAATTGATCCCACTGCAGTGGGCGTCAGTAAGTGCAGGGCCTCACTGGGAGGTTTAGTGGGGGTCTAGCCAGAGGCCCCGGGGGTCTTCAGGAGGCTGAGCAGGGGCAGGATGGTCACTGTCCTGACAGGAACACTCAGCTGAGGGGAGGGAATCTAGCCAGCAACTCCCGTGGCTGCGGCTGCAGGAAGGAGAGCAGCCAGGCTGAGGGAGGAGCTGGACGAACATTTTCTACCCTGCCTTCTGGGGACACGACACACTGTAGTTCTGGGTGCGTCGTTGTGCCAGCACCTTGCAGTCTTGGAGGTGATGGTGTCTGCAGGATGGATTAGCCCAGCATGGAATCCAGGTGCCTCATTCACGACAAGAAGTTGCTGCTCTGAAGTCTTGCAAAGCTAAACCCCACTGCAGTGAGCACTGAGGTTCCTTGGAGCTCTGGAGGGATTCACACTGAGGTCGGAGGAGTTTCCGCTGATTGGGGCCCAGCCGCCTTCTGCCAGGCTCCCCGAGTGGCGGCACGCTGGCTCTGCCTCTGAGGCTTCTCTCCCTCCTGCTTTGCTTAGGATGTTGAGGGTTGAGACGGGCAGGGTTGGGCCCCCCAGCGTGGTTGGGATCTGCTTTAGGAACACTTCAGAGTGGGCCTGTCACTGGCTGTGTCAGGGACTGCAGGCGGCAGTGCTCATGGCCGGGCATCTGCAGTGCTCATGGCCCCCGTGCTCTAGGCCACGGACAGCATAGACCTGTTGAGTGTCACCTTGCACAACAGTCTCAGGCCAAAGCCTGGGCTCGCTCTCCTGAGATGTTCCATAGATAGAGCAGCCTGTTCCCGGCGCAGACTTGGGGGCCTGCGTTGGGAGAGGGACCGGGGAGGGCTGCTGCTAGAGTGTCCCACAAGCAGCAGAGTCGCTGGAGGGGCGGGGAGGCTGCGCCACCTGCTGGATGGGCAGGCTTCAGGCAGTCGCTGGTGCGCGGGTTACCGGCTGGGCCTGTGGTTTCCTGGCCAGGCTGAGGCTGTCTCCGTGTGCCTGTGGTCAGTCATTGCCCCCAATCCTTGGCACTTAGATAAAGTAGATGAAATCCGTGTCCATTCCCTGTGGCGGCAGAACATGCTATCCCACACTCGATGCCTTAAGGCACCCCACCCTTACTGTCTCACTGTTGCTGTGGGTCAGGGGTCCGGACTCAGCTGAGCTGTGTCTCTGCAGGTGGCCATCTCAGCTTCACCAGGCAGGGCCCGACTTCACTCAGTCTGGGTTGTCGGCAGGACAGGGGGCCTCTCTGGCTGTTGGCCAGAGGCTGCTGCTCCTGGTCCCCTGCCACCTGGGCCCCTCCACAGGGCGGCTCATGGTGCAGTAGTGGCTTTCTCCGGGCGTGCAAGCAGAGAGTGCTGGCGGGGTGGAGGCCCAGCCTTGGTGCCCTGGTTTCCATTACATTCTTTCATCTTTGCCCCGTTCTGTTAGTAGCCAGTCCTCAGGTCCAGCCAGGGTGTGGGTCCCAGGAGGTGGGCACCGTGGGGAGCCGTCCCAGAAGGCGCCCCCCACGGTCCACCGAGGACTCTGGGAGTCACGAGGTAACTCCCTGCTGCAGGGGGCCCGCTGTGGTGGCCGAGTCCCATGTTCCTGCCCCACCTGGCACCTGTCCTTGTTCCCCCATCACAGGCTCTGCCGGCGCAGACGCCAGCTTCAGCAGTCTCTACAAGGCCACGTTCGACAACGTGACCTCCTACCTGAAGAAGAAAGAGGAGAGACTGCAGCAGCAGCTAGAGAAGAAGCAGCGGCGCCGGAGTCCCCCGCCTGGGCCCGACGGGCATGCCAAGAAGATGAGACCGGGGGAGGCGACGCTAAGTTGCTGATCGTGGCGGTCAGTGGTGTCTCTCACCTCAAATTAGGAAAAGCTTTTTAACTTGTTCCCCTGCATCCTGGCATGTCCCTTCAAGAAGGAAAAGGTGACATCAGTTGTGACCAGCTCAGAGGATGGGGCTGTCCCCTGGGCTCTAGAAAGAACATTCTGTGTCACCAGCACAGGCTCTTGCTGGGTGCCTGTGCCCCCTTTCTGGTTGAAGGGAAGCCAGACCAGTGGAGTGGAAGCTCTTGAAGCACTTTCTTTTCATGTCGGAGGCTGCGTGTGAGCCGGTGGTGGCGGCAGCTGTCTGTGTTTCTCCTGTTCTCATACCGCCCTTCGTGTCCGCTGCATCTTCCTCTAGGAGCATCTGTGGGCTGACGTTTCTGGCATGGTGGATGTTTTCATGTTGTTCCGCCGTCTCAGCATCCAGGTGACGTGCTGTCCCGCAGTAGCTGCTCGCCACACAGGCTGTTGAAACTCAGCACGAATGCTTGAGCCTGCCCCAGCCCCAGCCGTAGCCCTTGTGCTCAGGAGCTGCTCCTGGAGAGTGGCTCCCTTGTGGGAAGTGAGAAACACGTTTCGGAGTCGCAGGGAGCTCTGTCTGGCATCGGTGGCACAGATGGTGAACTTGTTTCAGGAAGTGTGAGCACGGGCCTGGCTGGCACCCGGTTTACAGGGAGGTGATTGAGGACGTCGTTATGATTTGATTTGACCTTGGCACACACTGCAGAGCCACAGGGATGTTGCTGAATTTCAATCACCGATCAGCAAGGATGAACCTTCTCAACTTCCTAGGAATGTTTAGCAGCAACCGAATATACCAGGCAAAACTCCTTGGTGCCTGCGCTGTGTGTGTGTGAGGTGCGCGGTGTGATTGTGCGCTGTGTGTGTGTGAGGTGCACGCTGCGTGATCGTGTGCTGTGTGAGGTGCGCGCCGCGTGATCGTGCGCTGTGTGTGTGTGTGAGGTGCGTGGTGTGATCGTGCGCTGTGTGTGTGGTGCACGCCGCGTGATCGTGCGCTGTGTGTGTGAGGTGCGCGGTGTGATCGTGCGCTGTGTGTGAGGTGCACGCTGCGTGATCGTGTGCTGTGAGTGAGGTGCGCGCCGCGTGATCGTGTGCTGTGTGAGGTGCGCGCCGCGTGATCGTGTGCTGTGTGAGGTGTGCGCCGCGTGATCGTGCGCTGTGTGTGTGAGGTGCGCGGTGTGATCGTGTGCTGTGAGTGAGGTGCGCGCCGCGTGATCGTGTGCTGTGTGAGGTGCGCGCCGCGTGATCGTGTGCTGTGTGAGGTGCGCGCCGCGTGATCGTGTGCTGTGTGAGGTGCGCGCCGTGTGATCGTGCGCTGTGTGAGTGAGGTGTGCGCCGCGTGATCGTGCGCTGTGTGAGTGAGGTGCGCGCCGCGTGATCGTGCGCTGTGTGTGTGAGGTGCGCGGTGTGATCGTGCGCTGTGTGTGAGGTGCACGCTGCGTGATCGTGTGCTGTGAGGTGCGCGCCGCGTGATCGTGTGCTGTGTGAGGTGCGCGCCGCGTGATCGTGTGCTGTGTGAGGTGCGCGCCGTGTGATCGTGCGCTGTGTGAGTGAGGTGTGCGCCGCGTGATCGTGCGCTGTGTGAGGTGCGCGCCGCGTGATTGTGCGCTGTGTGAGTGAGGTGCGCGCCGCGTGATCGTGTGCTGTGTGAGTGAGGTGCAGGCCACGTGATCGTGCGCTGTGTGTGTGTGAGGTGCGCACTGCGTGACCGTGCGCTGCATGTGAGTGAGGTGTGCGCCGCGTGATTTGGGAAGAGGCTTCTGCAATGGGCAGGCTTCTGGGTACATCACTTAATTCGTTCAGGCCGGCTCCTACCTGCTGTCCAGTGATGAAGTCTCCACACAGGAACAGGTTCATGCTGGCGATGACTATGATGTGGGGTATCGCTGGGTACTCAGAATCCTTTTGTGTATCAAAAGCTGGAATGCTTCAAATTTTTCATAAGTGCCTTGTTTTCCTTTTAACATTGATCTGGAAACAGTGCTGTCTGCAAAGCTGAGGCCCACTCCTCTCTGCTGGGGATCAGGGGTTTCAGAAGGCAGGGGCCATGCTGGGCCACTGTCCTGTACAAGCAGCCTGGCCTCCTTCACGCTGCCAGGGCATCTGGCGCAGGGCATGCTTTCTCATTCATAGTCTGCTTTGAAAGTCTTGGTTTTAGGAGAGGTTCAGGTTGGTCTTGCTGGCATCTTCACCTAAAATAGGGTCTGGCAGACAGGCCCATGCGCTGCATCCTGCCCACGGCCTGATAGATGGCCTGTGAATGGCTTTTTTACATTTTAAAAGTGGTTGAAAACAAATTAAAAATATATTTCATGACATGAAAATCATGAAATTCACATTTCATTATCTGAGAATAAACTTTTATGGATGCAGCCATGCCTGTCTGTCCATGTCTTATCTGTGTCTGCTTTGTGCTACGGCTGCAGAGTGGAGTGGCTGGGACTGAGACGGAACGCCCTCCTCACGGGGCCGCGTCTCTCCACCAGGACCGCGGGGCTACTCTGAGGCTCTGCTTCTTCCCCAGCGGGGTTGGCTTCCTGCTATTCCTCAGCATCCTGCCTTGGTCCTGAGTTGGTCCCTCTGCCAAGAGCCGTTTCTGTGTCTCAGTGGATGGCGCAGCTGCCTTCTTGCTGGTACCTTGACTGATAGACTGGTTCCTGTTCACCTGCCCGAAGTCATCCCAGAAATACCTCTTACAGTTGCATGGGTTGAACCCAGCTCCGCGTGTATTTAGAGTTTTGTCTCTTGCCCCTTCACCCAGAACAGCAGCACCCACCACCTTCCCGTCCCCTGTGACTGCCTCGCAACTGGGTCTGTTCTGTGAGATGTCGCCACCCTGTTTGCCATCTGGGAGGATCTCACTCCTTCAATTTAATCTGCTCTCTTCCGTTATTTTTTTAGTTTCTATGTATTTTACTTTTAGGACATTCCTTGGACTTTGTTCTACCTCTTTAATTGATGAAGAAAATTTGGTCATTGTATCTGGTTTTTTTTTTTGAGACAGAGTCTCGCTCTGTTGCCCAGGCTGGAGTGCGGTGGCACAATCTCGGCTCACTGCAACCTCCACCTCACTGCAACCTCCGCCTCCCGGGTTCAAGCGATTCTCCTACCTCAGCCTCCCGAGTAGCTGGATTACAGGCTCCTGCCACCACGCCTGGCTAATTTTTGTATTTTTAGTAGAGATGGGGTTTTGCCATGTTTGCCAGGCTGGTCTCCAACTCCTGACCTCAGGTGATCCTCTCGCCTCGCACTCCCAAAGTGCTGGGATTATAGGTGTCAGCCACTGCACCCAATCTATTGTATTTAATTCTAAGCACTTTCTTCCAGACGGTCTCACTCTGTCACCCAGGCTGAAGTGCAGTGGTGTGATCTCAGCTCACAGCAGCCTCAACCTCCCAGGCTCAAGCAGTCCTCCCACCTTGGCCTCCCAGAGTGCTGGGATTACAGGCACGAGCCATTATGCCCAGCCCGTCTTTCTTCATTTTGATTACAGTGTGCGTACTGTACATCCGAGAAGTGCATGTGAAATGCTGGAACTGGGATTTCAGCAACTGAATGCACGTGTGTGACTACCCACGAGAAGCAGGACACTTAGCACCTGCTGAGAAGCCCCCACGCCCATGTTCCCTTCTAGGCACTGCACAGGCATGCTGGCCGGCCTGACCTCAGTTTCCCTCTTGCTGTGGCCGCTTCTGCTCCACTCTCTGTGAGGCTCATCCACCTTGTTGCCTGTGGTTGTGGATTGTTCATTCTCAGTGCTCTGTATGCCAAGTACTCCATTGTGTGAAAATCCCACAGCACGTTCATTCTATTATCAATGGGCATTTGGGTAGTTTCCACAGTTTGGCTGTTAGGAATAGTGCAGTGATGAACATGCTGGCACCTGTCTTCTGTTTTTTTTTTATTTTTAGAGACAGGGTCTTGCTCTGTTACCCAGGCTGGAGTGCAGTGGTGTGACCTTGGCTCGCTGGGCCTCCTGGGCTCAAGCGATCCTCCCACCTCAGTCTCCTGAGTAGCTGGGACTGCAGGTGTGTGCCTGCGTGCTGGCTAATTTTTGTAGTTTTTGTAGAGATGGTGTCTTGCTCTGCTGCCCAGGCTGGTCTCGAACTTCTGGCCTCAAGCAGTCCTCCTGCCTTAGTTTCCCAAAGCACTGGGATTACAGGTGTGAGCCACTGCCCCCGGCCAGCACCCGTCTTCTGGAACATTTGTAAGCATTTCTGTTGGGTGTGTACTTGCGCGTGGAATTGCTGGCTCTCAGTTATGCACATTTCTTAGAAGATCCTGCCAGTCCTTCATCCCAGACCCCGACCCCAGCGTGGAAAACGCAGTGCATCCTCAACGCCTAGTGTTTGCGGCTGTGGCGGCTCATGATCGACTTGGAAGGCCCACAGTGTGTGGTGTGGAGTTTTGCAGGGAGCCAGTGACACTGCCCACCTTCGATCCAGACCTAACCTTGATCCTGTTCTCTGAGGCCACCTTACCAAAACCTTGACTTACCCGTCTTAGATCACTTACCCTGGGGGAAATGTGCCGCAAGCTCACGAGGGCACTCAGCCAGCCTACAAAGGTTACCATGGCAGAGAACTGAGGCCTCCTGCCAGCAGCCAGCAGCAGCTGACCAGCCGCGAGGGCCCCTCCGGGAAGGAGAGCTTTCTGTGTTTCTTCCTGTACCCCATATATGTTGACGTGATACGTTTTACTTTCTGATTTCCCTTGTGAGATCTTTGGTCTGTGGGTTATTTGGAAGTATGGTTTAATTTCCAAACATTTAGGGTTTTCCTCCAGATTTTGTTGTTGTTTCTGGTTTCTGGTTTTAATTCCACTGTGGTCTCAGAATATACTTTGCTGACTTCCCTCTCTTTAGATTTGTTGAGCCCTGTTTTGTGCTTCATAGTGGGAGGGTGATTGTATGTGCACGTGCAGATATGTGTGGCCCCCACACGGTATCTCCAGCTATCCGTGTCTTGCCTCTCCGTGCCCAGTGCACCCTTCTCAGCCCTGCCGTGTGACCCTGGGCTGGGCCCTCCCTGTACCCTCCTTTGCAGGTTGGCACAGTGTTTGGCTCTGTCACTGGAAGGAGCTGGAGGGACTCCACAGGAGGGAGGGGCCTGCCCTCCTGGTTCCAGTGTGCTTGCTTTTCCTGGCTTCCGTGGTGTGTGCCTGCCAGCCTCATGGTGGGGGCGGGGGCTCTCAGTGACAGTCTGCAGGAGTTTAGCAACACCCAGGTTCATTCACCACGGTGGGAAGGATTCCTGCTAAGCTTCCTTGCCTCTGTCCAGCTCCCAGGGCGTCTGCCTCCCTCCTGCCCCAGGGAGAGCTTCTGGGTGAGTCTCGCTGGCACTCCTGCCCCGGGCTTCCTGCTCTCAGGCCTTGGCCTGCTGCACCTTGGCCAACTGCACCACCCGGCACATCATAGCCCCACTCAGGTCAGAGCTGCGTCTCAGCCGACGTGGGGTTCCGAGGTTCTCACCAAGATCCAGACTCAACGCTTGTGGGTTTGTTGTCTCAGTCCTGGCGGTGGAGGTTCTCCCGAGGCCTCAGCGCCTCCGTTCTCGGAAGTCTCTTTACATGTTAGTGGAACCCTCTGTTCCTGTTGAATCATTCTTCGTGTTAAATGTTTCTATCTCTTGACTGATACATGATAGTCATCATGTATGTATTCTGCGGCTGCTTTTGTTTTTTTCTCTTTATCCCTGGTTTTCTGTAATTTGATAAGCTTTAGGGTATGTGTGTGTGTTTTGGGGGTTTGTCAAGATTTGTAGGCTTTGTCATTTTTATGCAATTTGGAAATATTCTAGCTATTCGGTCTCTTCCCCTGCCTCCTGCAGTCCCAGGTACTCGAATGGGCTGCTTGCTGTGGACTCATGGGTCCGTGAGTCTGCTCATCTTCTTCAGTTTGCGTTTCATTTTTGGTAGATTCTGTTTCCACGTCTTCAAGCCCACTGATCTTTTAAGCTGCTGTTAAGCTATGGCCATTTTCTGTATGAGCCATTGTGTTTTTTCATCTCTATAAATTTGGTTTTGGTATTTAAAAAAATGTCTTCCAGCTAGGCTGGCGGCTCACACCTGTGATCCCAACACTTTGGGAAGTTGAGGCAGGGGGATTGCTTGAGCCCAGGAGTTTGAGACTAGCCTGGGCAATACAGTGAGACCTCATCTTTAAAAATAATTAAAAAGGTCAGGTGCGGTGGCTCACGCCTGTAATCCCAGCATTTTGGGAGGACAGTGGATCACAAGGTTAGGAGTTTGAGACCAGCTTGGCCAATATGGTGAAACCCTGTCTCTACTAAAAATATAAAAAATTAGCTGGGCACATGCCTGTTGTCCCAGTTATTTGAGAGGCTAAAGCAGGAGAATCGCTTGAACCTGGGAGGCGGAGGTTGCAGTGAGCCGAGATCGCGCCACTGTACTCCAGCCTGGGCGACAGAGCAAGAATCTGTCTTAAAAAAAAAAAAAATTAGCCAGGTGTGGTGGCACATGCCTGTAGTCCCAGCTGCTCGGGAGGCTGAGGCGGGAGGATCACTTGAGCCTGGGAGTTTGAGGCTGCAGCAAGCCGTGATTGCACTACTGCATTCCAGCCTGGGTGACAGAGTGACGGTCTCAAAAAAAAAAAAAAAAAAAAAAAAAAGCACACCAGTGTCTTCCATTTCTCTTTTAATCATAATCATGCTTTAAAAAATACCCTCGAGCATATGGAGCAAATTTAAGATAATTGTTCCTTTTCTGCTAATTCATTATTACTGTCATATCTAGGTCTGTTTCTGTCGACTGTGGACCACTTATGTGCGATCCGTGGACCACTTGCGTGCGATCTGTCGGCCGACGATGAGCTTGTTCGGATGTAGCTCCATCGTAAGTCGAGGAGCATCTGTGATTTGTCCTCTGCTTATGGGATATGTTTTTCCGCTACTGAGTCTGTGTAGTAAATTTTTGACTAGGAACATGGTGAGATTTACATTATTAAGTGTGAAGTTTTGTTAAGGTTCCTTTAAAGAATATTACGCTTTCTGGCCGGCTGTTAAGCCCCATGTAGATTAATTTGGTCTTTTTCAGGTTTGTTTTAAGCTCACTAGAGTGAGGCTGAAGTAGCCTTTCCTTGGATGATTTAGTCCTTCCCAGGTGTGACCCTCCTGCTGTCCCTGCAGAATCCTGGGTATTCAGAAGTGTCTGCACACTGGCTGGAGGGACGAGGGTGATTTCTGTGCAAGGCGGGAATTGTTTGTCTTACCCTCCGGAGGATTGTTTTTTCCTCAAAAGCTACTCTTTGGCGTCCTGGGGTTTTACAGAATGTGTAGGTTGGTGTTCATCCGAAGACCCCAACGGGACGCTGGTGTGTATTTCCTTTCATCTGTGCAGCTCCCCTCCCCTTTGCGGGTATTCTGTCCCCAGTTCTAGCTGCCTTGGCCTTACCTATACCAGGGAGGCCAAGTGGCCCGCTCGCCCCACTCCCCTTCCAGACAGGGTGCAGACAGGGCCCTCCCATCTCCTGGACGGCGGCGGCCCCTGTGCAGAACTTCATGGGCACCTGGCTGTCTGGGGGCCTCTTCCCCAGGGAGTCTCCTGGTGGTGGCCGTGTTGCCTCAGGCTCACTGTGCACTAGGCAGGTCACGTCAATGCCACCTGAGGGGCAGGGGTTACCACCCTGTGGTTCAGGTGAGAAGCCCGAGGCCCAGGTGAGGAGTGTCTGGCAGTCCGTGCAGTGTCTGGACAGTATGCCAGCCCCTGCCCGGAGGCCCAGCTTCTCCAGCCCAGCCCACACCCACCAGGAAATGCCCCGATTTTACTCCCCTGGGGCAAAGGCCCTTGGCTGGCTGAGCATCCCCTCTCCCAGCACTCGGAGGCACCTGCAGTTGCTCAGCTGTTCATTGAGTGCTGGGAGTGGAAACTCATACGCTGAGCGGCAGTGACGCTGCGGAGCTGACAAACCCCACAGCCCGCCCGGTCACCTGCTTCACCGAGGGCCACAGCCCCCCCGGGGTCAGGTGGCCACAGGGGTCCTGGCCATGTGGGACATCTGTTCTGTGGCCCTGCTCAGGATGGCACCTGGCGGGGACTGGCCCTGGGGTCGAGGCATGGGCTCAGCCACTGCCCTGCAGGGACACAGCCAGGACCTCTTCCCGGCAGAGGGACTCCCCCACTAATCCCCAGAATACTGAGGGGCACGCTGGGTGCCAGGCTGGCAGGGACCCTGGGGATTCTGCAGCGAGCTGAATGGGGTGGGAGTTCCTTCTTAAAATGTGGAGTCTGGAGGCCACTCTTGGCGAAGCGCTGGTGCCCGGGGATTCTGCAGTGAGCTGGGCATGGATTCGTGAAGCTGCTCATGGTGAAGCGCTGGGGTGATGGTGGATGGGCCACAGCGCCACTGTCACAAGGAAGGTGGGTGACAGCGAGTGTTCCCTGTTCCCTTACCAGCGAGTGCCTCCCTGGGAACTTGCCCCCAGGCTGTGCTCTTGGGCCATCTCCTTCATCCTCACCTTCACAGCCACCCCTCCTTCTCCCAACTGAGGCACCTGCAGAGGAGAGGGGCCCCAGACGGGGACAGCAGGGCAGAATCCCAGCTCCCAGATCCGGGAGAGGGGGGATTGGGTGTGGCGGCAGTTTCGGGGGTAGGGGGCCAGGTGGGTGTGGGACCCAGGGGCGTGGTTTCAATCCTCCCCCCAGGACCTTGGGAATGGCCTCCAGGAGCCTGGCATGGGGAGGCCAGGGTCACCAGCTGAACCATCTGGACCAGAATTGCACAGCAGCGCCCTCTCCTCTACAGCAAGACGTCACCCAGGGGTCCCCACAGAGGAGGCAGGGAAGCTTGAGGGTCCCAGAGGAGCGTGGAGCATGCACCATGCTACGCTATACCACACTACACACACGTGCACCATACACGTACATATGCATGTGCCACACATCACACACGTGCACATTCCACACCATGCACACACACCCACCACACCACACATGTACTTACGCATGTACCACACCACATCACACGTGCGCACTCCGCACCATACATGTACATACACAGGTACATCATGCACTCACATACCACACATCCACATACACACATGTGCCACACCACACTAAACTCACACCATACATGCACATATCCACATACACACAGGCACACACCACACAGAACATGCACACACCATAGAGGCACCCACACACAACCAATCACGTATGCACACACTCGCACCATATATATGCACATACATAGATTCATACATCACACATCACAGTACACCACCCCACACAGGCACTTATGCACCATATGTGCACATACACTCACACCACACATGCACACCAAACATCACATACACACTCGCACAATATGTGCATTGCGCACATACACACCACACATTACACTACACACACCACACCACATACGCACACATGTCCACTCATGCGCAGACACCATACAGATACAGGTGCACACATATACCACACACACATTATACCACGTACTATGCCACACACACAAACCATACATGCATACGCACAAATACCATACCATCCCACTCACACTATACATGTACACATGCACACAGACACACCATACCACAAACACACGCACACCACCACATACAGATACATACCATCCCACTTACACCATACATGTACATACATACCCCACACATGCACACATTCACACAGCATCACAGACACCACATACAGCTGTGCACACACTGTACCACTCACATCATACATGCACACACACTACACTATATAGACACCATACACACACACCACATAGATACGCATACACAAATACATCATACTATTTACACACATCATACATGCATAGACACCATACACAGACACACCACGCACACTCATACACATACACACACACGGTCTGGAGATGGAGTCACTGCAGCCAGCAGGGGTGGCGTGCAGACAGGAGGGCCTAACTCAGGCAGGCACAGCAGGTACACAGGGGCGGCCCCCTGGGGGCTTGAGGCGGCCCGGGAACCCTCCTCCTGCCCAGCCCCTCCCATCTGCCCCCCTGGGGGCTTGAGGCGGCCCGGGAACCCTCCTCCTGCCCAGCCCCTCCCATCCACCCCCCTGGGGGCTTGTGGCCCCAGCCTCCTTCCCGTGGCTTCGAAGCCCCTCGTCCTCCCAGGCCAGCCCCATCCTCACCCACAGGCGCTCCCAGCACTCTGTGAGGCTCTACTCACGGATGGCAGGCACTTCCCCTTACTGGTCTCAAAGGAGACCCTGGAGCAGATGGTCCCGAGACCCCTTCCTGCCAGACACCCCTGGGCTGGGGCCACTCCAGGTCGGGGCATGCAAGTGCTGCCCACCAAAAAACCACCGTGGATGCAGCGGGGCCTCTGCACATCACCCCTCGGTGCACTGGAGGCCTCAGCGGTGCTCCTGGCTGAGCATGGGGACTTCACTACCAGTCTGCCCTGGGTCACGTATGGAAGCCTCAGCCGGAGGCGTGGGAGCTGAAGGCCCGACGCTTCCTGTTCTGCTCAGCTCCTCCTTGGAGGAAGTGGGGTTTGCACCACGATGGCCCTTCACCCCTGCCCCCTCCTCTCTACACCTGCACTGATGTCAGACAGCAACCTCTCAAGACAGGTGGGACACGCCATTCCTCCTGTGAGGTCACAGCGAGAAGTGCATCAGCTTGAAATGAGAGGCAGCTCTTGGGGGCAGGAGTCAGTGGCAGCACCAAGCGACCCACCCACCACGTTTGGGGGTTGGGGACCTCCAAAGCAGGCAGGGGCTTGCTTCCATCAGATTTGGGGGAGGGCACCATTAGGGAGAAGAACACAGAGGCCTTGGGAGTGAAAACTGACCTTGGAAAGCAACAGGAACACCTTCTGCTAAGGAGCGGAATGAAAAACCCTGGAGAGCAAATTCCTGAGCAGGAGAATGGAGTGGAGGAAGCAGCCAAGGAGGATAAAGAGATGGGAACAGGAAAGAAAACCTGTAGGATGAGATGTTGCTATGTTGCTCAGGCTGGCCTCCAACTCTTGGGCTCAAGTTATCCTATCTCTGCCTCCCAAAGTTGTTTTTTGAGACAGAGTTTCACTCTTGTTGCCCAGGCTGGAGTGCAGTGGTGCAATCTTGGCTCACTGCAACCTCAGCCTCTCAGGTTCGAGATTCTCCTGCCTCAGCCTCCTGAATAGCTAGAATTACAGGTGTCCACCACGCCCGGCTATTTTTTTGAGTTTTTAGTAGAGACGGGGTTTAACCGTGTTGGACAAGCTGGTCTTGAACTCCTGACCTCAAGTGATCCGCCTGCCTCGGCCTCCCAAAGTGTTGGGATTACAGGCGTGAGCCACCGTGCCCGGCCTTCATTTTGCCTTTAAAAACCACTGCTTGGTAGGGCGTGGTGGCTCACACCTGTAATCCCAGCAGTCTGGGAGGCTGAGGCGGGTGAGGCGGGTGGATCACCTGAGGTCAGGAGTTTGAGACCAGCCTGGCCAACAGGTGAAACCCCATCTCTACTAAAAATACAAAAATCAGCTGGTCCTGGTGGTGTGTGTAGTCCCAGCTACTTGAGAGGCTGAGGCAGGAGGATCACTTGAACTTGGGAGGTGGAGGCTGCAGTGAGCCAAGATCGTGCCATTTCACTCCAGCCTGGGTGACAGAGAGGGACTCCATTTCAAAAACAAATTTGACAGGGAACAGTCACACAGTTTAGAAAGGATTATGCAAACCAGAATCAATAGTGACCTGATGAACCGGGCTTTCTGACGATTCTAAACCACGGAGGCTGAGGGGCCCAGCTAAACAATGACAGCACCTCGGGGAAGTGGGTGAGATGTGCAGCGGGCTGTGGAAGGAGGCCAGAAGGACCAGGGCCCTAGTCCAGGCTGCTGGTGATGAGAACTAAACAGGGCGCAGGGCGACGAGCAAGTGCTGTAGTCCGAGGAGCGGCCCCTGGGCGCCAGCGCCATGGGTGGAGGCCGTCCCTCCTAAGGCGCAGCCGGTGCATTTGGGACCGGGGGAGCAGATCCCGTGCCTCCCTGGACCCCGGGGTCTTGGGATCACCCGGCCGCAGAGGCAGAGGCTTCGGCTGCACAGAAACCTGGGGTGGCCGCAGGGAAGCAGCGCCCTCAGGTGACTGGAGAGTGGGTAAGAGAAGCCCCAAGAAGGACCTCGCCCATCCCCGTAGGCGTGGGACGGCACAGGCCGCCAGGACCCCCACGCACAGCCCAGTCTGCGGGGCGCGACCCCAAGGCCAGCAGCAGAGGACAAGGACGGGGCCAGGGCAGGGGCCAGGGTTGGCAGAGGGCGGAGGGTGGGGAGGGCGCTCTGGGGAGGTCAAGGCCAGGGCTAGGCTTTCAGGGCCATGTCCTGGCTCCCCGCCCCTCGGGGAGACGGGGGCGGGGAGCGCTGTGAGCAGAGGGGCCCGGGTGGAGAAGGTGCTGCCGGCCAGCGGGAGGGAGGGCAGCGGGGGTGCAGCAGAAGCCCAGGTGGGGACTTGGGGTGGTCGAGGGGACCCTTGGGCTGCAGGGACTGGGGAGGGGAGCAAGGGGTATGGCTTAGGCAGGTGCCAGGGGACGGTTGGTGCCCTTTATTCTGAAGGGGGATGTGCTGCCCAGGGCAGCGGGACCTGGAATTACATTTTGAGATTTCCAGGAAAGTTTCAGGTGGAGGCAGAGGCTGGGCGCAGAGGAAAATGTGGCAGTGGCAGAGTGTGGGGTGAGAGCCACGAAGAGAGGAGGTCACTGAGGTGGACAGTGGGACAGAGAGAGGGACGGGGAGAGGAACAGGAGTTTCAGAAACGTCCTGGACACATTGGGCAGCCGTCAGCATTGCTTTCCATTCATGGACAAAGCGTGGGTGCCCAGAAGAGGCCAGAAGCCAGTGCAGAAGCCCAGGCCTCCCTGCCATCACCCGGTGCTGGCTGAGCTGCAAATGGCTGTGCAGAGCCTCCTCCATGCCTCACCCTGGTCTGGACCGGACCACAGGGCCCTTTGGATCCTTTCCCAGGTCCCACGTCTGACCCACACCCAGAAGCAGCGCTTGGTGGAGTCTGCCCTGAAGATGCACGTCCAACAATATGCAAACACCCAAAAGGTTATAGGCTGTGCATTGTGTCACAAGGGAGCACTGTGCAGCCGTGACAGATGAGTGACAATGTAGGGTGGTTCCCACGACCCGCTGCTGAGCACGAAGCAGGTGCAGATGTGTATCTGCAGCGTGTGCTCTTCAGGTAAGGGAGATGGGGAGAGAAGCAGTTACTCGGGTGCTCTGGAGGAAGGAAAGATAAACCAGGACCTAAAGAGAGTTGTTGCCTGCAGGGGCGGATGGGAGTGGGGCAGAAAGAAGGGAACGGGAATGGAGTAGCAGGGATGGGGCGGAGCAACATTTTTCTAAGGAGACTTTCTGTGAAGCGCCCCATTCTTAGAATCACAGTGATGTTTCATAGCCCCCCAAAATAATGAAGATCAACCAGATTGTGGGAGAAATTCCAAATGGATATAAACAGTAACAAGCAAACTTCACTGTTCAAAAGGAATAACTTTACCATCCTGAATCCAGGGTGAAGGAAAGAAACGAGTAACTGTGGGCCAGGAACAGTGGCTTACGCCTGTAATTCCAGCACTTTGGGAGGCTGAGGCAGGATCACCTGAGGTAAGGAGTTCAAGACCAGCCTGGCCATCACGGTGAAACCCTGTCTCTACTAAAAATACAAAAATTAGTTGGGCATGGTGGTGCACACGCCTGTAGTCCCAGCTACTGGGGAGGCTGAGGCAGGAGGCCCAGGATGTGGAGGTTGCAGTGAGCTGAGATCACATTCAAGCCTGGGCCACAGAGCGAGACTCTATCTAAAAAGAAAAAAAAAGTAACTTTGGAAAATAGGATTTTGATGGATACCGTAAGTAAGTTTAAAGACAAAAAGAACTGGACAGAATACTGGAGATCAAGCTTGTCCAACTCGCGGCTTCTGGGCTGTGCGGCCCAGGACAGCTTTGAATGCGGCCCAACACAAATTTGTAAACTTTCGTAAGACATTATGAGATTTTTTTGCGATTTTTTTTTTTTTAACTCATCAGTCATCATTAATGTTAGTGTATTTTATGTGTGGTGCAATACAGTTGTTCAGTGTGGCCCAGGGAAGCCAAAAGCTTGGACACCCCTGCTGTAGATGGTGACTGTTTTTCACATGGGTCCAGGCCAGCAGTTCTGAAATGTATGTACACACGAGGATTGACCACACAGGTAAATCTAATCTGCATCGGACAGTGAGAGCCAGAGGGAGGCCAAGGAAAGCCCTTGGTGTTGGGTTGGCTCCAAGGTATCTGTGTAAACCCATGGTTTTTACCATGTATATATGCAGGTAGATACAGGAATAAATGCAGAAGCCTGCCTATGCTTGGGCTATTAAGTATGCATGTCTTTTCTAGGTCTTTAAGCTCAAAGGGTCTAGAAACGATGATATCCCAGCCACAGTGAGCTCACCTTGCACTCAGATCTTCGTTTTCTAGCACTATTCTCCAGCGTATGAAACTGGCAATCCTTGGAGAACTGGTTTGTTCCAGGACTGGGGCAGACGAAATCCTAGCTAAGCCTGGAGTACTTTGTAGACCCAGGAAATGAGGATGTGTTTGAAAAAGATGGGGAATTGTTGAAAGAACCCAGGGGCCAGCCTGAGGGAGATCCCAGGGGCCAAACCTGGAATGAGTCAATGGCCATAGCATTGGTTTATAACAGCATAAAATAAATGTCCCCAAATCCATACTGATATCAACAGATAACTGGATACGGCCAGGTGGCTCATGTCTGTAATCCCAGCACTTTGGGAGGTCGAGGTGGGCCACTGCACTCCAGCCTGGGCGACAAGAGCAAAACTCCTGTCTTGAAAAAAAAAATTCTTAGTAGAAGCAGGAGACTTCCAGTCATGGGCCCACTTGGACTCCTCAGCTACGATGGCTGCATTCCCAGTGTCGCCCACACCCCTGCCTCCCTGGCCGCCTCCAGCAGGGCTCTGGGTCAAGCGAGAAGAGAGGTCCACTTGTGCGAGGAAGGTCCGTCTTTCTGTCTACAGGCCTGAAGATGGACCTGGGAGAGCACGACCTCGCCACAACATCACCATCCTGATCAGAGGCGAGAGGGGACAAGGTCATAGGTGTGGAGGTGGGCAGGTGGTGTGGAGTGGAGCCTACAGAGGGGATGGGGGTGTGTCCTGGAGTGCACAGGGTGAAGGACCCCCGCCCCTACCCCACCACCTTGGGTGCTTAACCAGAAAAGTGGAACAGCAGAACACCAAAGGGTATGTGTGCACACATGCACGCACGCACACACACATACACACGCACTGCTGAAGGCCAAGACAGGCATGGACTGGTTGACCCTAGGAGGTAGGGTATAGAGGATCAGAGAGTGCCCTGCATGGGAAAGATGGGGACCAACCATTCCCAAGCACCAAAGACAGACTTGGAAAATCCCAAAGAAATACTAGAGCGCGGCCCCTGAGTAGGGCTGCTGAAGTATTTGCTTCCTCCTCGGTCAGCCCGAGCCCTGAGGCACGGCGTCCTGCCTACCCGGTCTAAGCGCAGCACTGGGAAGTATGATTGTGGGGCACAGGGCAAAGCCTGAGGGGTGATGGAAACACTCCACGTCTTGACTGGGGTGACGGTTACATGGTGTACACGTTTGACAGTACTCACCCAACAGCATCTTTTGAGATCTCTCTGTTTTGCTGTATGTAAATTACATCCCCCCTCCCCGCCCCTGCAAACACAGAAATTCAGGAAGGCAGGAAAATCAGGCAGGAGTCCTTCCCGGTCTCACTTGCCCCTGGATGTCCCCTGTGGCCCTCCCGCTATGACCTGACCACTTTCTCCCCCTCTGCTGGTTCATGCACAAACACAGCCAGGCCAAGTGACTCCGTACTTTAAAAGTCCCCACGCCATCATCTTCCTGTCCCAGGACCCAAGCCAGCCTCCCAGGCTGCCCTTTGCTGTCGCCTTAGTCCCCTCCACGCTGTGACTGTCCCTCAGTTCGTCCTGGCCTCAGTGGCCATGACACCTCTGAGGGGTGAGTGCTGCGGAATGTGTCTCCATGTTTGGCCGGACATCATTTCACAGGCTACACATTTTGGCGGGAAGTGCATGCAGTGGCGCTGTGTCCTTCCCAGGGTACCACACCAGGGGTCCACATGTCCAAGTGTCTCATGACTGGCAATGTTGACCTTGAGCACAAGGGTAAGGAGGTATCTGCCAGGTTTTCTTTTTCTTTCTCTCTCTTTTTTTTTTTTTTGAGACGGAGTTTCGCTCTGTCTCCAAGCTGGAGTGCAGTGGCGACATCTCGGCTCACTGAAACCTTTGCCTCCCAGGTTTCAGTGATTCTCCTGCCCTAGCCTCCTGAGTAGCTGGGATTACAGGCGCGTGCCACCACGCCTGGCTAACTTGTGTCAGGTGTGGCACATGCAAGCAATTCCCAGCAGCACCACAGCCTGACACGGGGAGGCAGCACCCTCGATAAGGCAATGTATACTCACAGCGACACCAGTGACTCTCTGCCCTTAGAACATGCTGAGTGATTCTGCAACCAAATTCAGAAACAGGCAAAGCCAACGTCAGGTGTCAGAAGTCAGGGTCATCCTTACTTCTTGCAGGGTGTGGGGGTTGAATACAAGAACACTTGAGGGGAGGGGTCTGCAAAGCCGCTGCGGGTGCTGTTTCCTGATGTGGCCAGGACAATGAAAAGCAAGCTGTGGTCTGTTCACACGGAGGAATGTGTGTGCACTTAGGATTCGCTCTCCCTGCCTGGCTAGCCAGTCTCCCCAGTAACAGGTAAATGCACATTTTCAGGTCAAAAAATAAAGACAGGAAGAGCTGGAAGCAGGGTTGATTGGCACGAGCCGCTTGTTCTAGAACTAGAAGCCAAGAGCACTTTGTCCTGATGCTGTGCTGGATACTGTCCCTGCAGGTCCTGAGGGACCCGCTGAGGCATCCAGAGCACATCTCGTGGCCACAGCTCCAGTGAGGGTGGCAGAGGCATCCCACAGATACTGAGTAGTCCTGCGGTTGGAGGGGGCTGGCAGATGATGGAGGGGGCTGGCAGACAGCACGTGTGAGTGTGGGGAAAAGGCATGGCAAACTTCAAAGCAGACACAGAATGACACGCAGTCCAGGAAGAAGCATTCTGCTCTGTTTCAGACTGCTGTGCAATTGAACTAAAATAAAACGATGCACCCAACCTTGGCCCACTCCCCACCCTGTACATTGACCAGACAGTCAGAGGAAGGCAGGGCAAGGACAGGTCCCTCTGATGCAGTCTGGTGGCTGCGTTTCCGTGGTGCCTCGCCACTATTCACTCGACTCTAGATGTCCTTGCCCTCAATACACGTTGATGGCTAAAAGCAGCCTAGGGCCGGACACGGTGGCTCACGCCTGTAATCCCAGCACTTTGGGAGGCCAAAGTGGGTGGATCACTTGAGGTCGGGTTCAAGACCAGCCTGGCCAGTATGGTGAAACCCCCATCTCTACTAAAAATACAAAATTTGGCCGGGCATGGTGGCACATTCCTGTAATCCCAACTACTCAGGAGGCTGAGGCAGGAGAATCACTTGAAGCTGGGTTCGGGGGGAGGGGGGAAAGCAGCTTAGAAGAATTGCAGGCCGGGCCCGGTGGCTTACACCTGGAATCCCAAAATTTGGGAGGCTAAGGCAGGTGGATTGCTTGAGGTCAGGAGTTCAAGACTAGCCTGACCAACATGGTAAAACCCTGTCTCTACTAAAAAAAAATACAATAATTAGCTGGGCGTGGTGGCGGGCGCCTGTAATCCCAGATATTTGGGAGGCTGAGACAGGAGAACCGCTCGAACCCAGCAGGCAGAGGTTGCAGTGAGCCATGCCAGCCTAGGCAATAAAGCAAGACACAGTCTCAAAAAAAAAAAAAAAAAAATGCACAAAGGAAACAACAAGTTAGCAAGGATGTGGCACAACCACTTCAGAAAACCAGAAGTTTTGGGCCAGGCACAGTGGCTCACACATGTAACCCCATCACTTTGGGAGGCTGAGGTGGGAGGAACACCTGAGTTGGAGGCTATAGTGAGCCATGATTGTGCCACTGCACTGCAGCCTGGGCAAGAGAACAAGACTGTTGTCTCAAAAAAAAAGAAAAAGACAAAATCAGCAGTTTTTAACAAGTCATAAATGCACTGATGGCCAGGCAATCCTACTCCTAGACATTTACCCAAGACGGATGAAAGCAATGTCCCTGAAAAGATTCGCACAAAAATGTTCACAGCAGTTCCATTCTCAACAGCTCCAGACTGGAAACAAACCAAATGTCCAATTTGATTTGTCCAAAAATCAAATTCCAGCACATTCATCCAAAGGAATATACACAGCATTAAAAGGAAGCAGGAGGGCCGGGTGCAGTGGCTCACGCATGTACTCCCAGCACTTTGGGAGGCCGAGGTGGGTGGATCACCTGAGGTCAGGAGTTCGAGTCCAGCCTGGCCAACATGGTGAAACCCCCCAGTCTACTAAAAATACAAAAATTAGCCAGGCATGGTGGCGCATGCCTGTAATCCCAGCTACTTGGGAGGCTGAGGCAGGAGAATCGCCTGAACCTGGGAGGCGGAGGTTGCGGTGAGTGGGGATCATGCCATTGCACTCCAGCCTGGGCAACGAGTGAAACTCCATCTCCAAAAAAAAAAAAAAAAAAACCAAGTTTAAAATTTTTGGAACTCCTGTTTAGTTTCTAAGTATTACTTCACGTTGGAAACACTGGGCTTGTCTCTCTGGCAGGCACAGCTCATACCTTACCCACTAGTGCCCTGGTTCTCATCGGGACCACAGCAGGGGGCAGTGTCAGTCATGAGAGGTGGCTCTTTTTATTCTGAAAATGGTTTCCCCTTTAAGATTTTCAGGTTTTGGGGAAAGCGATTCTGAGAACTCTGAAGGCTATTTCCACGGAAATGAGAAGAAAAATATTTTCCAAGGACCAAGTACCCACCGGCCACCGTGGGAAATGTTTTCACGGCCGCTACACTGAAGTTTCACTGCCACCTAGGGAAGTTGCTATCACTGTCACACTTCATGAGTGAGGCGCCTGGCGCTCCATGACTGCCTGTGGTCACACACAGGAAGGTGCTGGAGCCAGGGGTGGAACTGGCATTCCTCCAAAGTCAACCCCCCACTCTGGGTGCGGTGGCTGATACCTGTAATACCAGCACTTTAGGAGGCCGAGATGGGTGGATCACCTGAGGTGAGGAGTTCAAGACCAACCTGGCCAAGGTGGTGAAACCTCGTCTCTACTAAAAATACAGAAATTAGCCAGGTGGGGTAACGGGTGCTTGTAATCCCAGGTACTCAGGAGGCGGAGGTGGGAGAATCGCTTGAACCCGGGAGGGGGAGGTTGCAGTGAGCTGAGATCGCACCACTGCACTGTTGCCTGGATGACCGAGTGAGACTCTGTGTCAAAAAAACAAAACAAAACAAACTGGCTGGGCGCGGTGGCTCATGCCTGTAATCCCAGCCCTTTGGGAGACCGAGGCAGGTAGATCACCTGAGGTCAGGAGTTCAAGACCAGCCTAACCAACAAGGAGAAACGCTGCCTCTACTAAAAAATATAAAAATTAGCCAGACGTGGTGGCAGGTGCCTGTAGTCCCAGCTACTTGGGAGGCTGAGACAGGAGAATTGCTGGAACCCAGGAGGCAGAGGTTGCCATGAGCCAAGATCGCATCACCGCACTTCAGCCTGGGCGACAGAGCGAGACTCTGTCTCAAAAAAAAAAAAAAACCAAAAAACACAAAGTCAAACCTTACAATGGACTAGACTGTTGTCTCCTTGAGAGAAGACACGGCTTTCTTTGTCCTTGGCTCCCTGAACCTTGTGCGGTCCCGTCCACACAAGAGGTGCTTAATATATGTGGAAGGAATGAATGAATGTACATCGAATGAATGAATGAGCACACTTTGGATGACTTGTAGGCCCATCACATGGGTTTGGCTGCAGAGGGTGGCTGAAGCCAGTCTTTATGACTGCATTTGTTGTAACCTTCCTGTACTGTGGTGAGGGGTTAGCATTCACTCACTCATTCACTCATTGTAAGAATATCACAAAGGGTTTGTTTTTTTTCTCAACCAATTGAGTTGTCACCATGATAACCCACCACCAAATATGTTAGTGTGAACTACCTACGAACAGGGATGTTTTCCTACGTAACCACATCTAGACATAGAAATCGGGAAATCAGCACTGATGTATCATGATTATCTGATCCACAGGTCCTGTTCGAGTTTCCTCAATGGCCCCAGCGACGTCCTTTACAGCACAAGAGTCCCTTCCAGGATCCCTTGTTGCATTTAGTGGTCATGTCTCTGCATTTAGTGTTTGCATTTAGTGGTCTGTTGCATTTAGTGGTCCGAGCTGTTCCTTGGAACAGCTTTTCCATCTTTCCTTGACTTTCAGGACTTTGCCCTTGGATGATCACAGGCCAGGTGTCTTGTGGAGCCCCCGCCCCTCACTGCGGGTTGGGCTGACGATTCCCCCACGATGAGGCTCAGGTGATGCCTCTTGGGCAGGAAGATGGTGAAAGCGACGCAGAGCTCTCACTGCATCCTGCCAGGGCACACAGCTTTAATGTGGCCCATTGGTGGTGATGTTAACCTTGACCATCAGATTAACATGGCATCTGCACTAAAGGAATCAGATTATCTGACTTCAAATTATACTACAGAGCTATAGTAACCAAAACAGTAAGGTACTGGCATAAAAACAGACACATAGACCAATGGAACAGAACAGAGAACCCAGAAACAAATCTATACATCTGTAATGAACTCCCTTTTGACAAAGGTGCCAAGAACATACGTTGGAGAAAGGATAATCTCTTCAACAAATGGGGCTGGGAAAATTGGATATTCATATTCAGAAGAATGAAAGTAGACCCTTATCTCTCTCACCATATACAAACATCAAATCAAAATGGATTAAAGACTTAAATCTGGCCAGGCAACATGGTGAAACCCCTTCTCTACAAAAAATACAAAAATTAGCCAGGCATGGTGTCATGTGCCTGTAGTCCCAGCTACTTGGAAGGCTGAGGTGGGAGAATGGCCTGAGCCTGGGAGATGGAGGTTGCAGTGAGCCATGATTGTGCCACGGCACTCCAGCCTGGGTAACAGAGCCAGACCCTGTCTCAAAAAAATGAAATAATTTTTTTTAAAAAAAGACAAATCTAAAACCTCACACTATGAAACTACTACAAGAAAACACTGGGGGCTAGGGGCAGTGGCTCACTCCTGTAATCCCAGCACTTAACGGAGGCTGAGGCAGGTGGATCACTTGAGGTCAGGAATTCGAGACCAGCCTGGCCAACATGGTAAAACCCCATCTCTACTAAAAACACACACACACACACACACACAAAATTGCCAGGCATGGTGGCACATGCCTGTAATCCCAGCTACTCGGGAGGCTGAGGCACGAGAATCCCTTGAGCCCAGGAGGTGGAGGATGCAGTGAGCCAAGGTCACACCACTGCACTCCGTCCTGGGTGACAGAGCGAGACTCCGTCTCAAAGAAAAAGAAAAGAAAACATTGGGGAAACTCCAGAACATTGGTCAGGGCAAAAATTTCTTGAGTAATACCCTACAAGAACAGACAACCAAAGCAAAAATGGACAAATGGGATCACATCAAGTTAAAAAGCTACTCCACTGCAAAGGAAACAATCAAAAATGAAAAGAAATCCCACGGAATGAGAGAAAAGATTTGCAAACTAACCATCTGACAGGGATTAATAACCGGAATATATAAGGAGCTCAAATAACTCTATAGGAAACAATCTAATAATCTGATTTAAAAATGGGCAAAAGATTTGAATAGACATTTCTCAAAGGAAGGCTTGCAAATGGCAAACAGGCATGCAAAAAGGTGCTCAGCATCCTTGATCATCAGAGAAATGCAAATCAAAACTACAATGAGATATCATCTCACTCCAGTTAAAATAGCTTTTATCCAAAAGTCAGGCAATAACAAATGCTGGCGAGGAGGTGGAGAAAAGGGAACCCTCATAGACTGGTGGTGGGAATGTAAATTACTATAACCACTATGGAGAACAGTTTGGAGGTTCCTCAAAAAACTGAAAATAGAACTACCAGCAATCAAACTGCTGGGTATATGACCCAAAGAAGGGAAATCAGTCTATCCAAGTGTTAGCTGCTCTCCCATGTCCGTTGCAGCACTATTCACACTAGCCAAGATTTGGAAGCAACCAAAGTATCTATCAACAGAGGAATGGATAAAGAAAATGTGGTACATATACACAGTGGAGTACTATTCAGCCATTAAAAAGAATGAGACCCTGTCATTTGCAACAATATAGATGGAACTAGAGGTCATTATGTTAAAGAAAATAAATCAGGCACAGAACACAAACATCACATGTGCTCACTTATTTGTGGGATCTAAAAATCAAAATAATTGAATTCACGGACATAGAAGGTAGAAGGATGGTTACCAGAGGCTGGGAAGGGTAGTGGGAGGGTAGGGGAGGTGGGGATGGTTAATGGGGGAAAAAAATGGACAAAATGAATAAGACCTAGTATTTGATAGCACAACAGGGTGACTATAGTCAATAATAATTTAATTGTAATCTATCTATCTATCTATCTATATAATTATTTTGAGACGGAGTTTTGCTCTTGTTGCCCAGACTGGAGTGCAACGGCATGATCTTAGCTCACTGCAACCTCCGCCTCCTGGGTTCAAGCGATTCTTCTGCCTCAGCCTCCTGAGTAGCTGGGATTACAGGCACACACCACCACGCCCAGCTAATTTTGTATTTTTAGCAGAGACGGGGTTTCTCCATGTTGGTCAGGCTGGTCTCGAACTCCCAACCTCAGGTGATCCACCCCCCTCAGCCTCCCAAAGTTCTGGGATTACAGGCATGAGCCACGGTGCTCAGCCTAATTATACATTTCAAAATAACTAAAAGAGTATAATTGGATTGTTTGTAACACAACAGATAAATGCTTGAGGAGCTAGAAATCCAATATTCCATGATGAGATTATTATGCATTGGATGCCTGTACCAAAATATCTCATGTACCCCATAAATATATATACCTACTATGTACCCACAAGAATTAAAAATTAAAAAAAAGAAACAAAAACACTCACAGGAGCCAAGTCCAAGTGTGGTGGCTCACACCTGTAATCTTAGCACCTTGGTTACTATAGCTCTGTAGTATAATTTGAAGTCAGATAATCTGATTCCTCTAGTTTTGTTCTTTTTGCTCAGGATAGCTTTGGCTATTCTGAGTCTTTGCTGGTTTGATATAAATTTTAGGATTTTTTTTATATTTCTGTGAATAATGTCATTGGTATTTTGATAGGGATTGCATTGAATCTATAGATTGCTTTGAGTAAGTATGGACATTTTAACAATATTGATTCTTTCAATCCATGAACATGGAATTTCCTTTCTTTTTTGAGACAGAGCCTTGCTCTGTCACCCAGCCTGGAGTGCAGTGGTGCAATCTCGGCTTACTGCAACCTCTGTCTCCTGGGTTCAAGTGATTCTCCTGCCTCAGCTTCCCGAGTAGCTGGGATGACAGGTGCCCGCCACCATGCCCAGCTAATTTTTGCATTTTTAGTAGAGACAGGGTTTCACCATGTTGGCCAGGCTGGTCTTGAACTCCTGGCCGCAGGCGATCTGCCTGCCTTGGCCTCCCAAACTGCTGAGATTACAGGTGTGAGACACCACGCTGGGTCGAACATGGACTTTCTTTCCATTTTTTTATGTCCTCTTCAATTTCTTGCATCAATGTTTTACAATTTTCATTGTAGAGATATTTTACTTTTTGATTAAGTTAATTTGTAGGTGTTTTATTTGTGGTTATTGTAAATGGATTACTTTCTTGATTTCTCTTTCAGATTGTTTACTGTTGGCATATAAAAATGCTACTGATTTTTGTTTGTTGATTTTGTATCCTGCAACTTTACTGAATTTATCAGTTCTAATGTTTTTTTGGTGGTGTCTTTAGGTTCTTCCAAATATAAGATCATATCATCTGTAAACAAGAATAATTTGACTTCTTCCTTTCCAATTTGGATGCTCTTTATTCCTTTCTCTTGTCTGATTGCTTTAGCTAGGACTTCCAGTACTATGTTGAATAACAGTGGTGAAATTAGGCATCCTTGTCATGTTCCAGATCTTAGAGGAAAGGTTTTCACTTTTTCCTCATTTAGTATGATACTAGCTGTAGGTCTGTTGTATATGGCTTTTATTATGTTGAGATGTGTTCTTTCTATACCCAGTTGTTTGAGAGTTTTTATCATGAAGTGAAATTGAATTTTCTCAAATGATTTTTCAGCATCAGTTGAAATGATCTTATGATTTTTGTCTTTCATTCTGTTGATAACAATGTAGCACAGTGATGATTGATTTGTGTATGTTGAACCATCCTTGCATCTTTGGGATAAATCCCATTTGGTCATAACGAATGATCTTTTTAATGTGTTGTTGAACTCGGTTTGCTAGTATTGTGTTGAGGATTTTTGCATCAATATTCATCAGAGATATTGACCTGTAGTTTTCTTATCTTGATGTGTCTGTCTAGTTTCAGTATCAGGATAATACTGGCTTTGTAGAGTGAGTTTGGAAGTATTCTCTCCTCCTTTATTTTTTGGAATAATTTGAGTAGGATTGGTATTAGTTTTTTAAATGTTTGGTAGAATTCAGCAGTGAGGCCATGGGGTCTTGGGCTTTTCTTTGCTAGGAGACTTTTTATTAGAGTTTCAATCTTGTTACCTGTTATTGGTCTGTTCAGGTTTTGGATTTCTTCATGCTTCAATCTTGGCAAGTTATATACGTCTAGGAATTTATTCATTTCTTCTAGATTTTCCAATTTATTGTCATATAGTGCTCACTGTAGCCACTAATGATCCTTTGAGTTTCTGCAATATTGGTTGTAATAACCCCCTTTTTCATCTATAATTTTATTTATTTGTATCTTCTTTTTTTTTTTAGTCTGGCTAAAGTTTGTCAATTTTATCTTTCCAAAAAACCAGCTTTTTATTTTATTGATCTTTTGTATTGTTTTCTTCATTTCACTTCATTTGTTTCTTCTCTGACTTTTCTTCTACTAATTTTGGGTTGGGTTTGCTCTTGCCTTTCTGTTTCTTTAAGATGCATTGTTACATTGTTTAATTGAACTTCCTTCCTTCCTTCCTTCCTTCCTTCCTTCCTTCCTCCCTCCCTCCCTCCCTTCTTCTTTCTCTCTCTTTTCTTTTTTTTCTATCTCTTTCTCTCTCTCTCTCTTTCTTCTTTCTTTCTTTCTCTCTTTTTTTTTTTTTTTTTTTCCCAGAGTCTTGCACTGTCGCCTGGGCTGGAGTGCAATGGTGTAATCTCGGCCCACTGCAACCTCTGCCTCCCGGGTTCAAGCGATTCTCTTGCCTCAGCCTCCAGAGTAGCTGGGATTACAGGCTCCCACCATCATGCCTGGCTAATTTTTTTGTATTTTTAGTAGAGATGGGGTTTCACTGTTGGCCAGGCTGGTCTTGAACTCCTGACCTCAGGTGAGCCACCCGCCTCGGCCTCCCAAAGTGCTGGGATTACAGGCTGCGCCTGGCCTCCCAGGCTGGGATTAAACTGCACCTGGCATCTTTTTTTTTTTTTTAATGTAGACCCTATGGCTATAAACTTCCCTATTAGTACTGCTTTGCTTTATCCCATATTGTGTTTCTGTTATCACTTGTTTCAAGAAAATTTTCAGTTTTCTTCTTAATTTCATCATTGACCCACTAGTCACTCAGGAGCATGTTGTTTTTGTTTTTTTTAAAATTTTTTTTTTTTTGAGATGGAGTCTTGCTCTATCATCCAGTCTGGAGTGCAGTGGCACAATCTTGGCTCACTGCAACCTCCACCTCCTGGGTTCGAGCGATTCTAGCATATTGTTTAATCTCCATGTATTTGTATAGTTTTCAGAATTCCCCTTGGTACTGATTTCTGGTTTTAGTCCATTGTGGGCAGTGAACATGCTTGAGATTATTTCAGTTTTTTGAATGTTTTAAGACTTGTTTTGTGACCTAACATATTATTTCTCCTTGAGAACTATCCATGTGCTGAGGAGAAGAATGTATATGCTGCAACTGTTTGATGAAATGTTCTATAAATATCTATTAGGTCCATTTGGTCTATAGCAGAGATTATGTCTGATTATTTTTGTTGATTTTCTGTCTGAAAGATCTGTTCAATACTGAAAGTGGGGTGTTGAAGTCTCCAGTTATTGTTGTATTGGGGTCTATCTCTCTCTTTAGCTCTAATTATATTTGCTTTATGTATCTGGGTGCTCCAGTGTTGGGTGCATATGTATTTACACTTGTTATATCCTCTTGCTGAATTGACTCCTTTATTATTTATATAATGGCCTTCTTTGCCTCTTCTTTAGTTTTTCTCTTGAAATCTATCTTGTCTTACAGAACTGTAGCTATCCTGCTGTCTTTTGGTTTCCATATTCATAGAATATCTTTTTCCATCTGTTTATTTTCACTCTGTGTGTGTCTTTATAGATGAAGTGTGTTTCTTGTAGGCAACAGATAACTGGGTCTTTTTTTGGTTTTTGTTTGTTTATTTTTAAATCCTTTCAGCCACTCTATGTCTTTTCTGGAGAGTTTAGTATTACTGATAAGTAAGGACTTACTCCTGCAGTTTTGTAATTTGTTTTCTGGTTGTTTTGTGGTCTTCCTTCTTTCCTTCCTGTCTTCTTTTCAGTGAAGGTGATTTTCTGTGGTGGTATGATTTCATTTCTTGCTTTTTATTATTTCTTATTCATTGCATTTTTTTGATTTGAGGTTAACATGAGGCTTGCAAATACTGTCTTATAATGCGTTATCTTAAACTGATGACAACTTAACATTGATTACATAAGTAAGCAAAAAGAAAACTAATGAAAACCCCATACTTTAACTTCATCCCTCTGCTTTTCAACCTTTTGTTGATTCTATCTATACCTTATTGTACTGTCTATGTCTTAAAAAGTTGTTGTAGTTATTATTTTTTATTGGTTCGTCTTTTAGTCTTTCTACTTAAAAGTAGTTTACACACCATAATTACAGTGTTATAATATTCTGTGTTTTTCTATGTACTTACTATTACCAGTGACTTTCATACCTTCAGAAGTTTTCTTACTTCTCATTAATGTCCTTTTCTTTCTGATTGAAGAAACTTTCTTAGCGTTTCTTGTAGGACAAGTCTGGTGAGGAGTGTTCTATAACCTTCTTGTACTTGAATATTGATCTCTTTCTCTAGGTTTGGAAAGTTCTTTGTTGTTATCTTTTTGAATAAACTTCTACCCCTGTTTCTTTGTCTACCTCCTCTTAGATTCACCCCTTTGAGGCTATTTTCTAGTTTTTATAGGCATGCTTCATTATTGAATAATGCCCCTAGGCATTTAATAATGTGTTAAACATTACGTGTTAAATATGGTACATTCATTTTATGGGTTATTATACAGCATTTAAAAGAATGTGAAATCCCTCAGCTTTTGTTTGTCTGGGAAAGTCTTTATTTAAGGATATTTTCTCACCAGATGTACTATTCTAGGGTAAAAGTTTTTTTTTTTTTTTTCTTCTTCAGCCCTTTAAATACATCATGCCACTCTCTCCTGGCCTGTAAGGTTTCCACTGAGAAGTCTGCTGCCAGTCATATTGTAGCTCTATTGTAAGTTATTTGTTTCTTTTCTCTTGCTACTTCTAGGATCCTTTCTTTGTCCTATGGGAGTTTGATTATTAAATGCCTTGAGGTGCTCGTCTTTGGGTTAAATCTGCTTGGTGTTCTGTAACTTTCTTGTACTTGAATATTAATGTCTTTGTCTAGGTTTAGAAAGTTCTCATTATTATCTCTTTGAATAAGCTTCTACCCCTATCTCTTTTTCTACCTCCTCTTTAAGGCAATAACTCTTAGATTTGCCCCTTAGAGGCTATTTTTTAGGTCTTGTCAGCATGTTTCATTATTTTTATTCTTTTTTCATCTCCCCTGACTGTGTGTTTTCAAATAGCCTATCTTCAAGCTCACTGATGTTTTCTTCTGTTTGATCAATTCTGCTATTAAGAGACTCTAATATGTTCTTCATTATGTCAATTGCATGTATCAATTTCAGAATTTCTGCTTGACTCTCTTGAATTATTTCAATCTATTTGTTAAATTTATCTGATAGAATTCTGAATTCTGTCTCTGTGTTATCTTGAATTTCTGTGAATTTCCTCAAAATAGCTCTTTTGAATTCTCTGTCTGAAAGATCTCGTATCTCTGTTTCTCCAGGATTGGTCCCTGCTGCCTTATTTAGTTCATTTGATGAGGTCATGTTGTCCTGAATGGTTGTGATGCTTGTGGATGTTCATTGATGTCTGGGCATTGAAGAGTTAGGTATTTATTTTAGTCTTTACAGTCTGGGTTTATTTGTACCCATCCTTCTTGGGGAGGCTTTCTAGGTATTTGAAGGGACTTAGGTGTTTTGATCTAAGCTGTATCTGCACTGGGCGGGGTGGGGGGCACCTGAAGCCCTGTAACAGTGTGGTTGTTGCAGACTCATAGAGGTATTGCCTTCGTGGTCTTGGATAAGATCCAGAAGAATTCTCTGGCTTACCAGGCAGAGATTTTGTTCTCTTCCTTTACTTTCTCCCAAACAAATGGAGTCTGTCTGTCTGTGCTGAGCTGCCTGGAGCTGAGGGTAGGGTGACACAAGCACCCTCGTGGCTACCACCACTGGGACTGTGCTGGGTCAGACCTGTAACCAGCACAACACTGAATCTCACCCAAGGCCTGCCGTAATTACTACCTTGCTACTGCCTATGTTTACTCAAGGCCATAGGGCTCTACAATCAGCAGGTGGTGAAGCCGGCCAGGCTTATATTCTTCCTTTCAGGGCAGTGAGTTCCCCCAGGCCCCAAGTGGGTCCAGGGATGCCATCTGGAAGCCAGAAACTGGACTCAAAAAACCTTAGAAATCTAGCTGGTGTTCTATTCTATTACAGTTAAGTGGGCACTCAAACCACAAGACAAATTTCTTCCCACTCTTTCCTCCCACTTCCGTAAGCAGAGGAGCCTCTCCCATGGCTACTACCGTTACAAGCCCATGGAGAGTATTACCTGATTACCATCAGTGTTCACTTAGAGCCCAGGGGCTCTTCAGTCAGCTTGTGGTAAATGCTGCCAGGCCTGGGACCCTCCCTTCAGGGCAATGGGCACCCCCTTGCCCAAGGCAGGTCCAGAATTGCCTTGCTCAGGGAACCCAAAAGACAAGGCCTTGTGTCAGGGACCCCAAGAGCCCACTTGGTGCTCTACCCCATTGTGGCCGAGATAGAAACTGAAACCAGCACATCTCAGTCTCACTCAAGGCCCGTGGTGTACTACCTGGTATCGTTACTAGTTATTCAGGGTCCAAGGGCCCTTTTGTCAGTAGGTGATGAATCCTGCCAAGACTGAGTCCTTCCCTTCAAGGCAGTAGGTTTCTGTCTGGCCCAGGTGTGTCTGGAAGTATCATCCAGGATCTAGGGCTTGGAATAGGGGCCTCACAACTCTGCCCAGTGCCCTGTCCTACTGTGGCCGAGCTGGTATGCAAGACGCAAGACAAAGTCCTCTTTATTTTTCCCTCTTGTCTCCTCAAGCAGAAGGAAGGAGTTGCTTTCATTGCCGTGAGCTGTGCTGCCTGGGGTTGGAGGAGGGATGGTGCAAGCACTCCCTTAGCCACCCAAGCTGGTGTCTAACTAGGTCACATGTCCCCCAAGTCCACTGGATCTGAGCTTAGCACAGCACTAGGTCTTGCCAAGGGGTTGCAGTCCTTGTGGCCTAGACTGCCTTTAAAGTTTATTTAGGCCCCCAGAGAACTTTAGCCTGTGGTGGCAAAGCTTGCCCAAACTGAAGTTCCAGTCACTGGGATGGGCAATTTCTCTCTGGCTAGGGCTAGTCTAAGTGCTCCCTCCATGGGTGGGCGCTGGCTGAGTTCAGCCCAGTTTTGCTTTCTGTTGTGACAAAGCAGCAGCACTGAGTTCAATGCAAAGTCCCACAATCACTGCACCTTCCCTCCCACAAGCACACAGATGATTGCTCTGTGCCATGCGACAGCTGCCAGCGGGCAGCAGAGGGATGGTGTCAGCAATTAAAGAGTGCCTTTCCTACCCTCTGTGGTGCCTCTTTCAGTAATACGAAGTTAAAACTGTGATTGCTCACCTCATTTTTTTATTATTATTATTATTATTTTTTTTTCTTGAGATGGAGTCCCACACTATCACCCAGGCCAGAGTGCTGTGGCTTGATCTTGGCTCTCTGTAACCTCTACTTTCTGGGTTCAAATGATTCTCCTGCCTCAGCCTCCCAAATAGCTGGGATTACAGGCGCCTGCCACCACGTCCGGCTAGTTTTTGTATTTTTAGTAGAGATGGGGTTTTGCCATGTTGGCCAGGTTGGTGTTGAATTCCTGATGTCAGGTGATCCACCCACCTCAGCTTCCCAAAGTGCTGGGATTATAGGCATGAGCCACCGTGCCCAGCCTGATTTTTAGTTCTTATGCAGGTGCTTTTTTGTGTAGATCATTGTTAAATTTGGGAGGACAATTGGTGGAGGATTCCATTTGGCCATCTTGCTCCACCTCTTTTCCCCTGTGTTGTTTTTTGACATGTCCCATCATTCTTTGAGCACTGCCTTGTTTCTATAAAAAAAGATTTCAGGCTTATTTTGTACCTTTCCTGCCCAAGCTCTACAATCAGCCATTTCTCCAGGGAGCCCTGATTTTATATATTGGAGAATGGTATTTAGAAACCAAGATCTGAGCTCTAGGTGTATTCATTACTGTTGAGGTCTAAGGCCTTCTCAGTGGACAGAGCAAGGAAACAAGCATATTAATACACACATTTCTATGCGGATCTATTTCTGTACTTATATTGAAGACCATGAGTGCACACCAGTTCCTCCGACCCAACCCCATGGAGCGCATTCTCATTTTCTCCCTTTCCAGATTTGTGACTCCCTTTTCCAACAGTGAGAAACCTGGTTCCCATTATCATCAGTGTATTTACTATTGTATCAATCCCCAGTGTCTGACCAATTTCCAGTGGATGACCCACCTCCTAACATGGATGTCCTGACCACTCTTCTCGGGTCCTGGCACTCTGTGGGCCACTGCTGTCCCCATAAGTAAACTCTCCTCATCCCTTTTGGGATCTGGAACTCTGCACCAGGACAATTCTGGGGCCAGGTCCCGTGGATACCTCCTCATTGCATTGGGGCTTCTGGAGGCAAGAAGTCTGAGATCAAGGTGCTGGCCTGGTCGGGTTCCCAGTAAGGGCTCCTTTCCTGGCTTGTGGACAGCTACCTTCATGCTGTGTTCTCACATAGACTTTCTTCTTCTCTCCTAGAGGGGTACCAGTCCTATCAGATGAGGGTCCCACCCTTATGACCTCATGGAACCTTCCTTATTTACCTCCTAAAAGCCCCATCTCCAAATGTAGTCACATAGGGATTCAATATTTGAATGTTGAGGGATACAACTTGGTCCATAGTGCCCAGCTGGGCCCTGCCACCCTACCATCCTACGCTGGTCTGCCATCCTGGCCCCTCCACCACCTGGACTCTGACACCTACTCCAGGCCTGTGATGCTGCCCCTCCTCCTGCTGCTGCGCTTCATGCCACCAGGGGGCCCACCATCACCTTGCTCAGTCTAATAGATTTTAAACTAAATTATTAAGGAAGGGAGAGAAGGAGAGAGTGAGGAAGGAGAAGGAAGAGGAATGGAAGAAGTTGAAAATATATTAACTTTTTGAATTTAGGTTTTACATATTTGAAAACATTTACTTGGTGGCTCATAGGTTCAAAGTTTGCCTTTCCTCAAAAATTCTTCCTTTTACTACTAAGCCAGGACCCTCTTTATCCCTAATAAAGCTATTTGTCTCAAAGTCACTTTTGTGTGATATCAAAATTGTGACAACAGCTTTCTTTTGATTTCGTATTTTCTTGGTATATTTTCCCCAACTCTTTTCTTAGTCCTCCTTTTTTCATTATATTTTAGGTATGTCTCTTGTAAACAGCAGATGGCTGGATTTTTTTCTTTTACTTTAAGAAGTCTGTCTTTTAACTGACTACATTATTTATATGAAATAGAATTCTAGTATATTTTGACTCAGTTTTCCCAACTTATTTCGTATTTTCTTTTTACTGCATCCACTTTTTAACTGGCATCAACCCCCTTCTTTTGGGTTGGTTGTGTTTTACGCACCTCCTCCTCTTTTCCTCACTCCACTGGTTTGCAAGTTATACATTTGATTTCTTTTCTTTCAGTGCCATGCTCTGATAAAATAAAGGACATTTATTACAGAAAAAAACCCCGTAGTGCAACAACTGCCTCTTCCTGGGGATGAGTAAGCACTCAGTGACATGGAGCCCGGATTTGCTCTTAGATAAGGAGGGATAGAGACCCTCTGGAAGGGCTGTGGGGATGCAGCAGTGGGGTGGCTAGGCTCAGCATTGAGGAGCCCCCATAACTCATGCTCATTCCCTGCACACAATGAGGACTGTGGAAGCGTTTCTTCTGCTTCTCTTAAAGCCCTGGAAACTGAGCTGTGGCTTGATGGATTGGCCTGTTGGGGGTATCCAGGGAGTGCGCGGGAGATGTGGACCAACAGACTTGATGATTGTTTCTCAAGCACAATCTTCCTGGGGAAAAGAGAATAAAGAGCTCAGACAGTGAGATCCCAATAAAATGAAGATGGGAATTTATTGTTGAGGAAAAGAACCTGCTATGTTTGAATGCTTGTCCTTTCCCAAACCCATTTAGAAATTGATCCCCAATGTAGAGATTAAGTTTAAGAAGTGATTGGGGCCAGGGGCAGTGTCTCACACCTGCAATCCCAGCACTTTTGGAGGCCAAGGCCAGTGGATCACCTGAGGTCAGGAGTTTGAGACCAGCCTGGCCAATGTGGTGAAACCCCATCTCTACTAAAAATACAAAAATTAGCTGGGCGTGGTGGCAGGTGCCTGTAATCCCAGCTACTCAGGAGGCTGAGGCAGGAGAATTGCTTGAACCCAGGAGGAGGAGGTTGTAGTGAGCTGAGATTGTGCCACTGCACTCCAGCCTGGGCAACAGAGCAAGACTCCGTCTCAAAAAAAAAAAAAAAAAAAAAAAAAAAAAAAAGTGGTTGTGTTCTGACGGCTCTGCTCTCATGAATGCATTAGTCCATTAATGGGTTAATGGGTAAATGAGTAACAGGTTATCATGGTGGTGGCATTAATGGCTTTATAAGAGGAGAAAGAGACACCTGGGCTAGCACACTCAGCCCCTCACGTGATACCCTGTGCTGCAGAGAGTCCCCACCAGCAGGAAGGCCCTCATCAGATGTGGTGCCTTAACCTTAGATTTCTCAGCCTCCATAATGGAAGAAATAAATTCCCTTTCTTTACAAATGACCCGGCCTCAGGAATTCTGTTATAAGCAACAGAAAATGGACAAAGACAATAGCATTATTTAGTGAGATAAATTCACAGCAGTGTGTAGTAAAATGAATGTTTCTCCTTGGTGATGGAATCCTAATTTTAGAAAATTGTTTTTCCAAGTGTGAGGGGAAATATTGTGCCTTATCCTCCTTCCTGTCATGCAGTCATAATGGCTGGTGCTTCAGCACCATTTTGGCCCATAAGGTACTTCACAAAGGATGGCAGAGCAGGAAAATGGTTACTTAGTAAGCAGGTATAGAAACTTGTGTGCCAGGACTTGCCTTTAGTGTTTTAAAAATATTAACCCATTTTGTCCTCATAGCAACCACATGAGGTAATAAGGTCTACTGTTCTCAAGTCCATCCTATATTTGTCCTTTCTTGCATTGCTATAAAGAAATAACTGAGGCAGGGCACCACAGTGGCTCACGTCTGTAGTCCTAGCACTTTGGGAAGCTGAGGTGGGTGGACTGCCTGAGTTCAGTTCCAGACAAGCCTGGGCAACAGGGTGAAACCCCGTCTCTACTAAAATACAAAAAATTAGCTGGGTGTGGTGGTGGGTGCCTGTAATCCCAGCTACTTGGGTGGCTGAGACAGTAGAATCGTTTGAACCCAGGAGGTGAAGTTTGCAGTGAACTCACATCATGCCATTGCACTCCAGCCTGGGCAACAGAGCAAGACTCCATCTCAAAAAAAAAAAAATCCCCAAAACCCCAAAAATTAGCTGGGTGTGATGGTGTGCACCTGTAGTCCCAGCTAGTCAGGAGGCTGAGGCAGGAGAATCGCTTGAACCCAGGAGGCAGAGGTTGCAGTGAGCTGAGATAGCACCATTGAACTCCAGCCAGTGTGACAAGAGCAAAACTGTCTCAAAAAAATTAAATAATAGATACTGCATTATTTGGGTATTTTCCAATAAATATATATTGTAGGAAAACATTTTTGCTAAAAAAAACTGTGTCCTTTTTAGAAAAGGTAAACAAGTTTTGTCTAATTCAAAATTTATTTAAATGTTATGTATACAACAGGGTAAAAGGAATCAGGAAATAAAAACAGAGATAAAGTTATAAAAATAGTTTTTTTTTGTCATAAGAAAGCTTAAAGAGAAATAATTTTTTTATGGTAAATTTAGTCCTAAAATAAAATGACTGGTTGTTTAAGAAGGAGGAATATTCAGGACAAAACAAAGTCCAAGCATGTCATGAACAGTCAGTGTTAAGTCTCAATAAGAGGATATATGTATTAAAAAAAACCTGAAACTTTAATATGATCAAGTTGTCATTATTAAGTTTTGGTTTGCTTAGGAAAAAAAACTGGGATAAAAATTTTTTAAATTAAGTTTATTACATCCACGTATCTTCCTGTATGTGCTTTTAAAGTGCTTGTGACACTGAATTACAGGGCTTTGACTCCTGGGTCTAAAAAGGACACCTAGTCCTGCTAAGTCTTAAACATTGACAGCAATTGAAGCCTCATCTACAGGCCCATAGAAGATGCCAGTCAAAATAAACTCATTCCTGAGACACAGAGTAAAAAATTAAAGCTGTTCAACTCCTCAAGGCCCAGAGACTATTGTGGAAGAGGTGGGTGCATGAGATTGTAAGAGCGAATTTTGAAAGATAAAATAAGTTCAATTTATCTATAAATTAATCATTAATATCAAAGGTACACTGATGCAAGACAAGCATTTGGGCCCCTGTGTCAGATTAACAAGGTTTTCTTGAAGCATTAACTGGCTCTTTAATAAAGGTTATAAAGGGTATAAAAGGCATACGAAGCTATATCTTATGATCAAGATTAAAATTTTATAGATTGTTTATAAAATTTTGAACAACAAATTTAATTAGATTCATGCTGTTTTTATTAGGGATTATTGTTTGGAAAATTAAGTCTCCTCTCTCAAAGAATAAAGGTTTTCACCTTTTTCCTGAAATCCTTGTTATCACTTTGGTTAAGTGAATGACTTATTTTATTTTTATTGAAATGGAGTCTTGCTCTGTTGCCCAGGCTGGAGTGCAGTGGTGCAATCTCAGCTTACCGCAACCTCCAACTTATGGGTTCAAGCAATTCTCCTGCCTCAACCTCCGAGTAGCTGGGACTACAGGTGTCCACCACCACACCAAGCTACTTTCTGTATTTTTGGTAGAGATGGGGTTTCGCCGTGTTGGCCAGGCTGGTCTTGAACTCCTGACCTTGGGTGATCTGCCCACTTCAGCCTCCCAAAGTGCTGGGATTACAGGCATGAGCTACCATGCCCAGCATGAATGACTTACAATGACCTGGGATCCTACTTTGTGATATCAAGTGTCTTAAACCTTTCATATTTGACAAACTTTCCAAAATCAAATGATAAATTATGTCTTTTTCTGACCTAATTAATCCTTTAAGATATTAGGTTCCCTAAAGTCCAAACAATGACATAATTTGGTTTATTTAGTACAAAAAGTATACAGGAAGCATTGTCAAATATGAAATGGTGTTGGGTTTTCTTTGGGCTGTATTTGTATAAATACGTTATTGGTATGTATTCCAAAATTTTGGGAAACTCCTATAATTCTGATATAACTTAGTGTACATTATCAGAAATAATCATAATTGTTATGTTAAAATTATTGTGTGCCATAGAGGTAACAAGTTTCCTTGTCAATTGTGTCTTTGACTATGGCTGTCCTAAAATTTTTTGTCATTCATGAACAATTGTCTTATTTTGGTCCTATTAAAATGATGGTTTTATAATCAGCTATAAAACTCTAACAGGTGCTCTTCAATGCAGGTTTCTGATAACTTTGGAGATTGTGACATCAGAATAGAGGAAAAGCTTTCAGGACTCATAGAGAGCTAAAATGTTCATGAGTATCAAGCAGAACAGGAATTACCTGTATGGACTGAACTAATCTTTTTGACTTTTTGCTTAAAATGTTTGCTGATCCTTTGTTTTGTTTTTCAGAGTCTTAAGACTTTTCTTTTAAACTATTGACAGCTTTTAACAATTTAGTATACTTTTAACAATTTGGTATACTCATTACAGAAAATAATGTTTTTAAATTGTTTTCCTTCTTTTTTTCAATTTTTTTTCTAATTTGGAATCACTGAAAACTAAGCTGTTTTTTCTTAAAGCCCTGTGAACTGAAACCAGATAACTTAAACTTCAGAAGAAAGTAACAGCAACATATTTACATACATAAGCCACTTTCATACCTGCCTACTGATGTATAGACTTCAGAGTAATGTGGCCTATATGAATTTTTCAGGATTGTTCTTTTGTTTGTTGTTGTTTTTCTCCCTTCCTCCCCCTATTTTCTCTTCACAGGACATGAGACTTCATAACATGCTGAAAAGGAGCTTTTGGGACCTGCCCATCTAGGAATAAACTGTCCTAGCCATAAGAAATCACATAAAACCTAAGATCAGAGATCCATTTTCTTCTAAACTGCTTTCTCCAAAAGATTTTAAAGACGAAAAGGGGGGAAATGTGAAAGGAAAATATCTTGGGCCCCTAAAATCCCTAAAAACTAGAAGGAAAATTCAAGCTGGAAACTGCTCAGTGCAAACCTACCTTTCATTGTATTCAAAGTCACCCCTCTGCTCACTGAGATAGATGCATATCTGATTGTCTCCTTTGGAAAGGCTTATCAGAAACTCAAAATAATGCAACCATTTGTCTCTCACCTACCTGTGACATGGAAGTCTTTTAAATGCTTGCTCCCGGTGCCATAAAGAAATAGCACTTGGACATAATTTAATTTATTTAGTAAGGCCATTTTTACTTCCTGTAGAAAAGGTACACTCACCAGCAGTTTTGCCATGAGAGTACACCGAACAAAGGAGACAGGGTCATTTATAACCTGACGCATCCACCCTACTGTTGTGTCTGGTTTCCATTGGCTGGAACAGGACCTCACATTCTGTATTTGTCCCGACTGGCTAGCACCTTAGAACTTTTTTAAAGAGGCAAAGGCAGAGGAGAACAAAGGAAGGAGGAAGTAACTTGTGGAATGCTGAGAAAGGTAAAAAAAACTTTTAAATAAGGAAGAGGAACAGGCTATGACCTAATGCTTGCTTGGACCAGTATAAGCATGCCAGGGCAAATATTTAGGAGCATAGGTCTTTGAATAAATTTTGCTTCTAAGAGAAGTTACTATTTATTCCTAGTTACATGGGGAGGAAAGTCTTTGAAGAGGAACCTCTACTTTTACTTTTTACAGAAGCCTTTGCCTTTCTGGATGGAACCAGTGTACTTCTTACACATATTGATTAATGTCTTACGTCTCCCTAAAATGTATAAAACCAAGCTGTGCCCTGACCACCTTGGGCACATGTCATCAGGACTTCCTGAGGCTGTGTCACAGGCGTGTGCCCTTAACTTTGGCAAATAAATTTCCTAAAATGAGATTTGTCTCGTCATTTTTCTCTATTGACGACTATACACCTGAATGTAGGGTCAGCTGAGAGAAAGGACAAGCCAGAGAGACCCAAGTTCAGTCAAGCCTTGATTAACCTGCCGGCTGCTCCATTACAGACAGAGGAGGCAGCCCTGAGCTTGCAAAATGAGGGGTTTATATGGGGGATAGAGACCCTGGGGTCGTTTGTTGGTTAACTTTGCCATATATCACCTTATGACGTTTATGGTAGCAGCTAGATGAAGGAACTTACAGGAGGGTGTAGGTAAAGTTTGTTTATGCTTCCCAGGACCTCCCACTGTGGGGTACGGATGGTTTGTAATTGGGGTTTGTTTATCGTAGCAAGGCCTGATAGGTAAAGTCTGCTGGCTTCACCACGGTGCCTAGATAAGGGCTTAAAAATGTAAAAAGCTTTCAGGGAGGGGTGGGCAGCACGGAGGGGTCTGGGGGGAATGTTGGCAGTACCAAGAGGCTTTTTGGGGTAGTTTGTCCCTAAAACTAAAAATAGTTAAAATCATAAAATTTATGTTATACAGTATATATTTTACCACACATAGACACATTTTTATGCAAGACCAAACACCTGACCCATGGATGACCATACCAAGAGGGAGTGTGGTCAGTACAGAGGCAGTCCTGGAGGTGGGCATCATCTGATCTAGAATAAAACAATGGCCAGGTGCGGTGGCTCACACCTGTAGTCCCAGCACTTTGGAAAGCTGAGGAGGGTGGATCGCTTGAGCCCAGGAGTTCAAGACCAGCCTGGGCAACACAGTGAGACCCCATCTCTACAAAAAATACAAAAATTAGCCGGGCTTGGTGGCATGCACCTGTCATCCCAGCTACTCAGGATGCTGAGGGGAGAATCACCTGAGCCCTGGAGGTGGAGGCTGCAGCAAGCCAAGATAGCACCACTGCACTCCAGCCTAGGTGACAGAGACTGTCTCAAAAAAAAAAAAAAAAATTAAAAAAAACCCTCAAAAACCAAACATTTCCCTCCCACTGTGTGAGGACAGTAAAAGCTGACTTTTCCGTGGATGCCCTATGTCTGCATAGGGCGCTATGCCCTACCCCTGCATGGGTGCACATTCATGATTTCATTTAATCTTCACAACAAGGTGGTGATGTGACTCTTACCCCTTTTAATGAAGGCAGCTGAGGCCCAGGAGGTTAAGCAAATAATGCATTTTTTTTTTAATTGAGTCAGAGTCTCGCTCTGTCACCCAGGCTGGAATGCAATGGCATGATCCTGGCTCACTGCAACCTCCAACGCCTGGGTTCAAGTGATTCTCATGCCTCAGCCTCCCAAGTAGTTGGGACTACAGGTGCACGCCACCATGCCTGGCTAATGTTTTTTTTTTTTGTATTTTTAGTAGATATGGGGATTCTCTATGTTGGCCAGGCTGGTCTCGAACTCCTGACCTCAGGTGATCTGCCCGCCTCAGCCTCCCAAAGTGCTGGGATTACAAGCGTGAGCCACTGTGCCCAGCCAAAGAATAGATTTTGAATGTAAACCCAGCTATCTGGCTGTAGAGGCAGAGTCTAGAGTCCCTGCTGGCCCAAGGGAGATCACCAGGGCGGCAGGCCCCTGTGCGGGAAAGCCCGAAGCTAGGGCCTGGGAGCCTCCTTTGCAGCCTCCACCCAAGTGTTTCCTCCTCACCCCTGGCGGTCCCTTCCCGCTCCAGTCAGCAGTTCCCAAACAGAATCACCCAGGGTTCCACCCTTGCAAAATATCTGCTTTCTTCTGCATCAAAACCCTTTCTTGTCAGTTGCAATTAGAAATGATTAGAGGAGCTAATTCCCATTAAATTGTCAATGACTCATCTATTCATCCATGCTTGCTTTTTGTTTTTTAGAAAGCTTCCAACCCAATATTTTTCTATTCTTCCTTTGAAGTATTCTTGCTCCGATTGAATCAAAGCAGGACCGGCACCACCTCCCTTTCCCTCCCTGGGGTTTCCCATTTCCCAGTCTCCCAGGAGGGTTCGGAGGCACTCTCCATCCTTTTATCAACTGGCGGTCACCGCCTTGCATTTTAATAATGGACAGTTCCCTAATGGAGAAAAGTGAATCTCTGGTGGAGGAATGACAATTTTGTTTTTCCTGTGGGGAGAGGCAGGAGGACACTGTCACTATGTGTGTCCTCTGCAAGGGGGACTGACAGCTCGCTCAGGGGAGGGCAACTACTGCGCACAGCTGCTTCCCCAGGACGTCGCAGCTCCAGAGCAAGAGAAGTGAGGAGCAAATCTCAGTGCAAACGGAAAGAAAGCATCTCCTGATCCACTGCTAGCAGCAGGGGAAATGGAGAACCCCAGGGAAGGAAAGACAGTGGAATGTGTGCATGTGTATGTGTGCTTGTGCGTGTGTGCATGTGAGTGTGCGTGCGTGCCTGTGCGTGTGCGAGTGTGTGCCTGTGTGTGTGCATGTATGTGCCTGTGCATGTGTACCTGTGCATGTGTGTATGTACATGTGTGTGAGTGCCTGTGCATGTGTGTATGTGCCTGGGCATGCATGTACCTGTGATGAGTATGTACGTGTGTGTGCGTGCCTGTGTGTGCCTGTAGGTGTGCATGTGTGTGCCTATGCGTGCATGTGCATGTGTGTGTGTGCTTGCAGCATTTGGGTCCTTCACATAATGGTTGCTCTCATATCCTGAGAACTTTTGATGCATTGGATTAAAAGCTGCCCACCCTGGAGAGCTGTGAAAGGCTTTTTAAGGCCCTTATTCTTCCCCTTCCCTCCTGTAATGTGGTTCCCCAGCGAGGCGCCCCTGCTTCCCAAGCTGCTGGAGCACACTCCAGTCTCAAACATGCAAAGGACTTGTTCCCTTGCGTGTCTTTAGGACACAGTCTCTCCTGAACTCAATGATTTTCAGCTTTTGCTTCATTTAATCATTTCCAGCGGCTACAGATGATAGAGTTTAAAGGGAGTCATTACTCTGCGGTAGACTCAAGGCTCCAGTCCCGGGGACCTCACCGAACTTGGAAGAGGATCTCTGGCCCCCCAGGAAGGCCCCCTGCAGTCTTTAGGGAAGATCTTCCTCCCCATCCCATGGGGCTTTTGCTTTTCTCACTCACTTGCTGTAGTGCAATTGCAAAAAGCCAATTCTTGGAAGAGCCAATTTGCCAAATGACCAACTTCCCAATGTATTGCTTCTTTGAACTAATTCGTTTTCCTTGGGTGGTCGTCAACTTGTGTTTCTATCAGCACACTGACCCTTCATTCTGTCTCTGCCTTAGTGCCCTGGAGATGGGGTGTGTGGGGAGTAAAGACAGGGGGATTTGAGAAGGCATCAGAAGAGTATATTTTGAGCACATAATCGTGACTGTCAACCAATCCTTTATTAAAGTAATTGTCTTAAAAGAATTATTTCGTATTGAAGAATACATTCAAGATGATATTCAGTGATGCATTCTTCATAAATGTGTTTTCCTCCTGGGTCTATTTTTCTAATTTTTCAGGCTGAAGGTGTGAACAAGATTGTTGGTTCCCTGTGCAATATCCAGCGTCCCTTTGTCCTTCAACAGAAGTCCTCTTGTTTTGGGGGCATGATTTGTGCCAGTAAACAAATTTCCCCGCATCCTTGAAGGCAGAGAGGGCTAGAGAGATGGAAGCAAATGCATTTGGGTGGAACCTGTATAGGGATTCACTTGGGAGGCGTGCTCTTTGCCTTCTGCTTTCTTCTTCCTGCCTGGAATGTGGTCACAATGGCTGGATCTCCAGTGGCCTATTAGTGATACGGCTCCGATGGGTGGAGGAACACCAGGTTCTTGTCTTGTGCAATTTAGATAAAACGACATGGGGCACATGTAGAATGGCTATAAAGAGCGGGGAGTTTAATAGGCAAGAAAGAAAAGGCAGAAGGAAGAGGCTCCCTCATACGGAGACAGAGGGAGGGGGACTCCAAAGCCTAAAGAGGAAACCCCAAGTGCCACGGATACCAGCCAGTTTTATGTAGAGACCGTAGGAGGTGGCGTCTGATTTGCACAGGGCTCAGGTCATTGGTTTGACCAGGCATGTCATTCACATGGCCTGTGAAAAAGCTGACCCTCCCACCCTAGCCTTTTAATATGCAAATGCAGAGCGCCATGATGTTCTACACACGTGGGGATCTGTGGGGGCGGTCATGTTGCCAGGCACATGTGGGGGCAAGGGCAAGAGGACACCGTGAGAACTGCCATGTTAGGTGGACCCAGTTTCTAATATCCTCCATTTGCATATCAAAGGTTGCCACCCTGCTATCCTTCTAGACAAGAAATGTTTTTGGAGCTGCTTTAAAAGAAATGAAAACTTTTCCTATCTGCCTAAAATAATTTCTTAATAACTCCTACCACATTAGTGAGGGACGAGAGAGACCCTCTCATATTGTTTTATATTGTTTTATACTCAGAAAAAGAAAGAGAAGCAAAACTAAAGGCAGGTAGCCCGGTGCCTAGGAACCAGACCTGAAACCAGGCCTGGGCCTGCCTGACCTAAGCCTGGTAGTTAAAATTCAACCCCTGACCTAGCAACTGATGTTATCTATAGATTCCAGACATTGTATGGAAGGACATTGTGAAACCTCCCGTTCTGTTCTGTTTCACTCTGACCACCGGTGCTCGCAGCCCCTGTCACGTACCCCCTGGCTTGCTCAATCGATCACGACCCTCTCACGCGGACCCCCTTAGAGTTGTGAGCCCTTAAAAGGGACAGAAGTTGAGCACCCAAGGAGCTCGGATTTTAAGACGCTAGCCTGCCCATGCTCCCAGCTGATTAAAGCCACTCCCTTCACTATCTCAGTGTCTGAGGGATTTTGTCCGCGGCTCGTCCTGCTACATTAGGACCATGAGGTCACCTTGATGGCAAATATTGAGAAACTGAATATACAAATGAACAATGGTCAGACCTCATATAAAAACAGAACCCCGAATTATAATCTGTGCAACCAGCTCAGGAAACCAACCTGTGATCCCCTGTAACCAGCCCCGGGAGCCAGCCTTCTCTCTCTAAGTCAGCTCTGTAGTAAGCCTGTTACCACAGGTAACTGGTCAGGGAAGCCAAACAATGACCCCTCTAACAATTGGTCCAAACTGCCCAGGATTTGATTAATAACTGTCAGCTTCCCTCATTTTTGTCCCTGCTTCCAATTTTGGACTAACTAGAGAAAGTCAAATATGCACCCCTAGGATGTCCGCTCCCACGAGCCTGCCCAGCTTCCTTTTGAAAAAGGCCTCATCCGGGCACCCCGGGGTCTGTCGTCCATCACCAAGCTTCCCCCATGCCTTCCCTGAGTCTCTGCCAAAGGCAGGTGGTGGAGGTGGCCCCCTCACTAGAGCCAGCTCGGAATACACGGCGCGTGCTTGGTCTTAGGCAGGTGGTCTTTGCTTGTTTCCACAATGCCACATATTAAGGAAACTGACGCAGAAACATAAAAGGACTTGAAACGCTGACAAATGGGAAAGCTGCTCCACCAGCCAAGACTGTACTGGGGAAGCAGAATTAGAAACAAAGCCTCCTCCCAACCCAAGAAAACCTCTCCACAAAGCAGAAGAGGAAGGAAGCCATTGCATTATCAAAGAAGCATTTAACGAGAATGTAATGTGCATCCCAGGAATCCACTCAAAGGATTGGAAAGACAGTAGGAATCTCACGCCTTTGTATAGCAAAGTGGATTAGATACTGTCAGGCTTCTGAGCCCAAGCTAAGCCATCATATACCCTGTGACCTGCACGTATACATCCAGATGGCCTGAAGTAACTGAAGAATCACAAAAGAAGTGATATTTAAATTGCCTGTTCCTGCCTTAACTGATGACATTCCACCACAAAAGAAGTGAAAATGGCCAGTCCTTGCCTTAACTGATGACATTACCTTGTGAAATTCCTTCTCCTGGCTCATCCTGGCTCAAAAAGCTCCCCCATTGAGCACCTTGTGACCCCCACTCCTGCCCGCCAGAGAATAACCCCCCTTCTTCCTTTACCTACCCAAATCTTATAAAATGGCCCCACCCCTATCTCCCTTGGCTGACTCTCTTTTCGGACTCAGCCTGCCTGCACCCAGGTGAAATAAACAGCCTTGTTCCTCATACAAAGCCTGTTTGGTGGACTCTTCACACAGATGCGAGTGAAATTTGGTGCCATGACTCGGACTGAGGGACCTCCCTTGGGAGATCAATCTCATCCTCCTGCTCTTTGCACCATGAGAAAGATCCACCTACGACCTCAGGTCCTCAGACCAACCAGACCAAGGAACATCACACCAATTTTAAATCAGGTAAGTGGCCTCTTCTTACTCTCTTCTCCAACCTCTCTCACTATCCTTCACCCTCTTTCTCCTTTCAATCTTGGTGCCACACTTCAATCTCTCCCTTCTCTTAATTTCAGTTCCTTTTCTTTTCTCATAGAGACAGGAGACGTGTTTTATCCATGGACGCAAAACTCTGGCGCCAGTCACAGACTCGGGAAGACAATCTTCCCTTGGTGTTTAATCACACAGGGACGCCTGCCTGATTATTCACCCACATTTCAGAGGTGTCTGACCATGCGGGGACACCTGCCTTGGTCCTTCACCCTTAGCGGCAAGTACTGCTTTTCTGGGGGGCAAGAACCCCCCGACCCCTTCTCTCCGTGTCTCTACCCCTTCTCCGCTTTTCTAGGGGGCAAGAACCCCTCAACCCCTTCTCTCCGTGTCTCTACTCTCTCTTTTCTCTGGGCTTGCCTCCTTCACTATGGGCAGCCTTCCACCCTCCATTCCTCCTCCTTCTCCCTTAGCCTGTGTTCTCAAGAACTCAAAACCTCTTCAACTCACACCTGACCTAAATGCCTTATTTTCTTCTGCAATGCCGCTTGACCCCAATACAAACTCAACAGTGGTTCCAAATAGCCAGAAAACAGCACTTTCGATTTTTCCATCCTACAAGATCTAGATAATTCTTATCGTAAAATAGGCAAACAGTCTGAGGTGCCTGACGTCCAGGCATTCTTTTACACATTGTTCCCTCCCTAGCCTCTGTTCCCAATGTGACATGTCCCAAATCCTCCTTCTTTCCCTCCCGCCTGTCCTCTCAGTCCCAATCCCAAGCGTCACTGAGTTTTTCTAATTCTCCTTTTCTACAGACCCATCTGACTTCACGCCTCCTCCCCAGGCTGCTCCTTGCCAGGCTGAGCCAGGTCCCAATTCTTCCTCAGCCTCTGCTCCCCCACCCCATAATCCTTTTATCACCTCCCCTCCTCACACCCAGTCTGGCTTACAGTTTCATTCTGCGACTAGCCCTCCCCGACCTGCCCAGCAATTTCCTCTTAAAAAGGTGGCTGGAGCTAAAGGCATAGTCAAGGTTAATGCTCCCTTTTCTTTATCCGACCTCTCCCAAAATCAGTTAGCATTTAGGCTCTTTTTCATCAAATATGAAAAACCCAGCCCAGTTCATGGCTCATTCGGCAGCAACCCTGAGATGCTTTATAGCCCTAGACCCTAAAAGGTCAAAAGGCTGTCTTAGTCTCAATATACATTTTATTACCCAGTCCGCTCCTGACATTAAATAAAACTCCAAAAATTAAATTCCGGCCCTCAAACCCCACAACAGGACTTAATTAACCTCACCTTCAAGGTGTACAATAGAGTAGAGGCAGCTAAGTAGTAACATATTTCTGAGTTGCAATTCCTTGCCTCCACTGTGAGACAAACCCCAGCCACATCTCCAGCACACAAGAACTCCAAATGCCTGAACCGCAGCTGCCAGGGGTTCCTCCAGAAACTCCTCCCCCAGGAGCTTGCTACAAGTGCCGGAAATCTGGCCACTGGGCCAAGGAATGCCCACAGCCCAGGATTCCTCCTAAGCCATGTCCCATCTGTGCAGGACCCCACTGAAAATCGGGCTGTTCAACTCACCTGGCAGCCACTTCCAGAGTGCCTGGAACTCTGGCCCAAGGCTGTCTGACTCCTTCCCAGATCTTCTCGGCTTAGCAGCTGAAGACTGACGCTGCCCGATCACCTCGGGAGTTTACAGGACCATCACAGACGATCTGGGTAACTCTCACGGTGGAAGATAAGTCCGTCCCCTTCTTAATCAATACGGAGGCTCCCACTCCACATTACCTTCTTTTCAAGGACCTGTTTCCCTTGCCTCCATAACTGTTGTGGGTATTGACGGCCAGGCTTCTAAACCTCTTAAAACTCTGGTGCCAACTTAGACAATACTCTTTTATCACTCTTTTTTAGTTATCCCCACCTGCCCAGTTCCCTTATTAGGCCGAGACACTTTAAATTATCTGCTTGCCTGACTGTTCCTGGACTACAGCCACACCTCATTGCTGCCCTTTTCCCCAGTTCAAAGCCTCCTTCACATCCTCCTCTCCTATCCCCGCACCTTAACCCACAAGTATAGGATACCTCTACTCCCTCCTTGGAGACTGATCATGCACCCCTTACCATCCCATTAAAACCTAATCACCCTTACCCTGCTCAAGGCCAATATCCCATCCCACAGCATGCTTTAAAAGGATTAAAGCCTGTTATCACTCGCCTGTTACAGCAGCATGGGCTTTTAAAGCCTACAAATTCCCCTTAAAATTCACCCATTTTACCTGTCCTAAAACCAGACAAGGCTTACAGGTTAGTTCAGGATCTGTGCCTTGTCAACCAAATTGTTTTGCCTATCCACCCCGTGGTGCCAAACCGATATACTCTCCTATTCTCAATACCTCCCTCCACAACCCATTATTCTGTTCTGGATCTCAAACATGCTTTCTTTACTATTCCTTTGCACCCTTCATCCCAGCCTCTCTTCGCTTTCACTTGGACTGACCCTCACATCCATCAGGCTCAGCAAATTACCTGGGCTGTACTGCCGCAAGGCTTCACAGCCAGCCCCCATTACTTCAGTCAAGCCCAAATTTCTTCCTCATCTGTTACCTATCTCAGCGTAATTCTCATAAAAACACACGTGCTCTCCCTGCCGATCGTGTCCGACTGATCTCTCAAACCCCAACACCTTCTACAAAACAACAACTCCTTTCCTTCCTAGGCATGGTTGGATACTTTCGACTTTAGATACCTGGTTTTGCCATCCTAACAAAACCATTATATAAACTCACAAAAGGAAACCTAGCTGAGCCCATAGATCCTAAATCCTTTCCCCACTCCTCTTTCCATTCCTTGAAGACAGCTTTAGAGTTGGCCCCCACGCTAGCTCTCCCTGACTCATCCCAACCCTTTTCATTACCCACAGCCGAAGTGCAGGGCTGTGCAGCCAGAATTCTTACACGAGAACCGGAACTGCGCCCTGTAGCCTTTTTATCCAAACAACTTGACCTTACTGTCTTGCCTAGCCCTCAAATCTGCATGCGGCGGCCACCACCGCACTAATACTTTTAGAGGCCCTTAAAATCACAAACTATGCTCAACTCACTCTCTACAGTTCTCATAACTTCCAAAATCTGTTTTCCTCCTCACACCTGACACATATACTTTCTGCTTCCCGGCTCCTTCAGCTGTACTCACTCTTTGTTGAGTCTCCCACAATAACCATTGTTCCTGGCGTGGACTTCAATCTGGCCTCCCACATTATTCCTGATACCACACCTGACCCCCGTGACTGTATCTCTCTGATCCACCTGATATTCACCCCGTTTCCCCATATTTCCTTCTTTCCTGTTCCTCACCCTGATCACACTTGATTTATTGATGGCACTTCCACCAGGCCTAATTGCCACACACCAGCAAAGGCAGGCTATGCTATAGTACAAGCCACTAGCCCGCCTCTTAGAACCTCTCATTTCCTTTCCATCGTGGAAATCTATCCTCAAGGAAATAACTTCTCAGTGTTCCATCTGATATCCTACTATTCCTCAGGGATTATTCAGGCCCCCTCCTTTCCCTACACATCAAGCGTGAGGATTTGCCCCCGCCCAGGGCTGGCAAATTGGCTTTACTCAACATACCCCGAGTCAGGAAACTAAAATGCCTCTTGTTCTGGGTAGACACTTTCACTGGATAGGTAGAGGCCTTTCCCACAGGGTCTAAGAAGACCACCACGGTCATTTCTTCCCTTCTGTCAGACATAATTCCTCGGTTTGGCCTTCCCACCTCTATACAGTCCTATAACGGACCAGCCTTTATTAGTCAAATCAGCCAAGCAGTTTCTCAAGCTCTTATTCAGTGAACTAATGGTCTTTTAAAAACACACCTCACCAAGCTCAGCCACCAACTTAAAAAGGACTGGACAATACTTTTACCACTTGACCTCAGAATTCAGGCCTGTCCTCAGAATGCCACAAGGTACAGCCCATTTGAGCTCCTGTATAGACGCTCCTTTTTATTAGGCCCCAGTCTCATTCCAGACACCAGACCAAGTTGGACTGCGGCGCCCTCCCCCCCGCAAAAAAAACAAAACTTGTCATCCCTACTATCTTCTGTCTAATCATACTCCTATTCGCCGTTCTCAACTACTCATAAATGCCCTGCTCTTGTTTACACTGCTGGTTTACACTGTTTCTCCAAGCCATCACAGCTGATATCTACTGGTGCTATCCCTAAATCACCACTCTTAACTCCCTCTTAAAGTAAATAAATAATCTTTGCTGGCAGGGCTATGCTGAACCTCCTTGGGCACTCTCTAGTTAGATGTCCTGGGTCCTTCCAATTCTTAGTCCTTTAATACCTGTTTTTCTCCTTGTCTTATTCCGTTCTTTTTTCAAATCATACAAAACCATATCCAGGCCATCACCAATAATTCTATACGACAAATGTTTCTTCTAACAACCCCACAATATCACCCTTTACCACAAAATCTTCCTTCAGCTTAATCTCTCCCACTCTAGGTTCCCACACCACCCCTAATCCCGCTCAAAGCAGCCCTGAGAAACATCGCCCATTATCTCTCCATACCACCCCCCAAAAATTTTCGCCGCCCCAACACTTCAACACTATTATGTTTTATTTTTCTTATTAATATAAGAAGACAGGAATGTCAGGCCTCTGAGCCCAAGCTAAGCCATCATATCCCCTGTGACCTGCACGTATACATCCAGATGGCCTGAAGTAACTGAAGAATCACAAAAGAAGTGATATTTAAATAGCCGGTTCCTGCCTTAACTGATGACATTCCACCACAAAAGAAGTGAAAATGGCCAGTCCTTGTCTTAACTGATGACATTACCTTGTGAAATTCCTTCTCCTGGCTCATCCTGGCTCAGAAAGCTCCCCCACTGAGCACCTTGTGACCCCCCACTCCTGCCCGCCAGAGAACAACCCCCCTTTTTCCTTTACCTACCCAAATCTTATAGAACGGCCCCACCCCTATCTCCCTTCACTGACTCTCTTTTCGGACTCAGCCTGCCTGCACCCAGGTGAAATAAACAGCCTTGTTGCTCACACAAAGCCTGTTTGGTGGTCTCTTCACACGGACGCGTGTGAAAGATACAACCCCTGGCCTTCAGGTTTTCAAGGTACAATTGGTCAACTCACCGTATTTCGTAGTCTAAAGGAAACTCTAGGAAACCGCAAGGTGGTGTCAGCTTCCTTGACGATTCAGAGAGGTGGTTCCGAACGGGCGCAGTGGCTCATGCCTGTAATCCCAGCACTTTGGGAGGCCGAGGCAGGTGGATCTCTTGAGATCAGGAGTTTGAGAACAGCCTAGCCAACATGACAAAAACCCCGTTCTCTACTAAAAATAAAAAATTAGCTGGGTGTGGTGTCACATGCCTGTAATCCCAGCTACTTGGGAAGTTGAGGCAGGAGAATTACTTGAACCTGGGAGGCAGAGGTTGCAGTGAGCCAAGATCGCACCATTGCACTCCAGCCTGGGCGACAAGAGCAAAACTCCACCTCAAACACCACCACCACCACCACCACCACCACCAAAGAGGTGGCTCTCAGGCTCTTGAGGAGCTGCAAGACTGGCAAGAGGTTTGCTTAGTATTTGACCTCATGCTTGCTTCTCTTCAGTCTTCTCAACATGAGGAAAAATAAGCCTCTGTCATGTTCATGCTATCAAGATAAATCAGTCTTATTTTCATTTTCTATAACCAGCAGCAAAACATAGTATCCAACCAATGGACAGTTTTTTACCCCAAGTCTGGAAGTTCTCCTTTTTTTGTTTCCTTTGAGACAGGGTCTCACCGTCACCCAGGCTGCAGTCCAGTGGAGCGATCACGGCGCACTGCAGGCTCCACCTCCTGAGCTCAAGTGATCCTCCCACCTCAGCCCTCCTAGCAGTTGGGACTACAGGTGCAGGCCACTATGCCTGGCTAATTTTTTAAAATTTTTAGTAGAGATGAGGTCTCGCTATGTTGCACAGGCCAGTCTTAAACTCCTGGACTCAAGCAATCCTCCTGCTTTTGTTAAATATGAATTCTACATTTCTCTTCAAAGAATTAATATGTCAGTATGTTCAATTGTTTGCCTTCTACTTTTAAACTTAACTTCCTTGTAAAGCAACGTTTTTCAATTACCTGCTCCACCCTGACTCATTCTCCACCTGGACTCATTCTGATGACCTACTCCACCGACTCATTCCGATTCATTCTCCACCCTGACTCATTTCATTACCGTTTTTTTTGCCAACCCACTCACCTCATCACTCTCTTGAAATTAGCCAGTCGTAATTAGTTTGGTCTGTGCAGTCTAACCCTAGCCAATAGGCGAACGACACAGCAGTAGGGACCATGTGCATCAGAAATAGGAACCCCTTTCCCTCACTTGTCCAGGTGTGCGCTCACCATTGCTCCATCTGTAAGGGCGCACCCTTCTGTAGAAGTTACTTGCCTTGTTGGGAATTACAAGAAAATTTCTTTTGTGGCACCGAAACTTTACTTACAACACTCTGACTTCCCAAAGTGCTGGGATTACAGACATGAGCCATTGCACCTGGCCTGGAAGTTCTCTTACCTTTGAATATTGTCTCTTTCATTTTCTCCATTTTCTCTTTATAAAATGCATGTTAGAGCTCCTTACTCTATTTTCTTAAACTTTTTGAGGACTAAGCTCTGATTTTTTATCTTGCCCAAATTCCTATCGAAGGGGTCTGGGGAGTCATGCCCTGCAAACCATAAATTCTCATCAGATGGTTTTATTTAACCGTATATATCATTACTGACTTTCCAATCTGACTCTGGCATAACATTATAAGACAAGGAAAAAAATCAAAATATTTAACCCCAAAACATGTTTCTTTGCCGTATTTTGAAATGCCCTGCAAAGCCATCCTTTGTGGGGGAAGATCTGCTTCTGTAAAGAATCTCTATTCACATAGCCAGATATTTTTTTTTCCGGCCCTCCCAATCCTGAAGAGATTAACCGAGAGTCTAGCACCTTTTAAAAGTCTGAATATGAAGCATTTGTCATCGATTGTCTCTAAGGGCAGCTACTATGAGACTTCAGAAGAACCTTGGTCTCCACAATCTTTTATCTTAACCTGAGCATTTCCTTTCTATGGATCCCAGGTCTTTTTTTTTTTTTTGGAGACGGAGTCTTGCTCTGTCACCCAGGCTGGAGTGCAGTGGAGCGATCTCGTCTCGCTGCAACCTCCGCCTCCCGGGTTCACACCATTCTCCTGCCTCAGCCTCCTGAGTAGCTGGGACTACAGGCACCCGCCACCACGTCTGGCTAATTTTTTGTATTTTTTAGTAGAGACGGGGTTTCACCGTGTTAGCCAGGATGGTCTTGATCTCCTGACCTCTGATCTGCCTGCCTCGGCCTCCCAAAGTGCTGGGATTACAGGTGTGAGCCACCGTACCTGGTCTACTGGATCCCAGGTCTTTAGAGAAGCTCAACCAATTGTCAACTAGAAAATGTTTACGTTCACCTGGAAGCCCCGCCCCCCACCCTCCCCTCCCACCCGCTTTGAGTTGCCCCACCTCTCTGAACCAATCTATTTATCAAATATATTTGATTGACATCTCACACCTCCCTAAAATATATAAAGCCAAGCTGTGCCCTGACCACCTTGGGGACATGTTCTCAAGACCTCCTGAAGGCTGCGTCATGGGCCACAGCCGCTCATATTTGGCTCAGAATAAATGTCTTAAAATATTTTACAAAGTTTGAGTCTTTTTGTCTACATTATCTAAAGTTTTCGTTACTTTTTCAATCTTTATCTTCTGTGTTACAGCACTGGTCTCTGCTTTACTGTATAATCCTTATGTCAAATATTTTATGTCAATGGATCATAATAACTATAGTAACATTTTTATTTGCTTTAAAATATTCTCCTTTAAAAACGATAACCTGTTTCATGGTTCATGGATGCTTTTTTTAAATCTATATGTTATCTAAAAGAAACTCATTTTAAGTATAAAGACATAGATAGTGTGAACCTGGAAAATCTGAGACAAGTCTTAGTTAATTTAGAAAGTTTATTTTGTCAAGGTTGAGGATGCGCACCTGTGACAGACTCAGGAGGTCCTGACGACACGTGCCCAAGGTGGTCAGAGCACAGTTTGGTTTTTATACATTCTAGGGGGACATGAGACATCAATCAACATACGCAAGATGAACATTGGTTCGGTCTGGAAAGGCGGGACTACTCAGAGCAAAAGCAGGAGGACTGGAAGCCAGGGGAGGGGGCTTCCAGGCCACCTATAGATAAGAGACAAAAGGTTGTTTTCTTCTGAGATTCTGACTTGCCTCTCCAAAGGAGGCGTTCAGATATGCATCTGTGTCAGTGAGTAGAGGGATGACTTTGAATAAAATGAGAGGCAGGTTGGCCCTAAGCAGTACCCTGCTTGACTTTTCTCTTTAGCTTAGTGATTTGGGGGCCCCAAGATTTATTTTCCTTTCACAATAGGTTAAAAATAAAAGGATGAGAAAAGATATGTTGTGCACACACACACTATAAAATCAGCTGGAACGCAATATTCATATTAAACAAAGCTTGGTACAAGAAATGTTACCAGTGTGAAAGTTGTCAGAATCAAAATGGAATCTCTTGTGTTAAAAACAAAAACAAAAACCAAAAACCTTGTGACCGGGCGCAATGGCTCACGCCTGTAATTCCAGCACTTTGGAAGGCCGAGGTGCCCGAGGTCGGGAGTTCGAGACCAGCCTGACCAACATGGAGAAACCCTGTTTCTATTAAAAATACAGAATTAGCCAGGTGTGGTGGTACATTCCTGTAATCTCAGCTACTCCAGAGGCTGAGGCAGGATAATTGCTTGAACCCGAAGGCGGAGGTGCGATGAGCCGAGATCGCACCATTGCACTCCAGCCTGGGCAACAAGAGTGAAACTCCATCACAAAGGAAAAAAAAAAAAAGCCTAGACAGAGAAGCCAGAGAAGACCAGGAAGAGACGGTTCTTGAGCATGAATGTCTGACAGCACAGCTATCCCAGAAGAATGCAAAACCCACAGCCTTGCAAAAAGGCCATTGCAACCTCACATCAAAGGTCCTTCTGTGAGGACATCTGCCCAGCGACTGCCTGCCCAACCTTGGATTGGTGCCACCTTTGTTACTGGTCTTCGTAGCTAAGGATAATTATCTCAAAACAATGATATGACCCTCCTCATTTTCCCGTCGTCTCGCTGTGTTCCCTCCCTGAGTAACACAGAGTGTATGATGGTGCACGGATTTCCACAGCAGTGCTCCAATCCCAAATAGACTTCAGCTTCTTTTAGAAAGCCCCTCTCTGTTTAGGTTGACACCACGGATAAAGAGGGATATTGCATAAAGATCAAGGGGTCAAGTCTGTGGAGTCCTGATAAGGTAAGTAAGCAAGAATGAGGAAGAGGTCCCAGGTGAGGGAGAAGAATTACTCTGAGAGGTGGCTAACCACAGGCAACCCTCTGGCACAACTACCTCGCTCAGGACGTAGCCCCTGCAGCACGAACCTGCAGAACCTCCCTCCAGCCCCTGCCTCTTTGCAGACAGCTCCTTCTCTGCTGTGCTGCCTGTTACATCCTTGCAACGCACCTTCGTATTTTCTCAAATAAATCTGCCTTTTTTTTTTTTTTTGAGATGAAGTCTCACTCTGTCACCCAGACTGGAGTGCAGTGGCGCGATCTTGGCCCACGGCAACCTCCGCCTCCCAGTTTCAAGGGATTCTCCTGCCTCAGCTTCCTGAGTAGCTGGAATTACAGGTACATGCCACCATGGCTGGCTAATTTTTGTAATTTTAGTAGAGACAGGGTTTCATCATGTTGGCCAGGCTGGTCTCGAGCTCCTAACCTCAGGTGATCTGCCCTCCTTGGCCTCCCAAAGTGCTAGGATTACAGGCATGAAGCCACCACACCTGGCCAAATCTGCCTTTCTTTACCTACGACTGTCTTGGTAAATTCTTTTTTTTTTTTTTTTTTTGAGGCAGAGTGTTGCTGTGTCACCCAGGCTGGAGTGCAGTGGTGTGATCTCAGCTCACTGCAACCTCCACCTCCTGGGTTCAAGGGATTCTCCTGCCTCAGCCTCCTGAGTGTTAGGAATAATGCTCAAAATCCTAAGGAAATTGAACACTCGAACAAAGGATTCTTAGCAAAGCAATTTTCCTTCTGCGCAGAGGGGTGCCTCCTTGGCCAATGGCCATGAGAGCACACCTGAACAAGGGGCACAAGAGCCTTTATTCCTGATGCAAGTCCTACCCCGCCCCTGTACCCTTTCCCCATTGGCTGGGGTCAGGTCCTACAATCTAAACTAATCCTGGTTGGCTAAACATTGGATTTTTTTTTACATAAGGCAGGCACATAAAAGAAAGTGGAGAGGAAGGGGAAGGGGTGTCTGTAATGAGCTAGAAAGTTAGTCCTCTTTCCAAATAAGGAAAGGAATGGAGCTGGTACTGATAACGCCTAGTACTATGGCATGCCTGGGCATCTAACAAAGGCGAAGAGGAAAAAAGGAGAAAAAGGAGAAGTTGGGGAGGCACTATGAATTAAAGAATAAAAGATTGATCAGATTATTTGAAGAGAAACCTCATCATATCCCACACGAGTAGCTGGGATTACAGGTGCCCGCCACCATGCTCTGCTAATTTTTGTATTTTTAGTAGAGATGGGGTTTCGCCATGTTGGCCAGGCTGGTCTCGAACTCCTGACCTCAGGTCATCCTCCTGCCTCGGCCTCTCAGACTGCTGGGATTACAGGTGTGAGCCACCGTGCCTGGCCGGTAAATCCTTTTACTGACCATGACGCTGGCCCCAGCCAGTTGCACCCGCGATGAAGTCTTCATTAGGACATCACAATCCTACATGTGTGTATACCTAACAACAGAGCTTCAAAATATACAAAAAAATTGGAAAGAACAAACACTGAAATAAACAAATCCACAACTAGAGCTGGAGACATCTACAGTGCCCTCTCGGTGATCACTAGAACAAGTAGGCAGACTCCTTGTGCCTGGAAATTGGCCTGTCTCATCTTCTCCAGGTTCTTGGTGGGGGCGGTGAGACCACCATCTAGTCAGCAGTTGGGCTGGGTGTGGGTTTGTTGTAATGGTCATCTCAGTGCACCGCACTGGAGACTTCAAATTCCTCAAGCTGTGGGAGGCAGCCACCTCATGCCGGGGGTCCTTCTCAGGCTCCTACCCACCCCCCTGCCCCCAGCTTTCAGCTGTGCCTGCAGGTTTGCAGCTCAGAGGGAGGCCATCTCCAAGCATCCCTGCTCTCCTCTCTGTATGGCGCCCCGCAGCACCTTTTCTCTGTGGTTGGTCTTGGGTGGCAGTTTCCCATCTGGCCCCATGTCCACACCCTTGACCATTCCTTCACGGGGGGTGGATTTTTGCCAAGGTCCTGGAGGAAGAGTATTTTCCATCCCTTCCCTGGGGCAGACAGGTTTTGCCCTTTCTTCACCCCTATAATCAGTGGATCTTCGCTTACGCCCTGGAAACAAGATAGTGTGAAAGGAAAATAAATCTTGGACCCCCAAATCACTACGCTAAAGGGAAAAGTCTGCTGGGCGTGGTGGCTCACGCCTGTAACCTCAGCACTTTGCGAGGCTGAGGCAGGCTGATCACCTGAGGTCAGGAGTTCGAGACCAGCCTGGCCAACATGGTGAAACCTGTCTCTACCAAAAATACAAAAATTAGCCTGGCGTGGTGGCACGTGCCTGTAGTTCCAGCTACTTGGGAGGCTGAGGCAGGGAGAATTGCTTGAACCCAGGAGGCAGAAGTTGCAGTGAGCCAAGATCGCGCCACTGTGCTACAGCCTGGGTGACAGAGCAAGACTCCGTTGCAAAAATAACTAACTAACTAGCTAAATAAATAAATAAAGGGAAAAGTCAAGCTGAGAACTGCTTAGGGCCAACCTGCCTCCCATTCTATTCAATGTCACCACCCCCACCCCCACCACTGAGATAGATGCATATCTGATGGCCTCTGTTGGAAAGGCTAATCAGAAACTCAAAAGAATGCAACTCTCTCACCCACCTGTGACCCGCAAGCCCCCTCCCAGCTTCGAGTCTTCCTGCCTTTGCTTCAGGTTGTCCTGCCTTTCTAGACCGAACCAATGTACTTCTTACCTATATTGATTGATGTCTCACGTCTCCCTAAAATGTATAAAACCAAGCTGTGCCCCGACCACCTTGGGCACGTGTTGTAAGGTACATGCCACCATGCCTGGCTAATTTTTGTAATTTTAGTAGAGACAGGGTTTCACCGTGTTGGCCAGGCTGGTCTCGAACTCCTGACCTCAGGTGATCCGCCCTCCTTGGCCTCCCAAAATGCTAGGATTACAGGCATGAAGCCACCGCACCTGGCCAAATCTGCCTTTCTTTACCTCAGGACCTCCTGAGGCTGTGTCACAGGCGCGTCCTCAACCTTCACAACATAAACTTTCTAAATTAACTGAGGGCAGATGGGATTTTCCCTTTCTTCTGCCCTAGAATCAATGGAGCTTTGCTTATGCCCTGGGAGCAAGACGGTTTAATGCACCTTCCTCAGCAGCTCAAGTCTTCTGCTTGTAAGAGTGTCCAGGGAGCAGCTGGGGCTCCTACCTGCCCCAGCACCATCCCCTCTCGCACATCCACATCACCCACAAGGGCTGTCTGTCATCACCTGCCCTGTCCCCGCTCTTTCTTTTTTTTCTTTTTTTAGGTGGAGTCCTGCTCTGTTGCCCAAGCTGGAGTGCAGAGGCGCGATCTTGGCTCACTGCAGCCTCCGCCTCCTGGGTTCAAGCAATTCTCCTGCCTCAGCCTCCCGAGTAGCTGGGATTACAGGTGTGCACCAGCACACCCAGTTAATTTATGTATTTTTAGTAGAGATGGGGTTTCACCATATTGGCCAGGCTGGTCTCAAACTCTTGACCTCGTGATCCACCTGCCTCAGCCTCCCAAAGTGCTGAGATTACAGGTGTGAGCCACTGCGCCCGGCCAGTCCCCACTCTTTCTTAAAGGCCCATGGTGGAGCGTTTACAAGTGAGTGCAAGATCCCCTTCTGTATGGGACCCCAGCTCTCCCCATCTGTCACACAAATTGGCCTTTAAGAATTTTTTTTCTTTTTTTTTTTTTTTACAGAGTCTCGCCCTGTCGCCCAGGCTGGAGCGCAATGGTGCGATCTCGGCTCACTGCAACCTCCACCTCCCGGGTTCAAGCGATTCTCCTGCCTCAGCCTCCCGAGTATCTGGGATTACAGGCGCGGGCCTCCACACCCAGCTAATTTTTGTATTTTTGGTAGAAACAGGGTTTCACCATGTTGCCCAGGCTGGTCTTGAACTCCTGACCTCCTCATCCACCCGCCTCGGCCTCCCAAAGTGCTGGGATTACAGGCGTGAGCCATTGCGCCCGGCCCGCCTTTAAGAATTTTACTGAATCTTTCTTGTCCATCCATATGGTGGCCACTGTTTCTTCTATACTCTGTAATAAGATTATCTGCTTGACCAAAATTTAGTCAAGCTCCAGAAACTTCTCTTAGGACCATCTGTGCACTTCTTGTAAAGTCCAGCTTTAGCAAAGAATCCTGCTAAGTCAGTTTATTTATTTATTTTTATTTTTTGAGACGGAGTCGCCCTCTGTCGCCCAGGCTGGAGTGCAGTGGCACGATCTCGGCTCACTGCAACCTCCACCTCCTGAGTTCAAGCAGTATAGCCAGACCCCATCTCTCTCAAAAAGAAAAATGATTAGCTGGGCTGGTGGCACACACCTGTGGTCCCAGCTCCTCGGGAGGCTGAGGTGGGAGGACCACTAGAGCCCGGGAGGTTGATGCTGCAGTGAGCTATGATTGTGCCACTGCACTCCAGCCTGTGTGACAGAGTGAGATGTGAGACCCTCCCCCCCCAAAAAAAACAAAAAACAAAACAAAATAACCCCAAAACCAAAAAAGACACAAGTGTTATTGAATATTTTTTTCTTTGACACCTGTCAAAAATAAAGCAGTTCATGTGCTCTCTCTCTGCTTGAAGGGGCCCATCCTTTTTGGAATTCAGTTCACTTTGTTCCCCTGTGATTCACCTCTCCAGTGGCGTTGAGGATTACCTGACTGTTCTCATTGTTAGTGTGGGAGCAATGTTCTTTGCAGTTTTCTACATTCTAAGAGGAAATGGAAGTCTCCGTTATGCATCTTATTACAGCCACAGCCTAATGGACTCACTCTGTGAGCTCATTTTCAGTGGGAATTTCTTCCATAGGAGTCCTAGGTAATGGCAGTAGCCCCCTGGGATATCTGTCATAAGGCCACAGCGGGCCAGAGATATCACGGAAAACTGGGTCACTGAGGAAAGTTTAGTAATGGGACTATTTACAAAGCTGTGGGCAGGGGGCAGAGAACTCAGTATTCCAGGGCTAGGGAGAGCAGGCAGCTGTGCCTTTCCTGCCTTCCCTTAGGTCTGAAATGGCAGAGAGGAGACTCACCTGGATGTGGAGCAGATGGCTGCATGGAGATGACTGTCTGGTGGGGCTGCAGCCCTCAGTGAAAGACCATTGCCATTGTTGCTGGACATAAAACAAACAAGGACATAGAAGCACTCAACACACTGTCAATCTACATGACCTTCTCCACATTCACAGAACTCTACCCAACAACAGCACTGTACGCATTCTTTTATTTTATTTTTCTTTCTTTTTTTGTTGAGACAGGGTCTCACTCTGTTGCCCAGGCTGGAGCACTGTGGTGCGATCTCAGTTCACAGCAACCTCTGCTTCCCAGGCTCAAGCAATCCTCCTCCCTTAGCCTCCCACTGAGACTACAGGCACACACCACCATGCCTGGCTAATTTTTGTATTTTTTGTAGAGATGGGGGTCTCACCATTTTGCCTAGGCTGGTCTGAAACTCTTGGGCTCAAGCAATCCACTACCTTGGCTTCCCAAAGTGCTGGGATTACAGGCGTGAGCTACCATGACTGGCTGTACACATTTGTTTCAAACGTTCATGGAACATGTACCAAGATGGATTGCATAATGAGCCATAAATTAAACCCCAATAAATGTAAAAGAGTTGGGATCATACAGAATGTGTACTTTGACCAAAGGGGAATCAAACTAGATGTCAGTAACAAAAAGATAACCGATTTGTGCATTGCTGGTGGGAATGTAAAAGGTGCAGCCGTTCTGGAAAACGGTTTGGCAGTTTCTTACAAAACTCCATGTTCAATTACTATACAGCCCCAGGATTGCTCTCCTGGGCACGCCCAGACAGGCAAAGACTCATGTTCATAACAACCAGTGGATCAATGTTCCTAGCAGATTTACCTGTCAAAGCCAAACAGTGGACTAGCCTGGATGTCCTCAATGGTTATACAAACGGGTCTTACAAGGGGCACTGGAGGGATCCTGTGGATCCCTGGAGGGATGTCTGTGAGTTGGGAGGTGGCTGGGGAGTGTTCTGAATCTCGTGTGTGTCACTGTCCATTCTTGCCTGTGACATCATGATATGTTAGAGAAGATGTGAGCATTGAGGAGACCTGGGGCCTTTTATTACAGACTGGGAGGAACTATTTGCAAGCCCTATATCCAACAGAGGACGAGTATGTAGAATAACGGCACATGGGATCTCTCTATATGCTTTCTTCTTATTTTGAAATTTTGCTTTATTGTGTCTTGTGTAACCCACGTAGTGAACAGAAATCTTACATGAATTGAATATTCATGTATAACATACATTAATACACAGATATGATCATGAAGATCAGTCTTAGAACTCAAAGCCATTTGTCAACAAACAACAATGCTGCTTACTCTTGCCGTAATTAATTTAATTTAATCTAATTGTTTTGAGATGAAGTGTTCTCTTGTTGCCCAGGCTGGAGTGCAGTGGTGCGATCTCGGCTCACTGCAACCTCCACCTCCCAGGTTCAAGCGATTCTCCTGCCTCAGCCTCCCGAGTAGCTGGGATTATAGGCACCCGCCACCACGCCCGGCTAATTTTCTTGTATTTTTAGTAGAGACGGGGTTTTGCCATGGCGGCCAGGCTGGTCTCGAATTCCTTACCCCAGGTGATTCACCCACCTTGGCCTCCCAAAGTGCTGGGATTATAGGCGTGAGCCACTGCGCCTGGCCCATAATTAATTTTTTGATTCATATTATTTTAGGATTGATGAGGGAAAGAACACTATCTTTCTTCATTTGCCATTATATATATTGAACATACTATGCCTAGAATATAAGAAGTTCTTTTTTTAAAAAAAATTCAATTTTTATTTTAGATTCGGGGGTACATGTGCAGGTTTGTTACCTGGGTACATTGCGTGATGCTGATGTTTGTACAACTGATCCCATCACCCAGGTACTAAGCATAGTACCCAGTAGGTGTTTATCTGATGTTTGTACAACTGATCCCGTCACCCAGGTACTGAGCATAGTACCCAGTAGGTGTTTATCAGCCCTGGCTCCTCCCTCCCATGTCTAATAGTCTCCAATGTCTGTTGCTGTCCTCTTTACGTCCTGTGCACTCAGTGTTCAGCTCCCACTTGGAAGTGAGCAAATGCGGTATGTGGCTTCCCTTCCTACGTTAATTCGCTTCAGACAATGGCCTCCAACTGCACCCACGTTACTGCAAAGGACATGATTTCCTTTTTCTCTATGGCTGTGCAGGTGATCCTCCTGCCTCAGCCTCCCAAGTAGCTGGGATTACAGGCGTGCGCCACCATGCCTGGCTAATTTTGTATTTTTTGTACAGACAGGGTTTCGCCATGTTGGCCAGGCTGGTCTTGAACTCCTGACCTCAAGTGATCCACTCACCTCGGCCTCCTAAAGTGCTGGGATTACAGTGTGAGCTGTCTTGCCCGGCCTGTTTTATTTATTTATTATTATTATTTTTAATTTTTGTAAGGATATTTATTTTGTAAATTTTCTTTTCTTTCTTTTGTTCTTTTTCTTTTCTGATAGAGTCTGTCTCTGTCGCCCAGGCTGGAGTGCAATGGTGCAACGTCTGCCTCCTGGGTTCAAGCAATTCTCCCGCCTCAGCCTCCCAAAGTGCTGGATTACATGTATGAGCCACTGCACCTGGCTGTGCTTTGTTTAATTTGAAGTTTCTCCCACTTGTAAAACACTGTTATCCACCTTCCTCAGCGTTGCCTGAAAGCTTCAAATCTCCTTTAAACTTCGCAGAAACTGAGTGACTCTGCTCTCCCACCATGTGGAAGGCCAAATGTGACAATTTCGGTGAGCACTGGGGGTCTCAGAATAAAACTTTGCACTCGTTTTTGAGAATCCCTTAATTACAGATTTGTGCTGCAAGGAGAATGTGTAAGAATTCTTTACATTTTTAAGGTCCCTTTGATGGCTGGCTAAAATAAACACCTATGTATAAAAACTGGTGAGGTAAAATAACACCAGATGTAAGGCACTCATTTTTTACACACTCCTGAGTCTTGGAAGTTAGGTGCTAACTCCCTCCTTGACTCACGCTGGTTGTAACCAACACCCCGTCAGTGCTGGGGTAGCATTAACTGGATCAGCAGCAGGTCTCCGGCAGTCTCTCGGAGCACCGCATGGAGGGTTTCAATAGTCTTAGAAGGTGGAATCCTTCAGTGTGAGTTCGAGGAGAATAGCATCGGATGCCAAGTTAACGTTTCAGCTATTCTTTCTTTTCTCTTTTTTTTTTTTTTTGAGACGAAGTCTCACTCTGGTGCCCAGGCGATCTTGGCTCACTGTAACCTCCACGTCCCAGGTTCAAACGATTCTCCTGCCTCAGCCTCCTGAGTAGCTGGAATTACAGGTGTGTGCCACCACGTCCAGCTAATTTTTTTTTTTTTGTATTTTTAGTAGAAATGGGGTTTTGCCATATTGACCAGGCTGATCTTGAACTCCTGATCTCAGGTGATCCACCTGCCTCGGCCTCCCAAACTGTTGGGATTACAGGCGTGAGCCACAGTGCCTGGCCTCAGCTGTTCTTTATAATAAAGGGTTGTGGTGTGCCCTGACCCTGGAGTCAAGTAGCTCTTGAAAGTGTTAGAAAAAGCAGCAGGGACTTGGTGATAGAGAAAGCTGAAAAGGGCATTTAAAGACAGATGCTTGAAGAATGACTCCCAATCTTGCTTTTAGCCATCTTCCTCACTCTGGTAGATTGCAAAATAAATAAATAAATAAATAAATAAATAAATAAATAAATAAAAAATTTAAAAAATGCCATAAATTCTCTGCAGCTCCTTCTGTCATTAAGTGATTTTTCTTTCTTTTTTTCTTTTTTTTTCTCATTATTGCTGTTGCCCAGGCTGAAGCGCAGTGGCACAATCTCGGCTCACAGCAACCTCCACCTCCCAGGTTCAAGCGATCCTCCTGCCTCAGCCTCCCGAGTAGCTGGGATTACAGGCACATGCCACCATGCCAGGCTAATTTTTGTATTTTTAGTAGAGACAGGGTTTCACCATGTTGGCCAGGCTGGTCTTGAACTCCTGACCTCAGGTGATGCACCCACCTTGGCCTCCCAAAGTTCTGGGATTACAGGCGTGAGCTACAGTGTCCAGCTGTGAAGCGAGTTTTTAAACTTGGGCTTGACCATGTGATTTGCTGTGGCCGATGAGAGGTAAGGATCCGTGCATACTGAGACTTGAAAAGTGCTTGAGACTTAGGAGGACTTAACATTCTCTGGCTGCTGGGAACCACCTGTCACCGTGTGAATGAGCCTTGTTAGCCTGCCACACAATGACAGAGACGTGTGCTTGAAACTGCAGTCTGCTGGCAAACGAAGTGGCAGACGTGTGGCTGAGGCCATCGTAAACCAGCCAGCTCCAGCCGGGCTGGTCAGACCAAAAAATCTGCCTGTCAACCCTCAGAACTGTGAGAAATAATAAACATTGTTGTTCAAGCCACTAAGTGTTGGGGAGGTTTGTTACACAGCCAGGGCTAGCTGACACACTCTCCTTTTGTGTCCAGGCAGTCAAAGGCAAAAGTTTAGGTTTGAAATTGACCAAGTAGGTTATGGTCATGATTTGTTCTCCTGGGTTCTTACCTCCCTGTCAACCTTTTCCTTCTTGCCCATTTCCATCAGTTTCCCCCTCCCATGTCACACTACCCAGTTTGTAGAGCCCCTGAGCTATCCCAGGCCTCTCAGGGAGACCCCGCTGGCAGATCCCAGATCTCCACATGTACTCTGAGTCTGTTGTTCTCTTTTGGTCACAGTTCCTGCCCTCTGCTTTCCTCAGATCCTGGCTTGTTTGAGGAAAAGACGTTCCCAACTAACAGCTCCACCCGTGCTTGCTTGGAATAGGAGTAACGATGCCTCCACACACAGGAGAGATGAGGCAGGCCCCGAGGGGTACCCGAGGAGCACCAGACCTCATGCAAAGCACTTGCCTGGCGTGACTTCATTTTATTAAAACTTCACAACAACTGAAGAGGTAGAAGTTGACAGATGGGAAAGCTAAGACTATAAGAGTGTCGTGAGTTGAATCGTGTCTCCAAAACGACACATGCAGGTCCTAACCCCCAGTTCCTGCTCTCTGCAGAGCAGGTGGCTTCTGTGTGGGCAACATCCTGATGGCAGAGGCACCCCAACACAGCTGCAGCGATGGGCCATGCCTGAGGTTAGCAGGGGTGTTGGAGGGGCCAGTGTGGGCCACGGGAGCCTCCAGTGGCTCCATCCAGGATGGTGGGCAGTCCAAGGTGGGCAGGCGATGGGCAGAGGGAACATCTGAGTGGATCCTTCCCCTGAGAGCCATGCAGTGCGCCCCACCTGCCTCGCCTTGGCCTGCGGGGAGACAACAGCGATGGAGGCAGGGCCGGTGGCCACGCACGGGGAACTCTGCGAGTCCTGCTACAGCCGCTTCCTCCAGGCCCTATGGTGCAGGTGGGACATGCATCAGCTGTTTACAGGGGTCTATGGGCAGCCACCAGCAGCCGAGGGGAGAGGCAGCCAGGTAGTGCGGCATTTCCTTCTGTTCCATTCTGATTGGCACGTCCAGTACATTTTGGATTTTTGGATAAAATTACTTTTAATCAAAACAATAGAAAGTCAGTCCAGAATTCTCCTTGCCATGAGTAGTTGTCGGATGTTGCATGAGGCCTCGGCGCCCGATCGCGCTGCTCCAGGAGGGACCTGCTCTCTGCCGGCCTCCTCCCTCCGCACCTGCCCCCTCTGCTCCTTCGTGAAGCCCAGCGTTCCTAGCTTTTACTCTGTTCCCTGCGAGGTCTGGAAAACCGTGCCCAGGGTGCTTGCTTGGCATCTTTGCATGTTTCTGGCTTCCTTTCTCTTAGCTGGAAGCAGGGCTAGGTGAGTGGTATGTGCACGTCCTCACATAATGTACACACGTGCCCAGGCACACACATCACATGAATACACTTGCCTACCAGGGGACCCCCTTGTCCCCCAGCACAATCTGCCCTGTGGGTTTTGTCCTCCATGCTTCTTTAGGTTGGCAACCACAACTCACATCCACCCACTCATCCCACAAATGGTCACTGAACCCTTAGCATGTCCCAGCCACCTGGCCGCCCTGGGGAGTTCAGGATCCTAGGAAGGGAGGTTCTGCAGGGTGCCTATCTATACAGACACTTTGAACCACCCCAATTCAGCATGCCAGCACCATTCTGGTGGCCAATGTCCAGCGATCCCATGACAAACGTGGCCCTGGCTAGGGGACGTGCTCTGCTGCCAGTCACGGGTGCCTGAGTCCAGGAGTGCCTGGGGCTTCGGCTGACCCTGTCTGTCTGGGGTCCAGGTAGAAGGTTACAGCACATCTCAAAAGGTGGAATGTGGAGGAGCCCACGCATCCCTAACCAGATGAAACTGCCAGCCTGGCCGGTCTCGGGCCATTGGAGTCGGACTTGGAATTTTGGGGACCACCACAGGGCGGGGCCTGCGGCTGTCTGAGGGTGGCATCACAGGCATGCTGAGGTGTGGGGCTGGAGGAACCCCGGACAGAACAAGGAGTAGGGGAATGACAGACAGAACAAGCCAGCCATGTGGCGCGCATGGGGCCGGGACACCTACCTCCTCCTGCCGTTCGCCTGGGCTTTTCTGGTTTTTGTACCCAAAGTGGGGAGTGGGGGTGGGGTGGACTGGGGGTGGGGTCAGGTGAGATGAGGGTGGGGGTGGGGTGGGGTGGGGATGGGGTAGGGTGGGCTGGAGTGGAGGTGGGGTGGGGTCGGGTGAGATGAGGGTGAGGTAGGGGTGGGGTGGAGTAGGGGCGGGGTAAGGTGGGTTGGAGTGGAAGTGGGGTGAGGTGGGGTGAGGCAGGGGTGGGGTGGGGTAAAGGTGGGGTGGAGTAGGGGTGGGTGGAGTGGGGGTGTGGTGGGATGAGGGTGGGGTGGGGTGAGGTGGGGTGAGGTAGGGGTGAGGTGGGGTGAGGTAGGGGTGAGGTGGGGTGAGGTAGGGGTGAGGTGGAGTGGGGTAGGGTGGTGCTGCAGTTTCTGACAGGGCAGTCAGGAAAGGCCCCGCTGCCAACTTGGTCCCCCAGCCAGGTGGAGGACAGAATCTGCCCCCACCCTCCCACCAGGATTTCCTGGTCCTAATTCCTGGAACGTGTGAGCGTTGGCTCCCACAGCCAAAGCAACTTTGTAGATGTGATTAAACCCCGGACCTGAAGCGGGGGAGGCTGTGCCAGACTGCCCTGTGGGCCTGTATCACCTCGGGTCCTTTCGGGAGGGCAGCAGAGGAGGGCAGGGAGAGGCAGTGGAGAGGGAACGAAGGAGAGGGGAGGGGATGATAGGAGCAGAGGTTGGAATGATGGGCTTTGAACCAGAGGAAGAGGCCATGGGCGAGGCCATGGGCAAGGCCACAGAAAAGGCCAGGATGAATTTTCCTGCAGGTCCCTGGCAAGGAAGCAGTCCAGCTGGCACCTTGGCTTCAGTTCTGTGGCAGGGCCTGTGGGCTCCTGACGCCCAGGGCTGTCAGAGAGGGAATCTGTGGTGCTCCGTCGGCAATTGTTACAGCAACAACAGGAAACCAGCGCAAGCAGAGACCCGGAAGAGAGGGGGGTGGAGGAAGGGCGGCCGCCTTATGCAGCTCAGGCGGGGGCTGGAGAGTGGGGCTTCTGCCCTGCAGCCTGGGCTCTCTCAGCCCTGGAGGTCCGAAGCCGCAGATCGCAGATCGGGGTGGGATGGTCGGGTTCTGGGGAGGGTGCTGCTCCAGGCTGCAGGCGGTGCTGCTTTCGTGTGCATCCTCACGTGGCGGAACAGAGCTTCCTGGGGTCCCTTTTGCAAGGGGACCAGTCTCACGCTCCCCTCATGACCTCATCACCTCCCAAAGCCTCCACCTCCTAATACCTCGGGGGTTGGGATTTCAACATAGGAATGTGTGGGACACACAGACTTCAGCCTGTTGTAGCCTCCTGGATCACCTATTACGGGAGAAGATGTAATAGGACATAGAGTTAACTGCAAGGGATCAGAATCCAGAATTTAAAAAGAACTGTGATCTGATTGCTGGGTGAGGTGGCTCACGCCTGTAATCCCAGCACTTTTGGGAGGCCGAGGCGGGCGGATCGCCTGAGGTCAGGAGTTCAAGACCAGCCTGGCCAACACGGTGAAACCCCATCTCTAGTAAAAATACAAAAATTAGCTGGGCATGATGGCAGGTGCCTGTAATCCCAGCTACTTGGGAGGCTGAGGTGGGAGAATCGCTTGAACCCGGGAGGTGGAGGTTGCAGTGAACCGAGATCTTGCCACTGCACTGCAGCCTGGGCGACAGAGTGAGACTCTGTCTCAAAAACAAAAAACAAAAAACCAGAAAAAAACCTGCGATCAACTTGGAAAAGACAAACTGCCCCAGCAGAATGTGGGCAGAGGCCACCACATCACAGAAGAGGAAGCTGAATGGCCAATGAGCAGATCAAAAATCAAAGATCAGTCTCATTAGCCATCAGAGAAATGCCCGGGAGCCTCGGGTGGGGCCCCCACGCCCACCACGGAGGCGTGACTGATGCTGGAGGTGACAGGGTGGTGACCATGGACCGACACAGAGGGTGGGGGCAGGGGTTTTACAGCTGGCTTGTAGAGTGGACAGGCATGAGGAGCAGGCATGGGAGGGCGGCTTGGCAGTCCTGACAACCACGACAGTGCGAAGGTTGAAAGGGGCTTAACTGTGAGCCAATTAGGATCCCCTGGTGACATTGAACAGGTTGTTACTATGGTGAGGTTGTTAATTTGATGGTTTAAAGTGCCCCTAATGCCAAGAAACAAATGACTAGAGCACAACTGTAGCAGGTTAGGGGTCCCCTGTGGGCCTCTCTGGTGACCCACACTAGGCATCACTGTCCCTCGTCTTTCTGATGTGGTGGATGGACAGCACAAATTCATTTTTCAGCTCCGTTTCTCAGGTGTAGGGCGTGTGAGATGCCTGGACGCGGTGGTATGGACAGTACTTCACTGTCCTTATGTCCATGGAGGGAGAGAAGGAGCATGCAGGCTGGCTCTGTGCCTGCGCCCACTCCCCACCCAGCCACGTCCCCAGGCTGCCTTCTCCACTTTCTCCACCAGACCAGAGCCCCTGCAAGAATCCACTTCCAAGCTGGGACACTTCCCTGAAACAATTAGGGCCTCCCACCCCACACTCTTGCTTCCATTATGTCTCCTCACGGGCATCAGATGCAGATACAGATGGGCAGATGGCAGCACCCAGGAGGCCATCGAGCGCGCACCCTACGCCTTGCACCAGAAACACACAGCTTGGCAAAACAGACCTGGCAACCAGAACAGGCCTACAGAATCAGAATCTCAGGGCTGGGGCGTGTCTCAGTGTCCACAGACGGCCTGAGGACCAGCCAGGCTCAGAAACTCCTGACCCAGTGCAGCTGCTCCTGGGACTAACAGAGGAAAAGCTCAAGGTCATGCAGGCAGGGAAGGGAGAGGAGAGAGGAGAGGGAGAGAAGGAAAGAGAGGGAAGGGAGTGAGGGGAGGGAGGGGAGAAAGGAGAGGCAGGGGAGGGAAGGGAGGCAGAGGAGGGAGGGGAGGGAGGGGAGTAAGAGGAGGGAGAGGAGGAAGGGGAGAGGGGAGGGAGGGGAGGGACGGGAAAGAGGGGAGGGAGGAGAGGCAGGGGAGGGAGGGGAGGCAGGCGAGGCAGGACTGACAACAGAGAACCTTGGCCCCTTTGGCCACCCATGCTCCTGCCATGGGAGCTGCCTGTGTGCAGGCGCTGACTGCCAGGCACGGCTTCTTGGAGCAAGAGAAGTCCCCTGAATATGTCCCTGGCTTTCTAGGGTTTCGCAGGAGTGGCCATGGCGGTATCTGGGCTCAAATCTGGCTGCCTCCGGCTCGCGGAAAACAGTGTCTGCTGTCTGGGGAGCCTGTTCCTGGTGAAGACAGGAGGATAATGGGATGCGCTGTTCCATTGCCAACAGTGTTTTTCTTCGAGAAGGGGAAAGGACATGGTACTGATTGAGAACTTCTGGGAACCTCGGGGCAGGTGAGCAGAGTGGGAGGAGCTTGCTGGCAGCAGCGCCTGTTTCCCACCCGGCTGGCCGCAGACCTGGCGCTCAGTGTGGCTCCCGCTCCCACGGGATGTATCGAAGGAGGCGGCTCAGAGGCAGAAGCTGCGTCGCCTTCGCAGCCGCGCGTGCATGAGATTCAGGGTCCGGCCCCCGCAGAATTACACCGGCGTGAACCCGGCTCATCGTGAGCTTCTGAGGCAACACTTGTGTTTAGTATTTTCCATGATATGATGTCTGCAAATACATTCCCATGAGAGGGAGCGTCGGACTGTCCCGTCCCCATGTCGAGCAGGAAGGAACCAGAATTAAGAGGAGGGTGTCCAAGGCGGCAGCTCACCTTGTTTTCCAGCTTCTCAGAAACGCTGAGAAAAAACGAACATCTCTTTGCAGCGGATGGAAGATTGTATAGTCTTGCTGTCCCAAATTCTTTGGCTAAACCACCAGATTTTAAATATCTGCTAGCAAAATATATTAGAAAAGTTAGGATTAACCGGAAAAAAACCAGTACTCTTATGTATTTTCACTTGTAACCAGGCAGCTTAACTTCAAAATGCATCTTAACTTTTTTTCCCCTTTCTCTTGGATTTTAAGATATAACCTTGAAGCGAACTGCAGAAGCCTTTTCCCTTAGCCTTAAAGTAGGCTTCACGTCCCCGCCTTTCTCACTGTCTATACCCGCTTCACAGTTCTCTAACTGTATGTGCGCATCTCATTATGCACGCATCTCATTATGCACCTTCTTAGACGTTCCAGGGGCTAATCTTGAGACAGACCAAGCCTGGAGATCAAGCTGCAAAGTGCCACAGATGACATCAAGGTGGCTAGTTCACCACCTGGCCACTGTTGAGGTGATGCCAGCCTGAGACCCAGGTGGATGGGGACCCAAGACAGCCACTCGAGACACACAGACATTGTACCCCACCCAATTCTCGTATTTCTTCCTTATCACGTTTTCCTTTCTTTCTTTTTGAGACAGAGTCTCGCTCTGTCGCTCAGGCTGGAGTGCAGTGGTGCAATCTCAGCTCACTGCAACCTCCGCCTCCCAGGCTCAAGAGATTCTCCCACCTCTGCCTCCCCAGTAGCTGGGATTACAGGCACCTGCCATCATGCCCAGCTAATTTTTTTTTTTTTTGGTAGGGACGGGGTTTCACCATGTTGACCAGGCTGGCCATGAACTCCTGACTTCAGGTGATCCACTCACCTTGGCCTCCCAAAGTGCTGGGATTACAGGCATGAGCCACCATGCCCGGCCAAGTTTTCCTTTCTTAAACCCCTGCCTTCCTCCCCAAAATTGAAGTGGTTGCCATGGATGGCTATCTGGCCACTTCCCCTTTACTAGTTTTGGTTAATAAAATCAATTTCTTTCTTTCCTTTTTTTTTTTCAGATGGAGTCTCACTCTGTTGCCCAGGCTGGAGTGCAAGAAAGAAAGGAGGAAGAAAAGAAAGAAAGAGATGACATTTCTGACTCTCTAGTTCTTATCTTCTTTTTTTCCTTAGAGAGAGCGAGAGAGAGAGAGAGAGATCATGCTATGCTGGCGCAGTCAACCCAAGCTCAAGCTGTCTCCAGCACTGCTTGTGAGCCGGGCCCACGTTGCTGCCCAGGGACTCGGTGGTGAGGGAGGTGTGATGTGTGAGTCTGCTGGGGCAGCCCTAGCGAGGCACACAGGTGTGTGTGTGTGTGAGCTTGGCGGGGGGCTTAAACGACAGACACTTACCTCTCAAAGTCTGAGACAAGTGTTGGCAGGGCTGGCTTCTGCTGAGTCCCCACTCCTCTGTGTGTCAGGGTCTGTCCTTCCCTGGCGCCCTTCATGTGCATCTGTGCCCCGACCTCCTCTTCTTGTAAGACTCAGTCAAAGTGGCTCAGGGCCCACCCCAGTCAGCTCATGTTATCTTAACCACCTTTTAAAGGCACTGTCTCCAAATACGGTACTGGGAGGCACCAGGTTGGGCTTGGACGTAAGTTTTGGGGAGAGAATTCAGCCCATAACAACGTGACTCACCCCCACAGGCCCTGGACCCTGCCTGAGGCCGTGTTTCTGCCAGGGCACCGGCCCCAGCTCCCAGGAATCTGGGGACCCCTGACCCTCACGTTCCCCTGCAGCAGGGCAGGGAGTCCCAGGGTGGGGGCTGGGAAGACCTGCCTGAGGACTCAGGGAGACTGGAACCCTAGCACCTTGCTGGGCCCCTTTTGGCTACCAACAGAGAACAGTCCCCTCCCAAATTCAGAGAGACGATGTTATCTGTCCCTTAGACAGACTACGGTGAAAGCCTTTGGACTGAGATTTTTATTTTATTTATTTATTTATTTATTTTTTATTTTTTTTTTATTGATCATTCTTGGGTGTTTCTCGCAGAGGGGGATTTGGCAGGGTCATAGGACAATAGTGGAGGGAAGGTCAGCAGATAAACAAGTGAACAAAGGTCTCTGGTTTTCCTAGGCAGAGGACCCTGCGGCCTTCCGCAGTGTTTGTGTCCCTGGGTACTTGAGATTAGGGAGTGGTGATGACTCTTAACGCGCATGCTGCCTTCAAGCATCTGTTTAACAAAGCACATCTTGCACCGCCCTTAATCCATTCAACCCTGAGTGGACACAGCACATGTTTCAGAGAACACAGGGTTGGGGGTAAGGTCACAGATCAACAGGATCCCAAGGCAGAAGAATTTTTCTTAGTACAGAACAAAATGAAAAGTCTCCCATGTCTACTTCTATCCACACAGACCCGGCAACCATCCGATTTCTCAATTTTTTCCCCACCCTTCCCGCCTTTCTATTCCACAAAACCGCCATTGTCATCATGGCCCATCCCCAATGAGCCGCTGGGCACACCTCCCAGACGGGGTCGTGGCCGGGCAGAGGGGCTCCTCACTTCCCAGTAGGGGCGGCCGGGCAGAAGCGCCCCTCACCTCCTGGATGGGGCGGCTGGCCGGGCGGGGGGCTGACCCCCCCACCTCCCTCCCAGACGGGGCGGCTGGCCGGGCGGGGGCTGACCCCCCCACCTCCCTCCCAGACGGGGCGGCTGGCCGGGCAGGGGGCTGACCCCCCCCACTGGACTGAGATTTTTAAACCTCCCTCATAGCCACAGTGGAGGAGCTGTGGACAGAGTACAGCCTTGTCCGGGCACTGCCCGTCGTCTCCTGGCTCAGGGGGATCTAGCCCCAGCCACTGCCACTAGAGTGGAATGAGGTTTCCTGTGGGATCGGACGAGGGGGTGACTGCTTTCCTGTTCCAGAGGCCACCTGGGAACCGACGGTGTCCACTGATGGACGTTTTCCTGGGCTGAAGTATTTCAGATGCCCAGTGTACTCCCAGCCCTCACAGCGGTCAGTTCTGCTTCACGGGTTTCCCACATGATTTGGCTAAGACGTCAGCCGGCAAAGACGCTTGGGTTGGCTTTAGACATTACGAATAAAAGGAAGCTGCGGGAGGCGGTCAAAGTCTGAGACATGACAGGTGACACAGGAGGGGACGGGAGGGGGGATTCGGCCGCGGGGACCCCATCCAGGATTCCAGTAGCAGACATTCCTCTTTCCTTCTTTTATTACCCACAAGGTCAAAGCTGAAATCACAGGGGGCTGCGTTGCCTTTTGATGGGAGAGCCAGAGGCTGCATTCCGAAGATTGCACGATGCCAGCTCCCAACTGCGAGGGGGCAGATTTGTTGGAATTTCTCAAATCCAGTCTTTGATACATGCGTTGTTCCTTCAATTGCTAATAAACGGTCTTGGGGAGAAAAAAGTGGAAAACAGCATCTTCCTGTCCTCTCAGAGGAGCACAGGTGATGATGGCCTCCCAGGACGGTGCTAGGCTGTGCACAGGCTGGCCCTCCCTTTGTGAACTTTCTGTTCTTTCTGGCGACATGCTTGCTGTGTGCTGGGAGCTCACCGTGGAAAGCCCCAGGCATTGCTGCTCCTGTCTCCTGACGTGCATGTGGCTCAGCTGTAAACATCTTTACCCTTCATGCTGACTTAATACTGATTGTCGGGTGAGAGTTCACTTGGAAACACATCATCCTAGGTGGAGATGGTGCCGCTCACCCCAGAGGGGCGTCTTGTTCAGTGGGTTGTGCTCATGGGGGTGGGACCCTGTGTCTGCACACTCACTCCCTATGCTGGGCATGCCCCCAGGCCTGGGGGAACGCCTCTGCTGCTGGACCCAGAGCTCTCCGGGGCCGTAGGCACATCTGTCTTGTCCTGAGCCTCCACTGCCACATGCAGCCCATGATTCAGCTCATCCGTGTGGCTGCCTCCTGGTGCGGGCAGGCTCTGGGTGTGCAGGCTGACCAGGGTGGACGTGGCCTCCAACCGTGGGGCCTCAGGGACTGCTCTGTGTGACAGGAGGGTGGGTTGGTGGGCTTTCTGGGGGTCCCGTGCATGGAGACCAGGCTGGCTGCACACCAACCAGGACTAACAGTAGATGCCGTCAGGCCGGGTACAGTGGCTCATGCCTGTGATCCCAGCACTTTGGGAGGCTGAGGCGGGTGGATCACGAGGTCAGGAGATCGAGACCATCCTGGCTAACACGGTGAAACCCCGTCTCTACTAAAAATACAAAAAATTAGCCGGGCGTGGTGGCAGGTGCCTGTAGTCCCAGCTACTTGGGAGGCTGAGGCAGGAGAATGGTGTGAACCCAGGAGGCGGAGCTTGCAGTGAGCCGAGATCGCGCCACTGCACTCCAGCCTGTCTCAAAAAAAAAAAAAAAACAGTAGATGCTCTCTAGATGCCTCCCCTAATGGATCTCAGTCATTTAATTGTTTCAGGATGCAGTATAGCCTAGAACCAGAGGAAGTGTGCTGATGTGTAGGAGTGTATACATGTCCATGTGTGTGCATGTGATTGTTTCTGTTTATGATAGTAAAATTCAAGGAAGTGTTGTATGGAGTTTGATGAGGGGCACCGTTTAGTGAGATGTGCATTCCAAGTAATGTAGCAGATGAAGGTGCTGTTGAAAGAGCCTTGTTACAGATGAGGAGAGCAGGTAATCATCCCCCATAGAGGCTGGCAGGAAGGTGGAGGGCATCAATATCCGCACGCCTACGTTTTGCTTCTATTTTTGCCAACGTTGCCATATCTATTGGCTTTAATAGGATTCAAATGAAAAACAAAAGCAGAAACAAGAAGGGGTGTAGAAATCAAGGTCCCTTATCTGTATTCGGCTGGATTCGAGATGGAAAATTTTACAGGTAAAAAATGAATTATTTGAAGGTGGGAAGTAATATTCTGGAATTCACCAAAAGGAAACAAATGCCCCAAGGAAAGTGACCCAAAACAGAAATGAAATGTTTACTAAGCTCAGACCACGCCAGTGGCTTTAAAGGTGAGCTCTGTAGGGTGAAGCGCTTCGGGAGGTGGTTCTGTCTCTAGAGCGCAGGGGAGATGGAGCCCACAGCCCAGGGGACACAGCCAGCAGCCTTTTCCTTGCTTTTTATAAATCGGGTCTCCAGGAGTCCACCGCATGCGGGCGGTCTCAGTGAGAGCTCAGGGGTGCGACTGTCCCAGCAACAAGAGCCTGACCATGAACAAGCCGGGGGCTGGGTCCCCTGTGTGGACACAGTGCCACCCAGAATGTCCCCTGTGCTTGTTACCAAAACAAAGGCAGGAAGGGAGGGCCGTCTCTCCTCCCGAGATAGAGACCCTCAGACGTGCTGAATACATGTGTCTCTTTTCCTTATCTGAGGATTTAAGTGTGAAGTCACCAGCCTTCCTCCACATGAGCACCCAGTGTGTGTTGTCCCCATGGTCATGGGTGCGTTTGCTCCGACACACGACCTACAGTCTGGCCAACCTGCCTCAGTCCCCAGATGTCCCACACACGGCACTGACGTCCCCCTCTGCTCAGAAACACAGGACCCGTGCATGTCCTTGCACTCAGGGCACCGTGCTGACATTTAATGCTGAATTTACAGGGACGTACGCACCGCATCACACTGGTCAATTGCTCTAAGATACATCTGGGGGAAAAGCACAGTGTCCTTCGTCTCCATGAGAGAACTTACCGGAAGCAGCATACACAACTCTACCAAAGAAGAAGTACAGTACCCATTTCCGTATAAGAATATATTATTTAAAAGACAGTTTAAAAATAAAATTCTGTACAGCATCATGAATTCCTTTTTTTTTTTTTGTATCAGTGAACAAAATGGTTCTTAGAAAACATGGTCTTGTGGTGCCAGGTGCCCAGGGCAGCTCTTCCCTGCACAAGGATCCCGCGCAGCTCGGCCAGCCCGTCCAGAACTGCAGCCACGCCCCCCGCTTTCCTCAGGCACAGTCTCCTGGAAGAAGGGAAACGATGACTGATTTGTTTTTGTTAGAATTAGGGCGCGGTGGCTCACACCTTTAATCCCAGCACTTTGAGAGACCAAGGTGGGTGGATCACGAGGTCAGGAGTTCGAGACCAGGCTGACCAACATGGTGAAACCCTGTCTCTACTAAAAATAGAAAAATTAGCCAGGCGTGGTGGCACACACCTGTAATCCCAGCTACTCGGGAGGCTGAGACAGGAGAATTGCTTGAACCCGGGAGGTGGAGATTGCAGTGAGCCGAGATTGCACCACTGCACTCCAGCCTGGGCAACAGAGCGAGACTCCGTCTCACAAAAGAAGGAAAAAAAAAAGTGCCAGCAGTCGCAGAAACGTTACAGGATTATACACAGACTTTTTTTTTTTTTTTTGAGATGGAGTCTTGCTCTGTTGCCCAGGTTGGGGTGCAGTGGCGTGATCTCGGCTCACTGCAACCTCCGCCTCCTGGGTTCAAGCAATTCTCCTGCCTCTGGCTCCCAAGTAGCTGGGATTACAGGTGCACGCCACTACAGCTGGCTAATTTTTGTGTTTTTAGTAGAGATGGGGTTTCACCATGTTGGCCAGGCTGGTTTAGAACTCCTGACCTCAAGTGATCTGCCCACCTCAGCCTCCCAAAGTTCTGGGATTACAGGTGTGAACCACCGTGCCCGGCCGACACACAGACCATTTTAAAAGAAAGAGGCCATCAGATATATTGCTGAACACATTTAGACAAAGTAAAACAATATTGATCTCTTTTCTGACCCACTGAAAAATATGAACTGACTTAAAAATTAAATGGCAACATTGACTGAGCACTTCATCGGGACCAGACAAGCACTTTGACTGTTTAATCACTAAAACAGCAGTAACAATGGTATTATTGCCTCTGGCTTAGAGACTGGGGCTCTGAGGTTCAGAGAGGCTGGGACACTTGTGCACATCTCTCGGCTTGTAATTGGCAAGCCTGGACTCAAAACCAGGTGTGTTGGATGCCAAAGCCTGTTGCAGCTCCTCTTATGAGCCATGTCCCGTTTGTCCTGCCCTGAGCCTTGCATGCTTGATGCACTATCTCTTGAATTATCTGTTAGACATGGAGAGTGTGACCTTATTTATTGTTTATTTATTTATTTATATTTTTTTGAGATGGAGTCTGACCTTATTTATTATTTACTTATTTATTTATATTTTTTTTGAGACAGAGTCTCGCTCTGTCACCCAGGCTGGAGTGCAGTGGCACGATCTTGGCTCACTGCAAGCTCCGCCTCAGCCTCCCGAGTAGCTGGGAATACAGGCACCCACCACCACGCCCGGCTAATTTTTTTTGTATTTTTAGTAGAGAAGGGTTTCACCGTGTTAGCCAGGATGGTCTCGATCTCCTGACCTTGTGATCCGTCCACCTTGGCCTCCCAAAGTGCTGGGACTACAGGCATGAGCCACTGCGCCCGGCTTATTTATTTATTTTTATTTTTTGAGACGAAGTCTCGCTCTGTTGCCCAGGCTGGAGTGCAGTGGCGCGATCTTGGCTCACGGCAATCTCCGCCTCCTGGGTTCACTCCATTCTCCTGCCTCAGCCTCTCAAGTAGCTGGGACTACAGGCACCCGCCACCACGCCCGGCTAATTTTTTGTGTTTAAAGTAGAGACGGGGTTTCACCGTGTTAGCCAGGATGGTCTCGATCTCCTCGTGATCCGCCGCCTTGGCCTCCCAAAGTGCTTGGATTACAGGCGTGAGCCACCGTGCCTGGCCATTAGTGTGACCTTATTATGAGGTGAACAAACGGCTGCTCTGCATTCCCCGTGAGCTGAATGACTAGTATCAACAAGTACAGAGGAAAATGCTCAAAGCCATATAAAGCAAACACGTGATTTGTGAAAAGTTTTCAGTACTTCAATTGCACTTTTAAAAAGTACTTACTCTTATAAGTGATACATATGCTAATTATTGATGTTTTTCTATTAACTAAAGCATGTTCCCCTTCTTTAAGAGCCTCACTTTTTTTTTTTTTTTTTTTTGAGATGGAGTCTCACTGTTCTCCAGGCTGGAGGGCAGTGGCGCAATGTGGGCTCACTGCAACCTCCACCTCCCAGGTTCAAGTGACTCTCCTGCCTCAGCCTCCCAAGTAGCTGGGACTACAGGTGCACGCCACAACACCTGGCTAATTTTTGTATTTTTAGTAGAGACAGGGTTTCACCATGTTGGCCAAGCTGGGTCTTGAACTCCTGACCTCAAGTGATCCGCCCACCTTGGCCTCCCAAAGTGCTGGGATTGCAGGCATGAGCCACCAGCCTTAAGAGCCTAATTCTAATGATTAGTTGCAAGAAATAAAATTTCCATTCATTTGGTCAGGCGCAATCTCACACCTGTAATCCCAGCACTTTGGGAGGCCGAGGTGGGTGGATCACCTGAGGTCAGGAGTTCAAGACCAGCCTGGCCAACATGGTGAAACCCCATCTCTACTAAAAATAGAAAAACTAGCCAGGCATGGTGGCTCATGCCTGTAATCCCAGCTACTTAGGGGGCTGAGGCAGGAGAATCACTTGAACTCAGGAGACAGAGGTTGTAGTGAGCTGAGATCGTGCCATCGCACTCCAACCTGGGCAACAAGAGCGAGACTTAGTTTCAAAAAAAAAAAAAGTTCCATTCATTTAAAGGTATTCCAAAATTCAGATTTTCTCCCCTTCCTCTTTCCTTCTGTCCTTTGTCAGAATCATTGTATGCGCTGAGATGCCACTTCAGCAGAGCAAGCATTACCTTCACTGTTTTTCACATCTCTGCTTCTCTCTCTGGACTTCTCGGTGGCCCCAGACGTCAAGCTGTCAGTCTTCTTCTGTAACTGGAACAGAGTACAGAGAAGGCCAAGTCAGGGAGCAGGAGACAGCAGGGGAGTGTCTGCCTCTCTCCCAGCAGCTTCTGTTGCCTGGAGGTGCTGCAACGTGAAAGCCTGTGGTCCCCAGCCCCTCTGAGCCCAAGCACTCCTGACATGGGCTTTTCAGAGGCAGCTCTGCATACCCTGTCCCGCTACCCTTGGTGCCTCATCTGGGGCCTGGACAGTGAGCTCACCCAGCTGCAGCCACCACAGCCGCGGGGACTGGTGGTGTGTGCAGAGCCTGCGGCTTGGGCTTGGCCTTTTCACCTCTTTGGCGTGTCTCTCCTTTTTGTGGGGGCTGACAGGGGGGAAGGCAGAGGCCTTAAGGAACCCTACTATCCCCTACTGGGCAGCAGGGCTCAGGACTAGAGACTCAAGGCCATCAGGGCTATGGCTCTCGGAGGGCCCACGAGAGAGGCAGAAGCCCCTTCAGCTCTCTTGCGGGGTTGTGGAGTGGGGGAAGCCTTCTTGCTACATCTGTCCCTCTGCATAAGTGCTCTCAGCCTTCCAGAGGTTTAGAGACCTTTCTGTGACTTTCCAGTAGGAGACATCAACTGGAGAAGTCAGGGCAGCTGGTCTGGATTTTCAGTGGACTCCTAAGCAATTGCTGAGCGCCTACCATGTGCCTGGCATGGCGCTCCAGGCGGGTGTGGGCATGGGGAGCACGGGGCCGTCAGTCGAGGGAGATGAGACCAACCCAAGGCTACGCCTGGAAAATGGCTCAGTGCTCAAAAGGGCATTGTGGGCCACATGGGCTTCAGGAGCGCCCAGGCAGAAAAGACGGGGTGGTGGGCACAGTAACTAGGGGAGCCCTGACTGACGGGCCTTGGAGGGTGCTTCAGTGGCACTGTGGGGAGCGGGGGTGGCAGAGGCAACACCGGCCAAGGCCAGGAGGGGTCAAACCCTGCAGGAGTAGTAAGACTGTTCTAGCTGCCTGGGGGCGCTGGAGGGAGGAGGCAGGAGGCTGGGAGGGGCAGAGGCCACACCATGGGCAGCAGGACAGCAGACAGCCGTGGGGAATCCGTAGAAAGACTGCGTGGGCCCTGAGGCTGTGACCTGGACCCCTTCCTCCAAAATGATATCTATCCAGCAGCAACCTAAAGCCAGCCCCAGGCTCCCTGGCCCCTGAGAGGTGCCGGTGTGTGTTCTGGGCCCGGGAGCTGGCAGGTGGGTGGTCGCTTTGTCCCCGTGCCAGGGGAGGGCCCCTTTCTACCCCATGGCCTCCTCTGAACAAGTCAGCCCTGGGGCCAGGCCAGGCACTGTACTCTGAGGGGTCCCAGATGCTCTAACGGCGGCTGATACACCCAAAGACACCTGGGTGTCCACAGGTGTGGGTGACAGTTGTGATTCTTGTGAAGGGCACGGCCAGTAAACTCCCTCGAAGGTACTGAGACCTGACGTGTTCTTGGCGAATGCAGTTTTGGTTTCCCTCATCGCATTCCCTAATTTTACTGAGCCAGGCTTTCTGATGGAAGGTACACGTGTGCCTGTCCACGGGGCCTTCAGTGGTGCCCTGCTTGGCACGTCCAAGCTTCTGGAGTCGGGAGTGCGGAGGGCAGCGTGCCTGCTTGCCGCAAGGAAGGCAGGCTCTTCTCAGTGTGTTTTACCTCTTTCATGGCGTCATCTATCCGCTTCAGCTCCTCGTAGCGATCTCGGGATTCCCAAAGTGGCTGCAGCATGATCTCCTCAACCATGGGGAAGAGCTGGGAGAGACACACGGATTTATTCAGAGTCCCTCGTTCTTAAGGCAATGGGAAACGTCGGAGAAAAACAGGTGTCAGGTGCTCCGTGCGGAAACCTCTGGGCCAGTCCCAGCTCCTGGACACCCTCGTGCCGGCTCTGCTGCCTCCACCCACTGCGGCTCTGTCTCTGGCCCTCATCACCCTCCATGAGGTCCTACAGAAAGTCCCCTTCCTGCCTCCTGTGTCCCCCGTGCCCGTGAGATGAGGGTGGGGGACAGGTTGGGAGGTTCTTACAAAGACACGGGGCAGGGGAAAGGAGCTGACAGCCTCCCGGCTGAGGGTCCTGGGAGTGGGAAGTGGGTGGGTTGGCTCCAAGAGATGCCCTAGAGCAGAAGGATGCGCAGCGTAGGAGCCCAGGAAGGTCGGAGGGTGTGAGGCTGTGAGCCCAGATCCCCGGGGGGAACAAGAGATGGGCCTGTTTTGGACATGCTGGGGGTGCCTTGAGGTGGGGGCCTTGGCAGGGGGCCACAGGCAGCTCAGAGGCCCTGGGGGGAGCTGGGCAGGAACGAGCTGTGTGCAAGGAGCAAGGTCTCGGTGGCTGGGTGCGGTGAGACTGGGAGCTGGACAGGGGCTTCACAGCTCGAGGGCACAGAGCTCAGGGGTTCCTCCACAGGTGAGGAACTGGGACGCAGAGTGGGGACAGGAGAGTCCACAGCCAGTGCTGCCTCCAGGGTCCTGAAGGCCGGCAGCGATGGGTGAGGGCAGTGAGGGGCCCCCCAGGGCCCAGCAAGGCAAGGCAGGGAGTGCAGCACAGAGTGGGAGATGCTGGGGTCACGGGCCAGGCTGTGGGGAGCAGGCTCTGGATGGAACAGGGACAGCGGTCACCACGACAGCCGGGGAAGAGGCTGCTCAGGATGTGCAGGTGTGCAGGTGTGCCTGTGTGTACCTGTGTGCGTGCATGTGCATACCTGTGTGTGCATGTGTGTGCCTCTGTACGTGTGTGCCTGCGTGTACCTGTGTGCATGTGTGTATGTGTGTGCCTGTGTGTGCATTTGTGTGCCTATGTGTGCCTGTGTGTCCCTGTGTGTGCCTGTGTGTGCATGTGTACCTGCATGTGCATTTGTGTGCCTGTGTGTACCTGTGTGCATGTGTGTGTGTGTGTGTGCCTGTGTGTGCATTTGTGTGCCTGTGTGTGCCTGTGTGCCTTGTGTGCATGTGTACCTGCGTGCCTTGTGTGCATGTGTACCTGCATGCACATTTGTGTGCCTGTGTGTGCCTGTGTACATGTGTGTGCACGAGTGTGTGCCTGTGTGTGCCGTGTGTGTGCATTTGTGTGCCTGTGTACCTGTGTGCACAAGTGTGTGCCTGTGTGTGTGCCTGTGTGTAGCTGTGTGCGTGTGTGTATATGTGTATGTGCCTGTATGTGCGTCTGTGTGTATCTGTGTACGTGTGTGCATGAGTGTGTGTCTGTGTGTACCTGTGTGCATATGTGTATATGTGTGTGTGCCTGTGTGTGCATGCATGTATCTGAGTGTAAGCAAGTGTGACATGTGGTGACAGTTACTCACCTTGGTCACTGTTTCAAACATTGGGATCAGGACAAACTTGATGAACCCAATCTGGGCTGTGGCCTTGGTCACTTTGTCTCGGTCCATGAACGGTGCCACAGGAAGGCCTTCTGACTTCTCACGGTCGCTCTGCAGGGAATGCAGCAGACAGTGACATTAGAGACAGAAATGCCCCATAACCAGATCGCTGTTCTCAGAGAAAGACAAGATGCGCCAGTTAACCACCAACCAACCAAACCACACCACAAATGTGTCTCAGTAAGAACAAGGAGAAGGTGACCCTATCTTCAGTGCTAAACAGAGCTGGGCGTGCAGGTCTAGCTGGGAAGACCGACCTGAGAGATAGGCAGAGGTGAGTTGGATGGATGTATCCCAGGACGGCAGCAGCGTCCTGCAGAAAGCCTCCCGACTTCTCCTAGGGTTCATCAAGCTGTTGTATTAATATTTGGTGGTTGTTTTCAGCTGGCTTGGTTTTCTATGTCCCCGACCTTCCCCGTGGCCATCTGTGTGAGCTGACCTGCTGGGTCTCGGCCCTCCTGGGCCCCCTCCTGCTTCTGCAGTCCTTGCTTCTTGACTTTCAGGCAATTTGTTTGACAAGGCTGCTTGTAATAATGGCTCAATTAGCAGTGACAGGTGACAGTTTTAGAGTATTAGCTTTTCTGGATTGTTACTGTCTTTCAGGTCTCAAATTATAACCTATTTTGTTTCTGATGTACGCTTACCCTGAAGGCTTTCTGGAGGCTGAACTGTCGGCAGCCCGGGGAATATGCGGGACCACCCAGGCGTGCTCGTTTAACGCAAACCCTTACTAAGTGGGGCTAATAAGAGTGGCTGGAGGCTTGATTGCTCTGCAAGACTCTTACCTGCATAAAATATTCCTCTAATAAACAGTCCACCCAAGGCTCTGCGACTTCCATTGGACGGACCTCGTTAGAGATATCACAGCATTTTATCAAAATCATCTTCAGCTGAAAGAAGAGATTTTGGAATTGAGGTAACAGGAGGTAGAACACGGGCCTGCTGCTGCTGCTCGGGTCTGGACTTGCCATTACAGGCAGGAAGAGACGGAGGACCTGCTGGACCATGCAACTGAGCTTGGCTGCCTTCAGGGAGGACAGGCTCCCTTCTCAATGGAGAATGAACCTTCAAGGTCCTGTTTGGGTCCCCTCCTTCCAGCCTTTCTGGCCACCCCAGCCCAGGTGATATCCCCTGAAGCACTGCCCTGTGCCTGGTCACCCCCTATTTTCTGCTGTTCCCTAGGTGGGTGCATTGCTCATCTTCCCAGGGGACAGGTAGCTCTGTCTCAGCTTGGCCAGGGTTGGGCATGCCATAGGAGCTTCAGGAGGAGATAGGGCAGGCCCAGGAATGCAGCAGCTTCCACCCAAACTAGCCCGGATGTCGCCATAGGACAAGAGGTGGAGGGCTGGCGTCCCGTGGCCCTGCCTGCACCGGGCACAAATGAGTGTCTGGAATCACCAGGTTTCCAGACCAAAGTGTTGGTTGCCATCCAGGCTCTGAAGCTGATTAGACAGGAAAGCCCAGCTGAGGCACATGCCCCCGGGCTGCGGGCTGCACCTGCTGGTTTGGGGAACGTGACTAGGTGAGGAGCAGCTCAGTTCAGCTCGGAGTCTGCATGATGCTTGGTGGATCCTGCCTTCCAACCTCGGCAGGACCTCGAAGGGATCCTGCTGTGGTCGCCCTTCCTTTCCCTGCCCTATCAGTTCCCAGGAAGCCATTCAGGCCTTTCTTTGACTCCTCTGTGGAGTCCGGCTCCAGATCAGAGGCAATGACTAGCCTGTGCCTGGCCGGCCTCAGTGGAGCTGTCCCGACACCAGACCTAGGGCAGGGCCAGGGCAGCAGTGTCTCTGGGGAAGGTCAAGGTCCCAGGCCCTGCCGGCCACACTCCCTGCACCTCACACCTCCCACGCTGGCCCGCACTATCCTCAGAGGCCTCCCTATTGGGGCCCATTTTGAATCAGAACCTTTCCCCCGAGACCTTACCCCAACCTCTGTCCTCCACCCGTGTTCATAAAGCCCCGTCTGGGGCTCCGTAGCAGTGAGACGATGCCTGGCCGTGCTGCTTGTCATCTGACCCCGCGGTGCAGGTCGTTGGGATAAACGGAACCCTGGGCTCTGAGCCTCGCTTTGCCTCTGGTCTGCACAGCTGCAGTGTGTAAGGCTGGGGGTGGGGTGGGAGTGGGGACCTTCAGCTGGGTTCACTTGTCCTGACCACCTGGCACCCGATCCTCTGGCATCCTGCCCCTCCCCGTCTCTTCCCTGACCTCTCCTCCCACCTCAGAGGAGGAAGGCATCGGCGGGGCCTGGGTCACCCCTGACTGCAGGTCCATCTCTGCCTTCCTCATATCTTAGAGGACAAGGCGGCGCCTCCCTCCTTCCCTTGGTTTTTCAGGAGCAAGAAACTTGCTTGCCAGGAAGCCGCTCTATGTGACTGTTTCCCTCTTAGGGAAGGGGCTTCTGGTGGCCCTGGCCTGGGGAGGTTTGCCTGCTGTCCAGCCCTTGCCTGCGGGAGCTCCCATCCTCTCGCACAGTCTTTGGGAATTAACTGCACCTCAGCTCCAGAGAGCGATGAGTCCTAATGACTCTACCTACTGGGACTGGATGGTTAGAAGGTCAGCCTGAGCCGAGAGTTCCCTATCTTTCAACCTCTCTGGAGGTGGAAAGTGATGCTATTGATTTTAAACAGATAATCAAATTTCAGAGTAAGAATGCCAGGGGTGCACCTGATGCTTAGACAAGGCTCCACAAAACCAGCTTTCTCTCTGAAGGCCGGGAGGGCAGTTCTCATGCACCTCTCTCTCTCTCTGTTATCTGAGACAGACCCTTGCTCTGTTGCCCAGGCTGGAGTGCAGTGGAACGACCATGGCTCACTGCAGCCTGGACCTGGGCTCCAGCGATCCTCCCACCTCTGCCTCCCAAGCAGTTGGGACCACAGATATGCACTGATTTTTTTATTTTTCTTTCTTTTTTTGTGGAGATGGAGTCTTGCTAATATTGCTCAGACTGGTCTCAAACTTTTGGACTCAAGCAATCCTCCTGCCGTGGCCTCCCAAAGTGCTGGATTCCAGGCATGAGTCGTGCTCTGGTCCTTGTGTGCCTTGGTGTGCCCAGTGCCTGTCCTTTCCAAAAGGCAGATGCTGGGCAACCTAAGTGCACCTTCTCATGGGGGAGGCCCCCTACCCCTTCTCTGGCCACCTTGTCCTGGTTATGGAGGGGTGCTGGGCTATGGTGTGGGCCTGGTGGGGGATGCTGGCTTGGGGAGCGGGAGCTGTGTTGGAGTTGCCCCCACATAGGTGGGCTTTCAGAGTGCCATGCTGGGGCTGTGCCTTCATGGGAGAGCTGGTTTTATTCTCTGGAAAGCAGAGCGAGATGCACGGCCTTCACCCACTTATCTCCTTCAAATCCAAAAGAGATGGAGGAATGGGAGAATGCTGCCTCTGACCATGAAGGAGGACCCATCAGGAGGGAGGCCCTGCCCGGACTTTCCTAGTAAGAGTCATGACCTTGAAAACCAGATTTATAGACACCTTGTTCCAAGAAGACTAATAATTTCAGCTTCTTGGCTTCCAGTGTGAGCTGGATGGATGACCTGCTTCGCCAGCCCACCGCCTGGCTGCCCACCCAGGCAGAATAAGCCACTCACCAGGGTCATGTGCTCCTCGTTGCTGTAGTCAAAATTCTCCATTTTCTCTTTGAAAGAATCCATAATTTCTGCATGTCTTGCCATGTCAGTGGCCAAGATTAATGTGATCATTCCCTAAATAGCGAGAGAACAACGTGTTAACACGGGTATAGTCTGAACAATTATTCAGCGGAGGCCTACTGTGTACTGAGCCCCCTGCACACATTATTTCATGTATCTCTTATTCCGATTCATATGTGCATCCATCACCCATCCATTTGTCCACACATCCATCTGCCCACCCAAAAACCCATCCATTCATCCATCCATCCACCCATTCATCCTCCATCCATCTACCCATCCACCCATCCATCTGCCCTTCCATCCATTTATCCATCCATCCTTCCACCCATTTATCCATCTGTCCATTCATCCACCCATCCACCCATCCATCCATCCACCCTTCCATCCATTTGTCCATCCACCCATCCACCCATCCATCCATCCATCCATCCATCCATCCATCCATCCACCCACCCACCCCACAAGCATTTACAGAACACATCTCTGTGCCAGGTATGATGTTTTCCTCTTCCAAGAAAATAAAACAACAAGCATCAGATACAAAACCCAAACCCATCAATCTAGGTCATTTCAACTGTATATATATATATTTTTTTGGGGGGATCACTTGTATCTTGAATTATTCAATTTTCCTGTAAACATTTAATTGTGTTATTAGTGAAGCATTTATTCAGTTATTCCTGAAATCTTCCATGACAAAATATATTTTTAAAAAAGTGGGACAACTAATTTTACCCCCAGAGGAGAGTCATATTTTGCAGTCAGTGAAGCATTTGAAGCAGGCCAATGCTGGTGTGTCCCCACGGTGGATGGGCACGAGAACGATCCCCTGTGCAGAGCGGCTGCTCCTCCAATCAGGTGCCGCCTCCTTCTCTTGCGGGATGCTCTCCGACATGGCTCAGTGGGACGAGGCCTACACTAAGGGGCGTTCACTTGCTTTGATTCCCCAGGTCCTGTCCCTGGAGGAGCTCCCCACTGGGGTAGCAGTGGCAGATGCAGCGTTCTCTCTTCACGGTTGCTCCTTGACCTACTGCAGACGAAGATTTGCCACAGCTTATCGTAGCCACACAGGGCACCTGCTTGCAGGGTGGGGAGGGGCACAAACATGGAGGAGAGGCCAGAGAGCCTATAGATAAAGGGGAGATAACTGTACTGGGAACCAGTGATTCAATAATGACTGTAAATTGTCTATTGAATTGTGTATGTTTGTGCAATGATGTCATCACAGGCCCGAGAGCGCTGCCGCCGTATGTCAGCGCCGAGTGGGTTCTGAGGTGCGGCTGTCGGCGCTCCTCCCGGGGCCATCACCATGCACACCCATCTGTTCTCCTGCTCATTTCACACTCACAGTGGCTGGCACAGCACAGGCCAGCAGAGGCCTTGACCACAGCATCCCAATGAACCACAGCCTGGTTCTGCCCACCTCTGCCTCTGGCACATGGTGGCATTTGACAATTTCGCAAGAGGCCGTGATGCCTCAGGGCCCCGTCCCAGGGAGCATGCTGCTTCCTCGGAGCTTCCCCAAATGCTTCACTGACTTCAGTTTTTTACACTGGGCTTTGAACTTCCTGGAAGCGTAGACAAATTGGAAAGCCATGGTAGAAGAGGCTGCTGCTCTCTGATAAAGGGAGGCTCAGCAGCACGCCTGGAGGGTGGTGAGTATCTTCCCAGTGCTGAAGTCCAGGCAGTCTTTCTTGCTGCCTCTGGAAGGAAGCCACTTAGACTTCGAATGGCTGAGGTCTGCCTTGTGGAACCGCAGAAGACGGTGCCCTGGGTGAGTGTCCTGGGGCCGCCACACAAAGTACCACAAACTAGGCGGCTTAAAACAACAAACTCATTCTCTCACAGTTCTGGAAGCCAGAACCAAGATCAAAGTGTGGGCAGGGCCCTGCTCTCAAAGAAGACTCCAGGGGAGGGTCCTTCCTTGTCTCCTCCTGCTCCTGGGGGCCCCGAAGTCCCTTAGTTTGGGGCTGCATCACTCAAATCTCCAATCACTGCGTCTTCATGCGGCCTTCTCCTCTGTGTCTGGGCTGTTTTCTACTCTGTCTCCTCGTCCAAGGACACTAGTCTTTGGATTTACGGCCCCCTTAGACAATCCACACTGATCTTATCTGGAAATCTTAACAAGTACAAATGCAAAGACCCTTTTCCAAATAAGATCACATTCACGGGAGGTGGACCTTGTTTGAAGGACGCTGCTATTCAACCCAACACATTTCTCCCAGGGTTTACTCCGAGAGCTTCCCTCCCCTGCAAATGTCAGAGAGTGAGGGTTTGATGAGGAATTCCCGTGTGGAATGGGGCGTTATTTCGGTGAGCTGGAGGTGTTTGTCTGGGGCAGGTGGACCAGGTCATCTTCCTCTCACGCAGATATCCTCTCACTCTCCTCCCATCACGCCCTGAGAGGCATAAAGCCCCCTTATCTAAAATGGAAGGGGTGGCCGGGCGTGGTGGCTCACACCTGTAATCCCAGCACTTTGGGAGGTCGAGGCAGGTGGATCACCTGAGGTCTGGAGTTCAAGACCAGCCTGGCCAACATGATGAAACCCCGTCTCTATTAAAAATACCGAAAATTAGCCGGCTTGGTGGCGCATGCCTGTAATCCCAGCTATTTGGGAGGCTGAGGCAGGAGAATTGCTTGAACCCAGGAGGTGGAGGTTGCAGTGAGCCGAGATCCTGCCATTACACTCCAGCCTGGGCAACAGAGCGAGACTCTGTCTCAAAAGAAAAAAAAATAAATAAAAGGAAGGGGGCTGACTGGGCTGTGGGTGGCAGGTGACAGCAGCTGGGGTTATGGGGCAGGGGGCAGCTCTCCTATGTTGGATGCAGCAGATGTGTCTGTCCAGGGCCTGTCCCCTCCTTGGGCAGGCTCCCTACCTTTGCTAAGCCTCAGTTTCTTGGGCTGGAAGAGGGACAAAGGATTTATCTCAAAGGGAGCCAGTGAAGGCTGAATTAAATACAGGCTGGGAAGTGCAGGTCAGTGGGATGCACGTGCGCATGGCGAGGGTACCCTCTTTTTGGGGCTCCACTCTGGGCCCTGGAGGAGGTGAGGAAGGAGGGAGGGGTTCCCTTGGGTCCCCAGGGCACTGCTGTGGCCAGGAGCTTCTGGGAGCTTCCAGCCAATGGAGAGTGGGGGCTGCTCTGTCCCTGAATGTGCCCCCACTCCGGTGGGAGGGCCCTCACCCCACACACCTGTCGGATCTGCTTGAACCCATCAGGTGGGATGTTGGAGAAGATGTTGCACTCAGGCTCGGCGAGGATCTGGAAGGCCACGGCGCAGTGGTGGTTCTCCAGCGGTGAGATGTCATTGTAGCGGACCGCCAGCTCTGTGCGGGCATTGATCTGGTACCTGGGAGGCAAGGAGAGAGTGAGGGGAGACTCAGGCGCCCTCACCAGGTACCTGCACGGGGGAGCAACACCCAGCCATGTAAGTGGAGCAAGTAGAGTCAGGAGAAGGTGCCGTGGGGGCTGGGGGAGCTGCCTGTGCCCTGGCCTGGCCAGGAGGTCCCTCCTGCCGCTCAGCTGCCCCTGCAACTGCACGTCCCCATGCTCCTGCAGTCCCACCAGACAGACACCTCTGAGGAAGCGGCATGCTCCCTGGGACAGGCCCTGAGGCATCACGGCCTCTTGTGAAATTATCAAACGTCACCAGGTGCCAGAGGCAGGTGGGCAGAACGAGGCTGAGGTTCACTGGGATGCTGTGGTCAAGGCCTCTGCTGACCTGTGCTGTGCCGGCCACTGTGAGTGTGAAATGAGCAAAAGGGGAACAGATGGGTGTGCATGGTGATGGCCCCGGGAGGAGCGCTGACAGCCACACCTCGGAACCCACTAGGCGCTGACACATGGCAGCAGAGCTCTCAGGCATGTGATGACATCACACAAACACACAGTTCAACAGAGAGAGCTGCTGCGCCACTGAGGACACAGACCCAAGCCCATGGCCTGGACCTTGTCCGCCACATGGGGCGGAACTCTGTGCCTGTGGAGGCAGGAGTGGAGCAACGGTCTGTCCTTCTGATCCCTGGCCCCACGAGGGACACCTCACTCCCACCTCCTGTCCCTCTGCAGTCCCTCTTCTCCCCCTCTTCTGCTCTCTTCTGGCTCCTGCCTGTGCTTTCCCTGCGGAAGCCAGCTGGGAGCCTGCCCAGGGAGAGGCGAGCTCCTGAGAGGGGGGTGTGGAGCCCCCATCCCTGCATGCGGACAGGTGTTGCTCCCTGCCTGGGGTGGAGAAGGCGCCGGCGGGGCCAGGGATCTGCCGTGCACCTGAGCCTGAAGCCAGGCCCGCACAGGAGTGGGAAAGAGCCCCTGGGGTTTGATAATCCTGAAAGTTCCTACTCCGGGGAGACCCAAGGCCCTGGGCAAAGTCCAGAAGCCAGGAGCTGTGTCAGTGGAGGCAGAGTTGGGGGCTGGGAGGCCGTCGTTGACAGCTCCATCTGGGAACTGCTCTGAGGGTTGGGCTGACAGGTTCCCTCCAGTAGCCAGGGTGCCTTTTAAAAGGAAAAAAAGAGAAAATCCTGTACATACGTGTTGTTGTAGCCGGGATGGTCCAGATCGTGGCAGATGGCCGCTGTCATTAGGATCAGGATATCCGTTTGTGAGAACTTCTCCTGGATTGGAAAACAGGGCGTAGGTGTTTGCTCTCTTCACTCGGAGGGTGGGATGGGGTGAGGGGGGGTGGAATTGGGTGAGTGGTAAGCGGGGGACAAAGGCCCCTGCAGCCATCTGGCATCTCCTGGCATGGTGGGAGAGGATCGGCCTGCCTGTGGGGGTTGGGGGGGTGACCAGGTCGGGGACTCACCTGCTCTCGTAATCCTAGGAGCAGCCTCGCCCATGGGGTGACTGACAACGGTGGGCAGGGGTGCGTCCCTAGGAGGGGCGGAGCGGCTGGGGACCCCACGCCTGTGGCTCTCTTGGTGGGATGGGGCTGCCGCTCCCTGGAAGGGGGCCTCCGTCTGACCCCCGAGAGTAGAGGTCTGGGTGTGCAGCGGGCAGGACCCACCTGGAGACTGCAGAGCCAGACCATGCTGTACATCATCTGGGCCACGCAGAAGCAGTGCCGGAAGTTGTGGAAGGGGTTGTTTCTGTAGTTGTCGTGGACGCAGAACTGCGGGAGGCAGGGGGTCCGAGTCACCCTGTGCCTGGGCCCGCCCACCTCTCCTCCCAAAGCCACCCAGAAGGCTGTGCGCTGGTTTGAACATTCTCTGCCAAACCCTCATCCCAACCAGAGGTCAACAGTGTTCCAGGTTTACCACAGGTACCAATGAGGTGACACAGGGACCCTGAGAACGTCCAGCGGGCCACACCACGGCACCCGGGGCAGGTGTGGGGACAGAGCTCCCACCAGGGGTTTCACCCTGCAGTCAAGGACTGGGGTCTCCCCGGAGGTGTCTGAGGAGCCACAGTGGGGCATAAAGTTAGGGGATGGGGGGAGGGGAGACTCCAAGAGGGAGCTCTGGGTCCCCAGTCACCATGAAACCTTTAATAGGCTTTTAATATTTGGTTCTGAGCAATATTTCATTAAAAAAACCTGCTGCCAAACATATTCACACAGGCAGACACCCACATGCACACACCCACTCACACACCACACACTCACACACCCCACATCCACACACACACATGCACACATCCACCCTCACACACCCCCACATCCAGATACACACATGCACACACACCTCACATCCACAGATACACACATGCACACACACCCTCACACACACCCACACACAGACACACCCCACATCCAGATATACACATGCACACATCCACACTGACACACACAGACACACCTCCACACTCCTACTCCCACCCCACACACTCCCACCACACATTCACACACACCCACCCGTAAACTCAGATACCCCCATGCTCACACCCACACCCCACACTCACACACACACACGCTCCCACACATTTACATCCACACACCCACTCACAAACACATGCAGACACCCCCATGCTCACATCCACACCCCACACTCACACACACTCACATCCACACCCCCATACTCACTCTCACACACACACACGCTCCCACACACACACACACGCTCCCACACACCGCTGCTTTAGGACATGCTGCTTTGCTTGATGATGGCAGAGTCTCACTGATAAGCTACTCCTTGCTTATCAGAGCAGGAGTAGCTCGGGCGTAAAGAAGGTTTTGGTGGAAGGAGGAACAGAGACAGGCTGAGTGTCCTCACAGAACTCCCGGGGAAATGTCACCTCTGCTCACAGGGAGCGCAGTGCCATCCGGAAGGTGCCCTGGTGATCCATTCCCTCCATTCCTGTGGAACTGGATGAAACCACGTGCCCAGGAAGAACCGAAGGCGGGTTTGGCACTCACCAGCCACCTCCTGAGGGTGACAGGGTTGATGCTGAAGTCCCTGACCAGCCCGAGGTCGTGGTACATGTGCTCCAGGCAGCTCAGCATCTGTGGGCACAGGAGAAGGATAGGCACTGGGCAGTTGTGTGGCCGGCTCCCCAGCCCCTGGCTTCCTTCCCTCTGCTGTCCTCGGAGTGCCAGCAGGGCCGTTGGCAGGAGGTGGGTTCTCCCCCTCCCAGAAAGTCCCTGGAGAGCAAAGCCTGGTCGGCAGACATGGGAAGAGAGGTCTTCAGACCAGCCTTTCCAGGCCACTCAGATGGGTGGGGGTTTGAGAGCACACTGGGGGTCTCCTGGCAGGTGGATCCTGGGGCGTGGAGGGCCAGTTCCGAAGTCAAGGAGAATTCTTAGGACAGCGACCGGGTGAGAGAGTGCACCCGTTCACAAAACACTGCACCAAAAAGGAATTTATTGATTTCTACAGATGAAAAACAATCTCAGCGGATCAATATCACAGCTGAGGGGTCTAGGACACAGTTCCATCCAGTGCACACCTGAGCACAGGTGGCATCACAGAGAGAAAGGCCCTTTCCTTGCCCGAGGCTGGGGATCGAAGGAGCTTTGACGATTTACATCCAGAAACGCTGAACTGTGTTCATCTGCGGCCCCCTGGGACCGAAGACACTTTAACATCTTAACTGCAGTGCCCAGATGCGGCCCCTGCCCCAGCAAGCGGCTCCTCCTAACCCTTTTTCATGGAGCCCTGTCTTCTATCAATATCCCTGTTCAAGTTGAAATAGATTTTGTTTTCAGTCCCAAAGAGGATTGTCATTGTGGTGATCTATTTCAATACAGCTCAGTGCTTTGGAGCTAATTAAGTTAGGGAGGAAAAGATGAAGTGATTTTTAAAAATGAGAGTTTGACCAAAGTAGGCTTTGCTTTCTGGAAAAAGCAGGTCTTGGGTGGCGAGCCCAGTGCGAAGGAAGATGTGTAGGAAAGGGGCAGTTTAGACACACCTGGTAGGTGTCCTCCACCCAGGGCCCACCTCCAGCCCAGCTGCCTGCTGCCTGTACAGGGCACTGGGCCATCCCTGCTGGAGCCCGGCGTGGCTTCCTGCCTGTGTCTGCTCATTGCCTGACTTTCTCCTCCCAAAAGGGCATGTTACGAACTGAACTGCCCCCTTCCCCAGGTCAACATGGTAAAGCCCCGACCCCAGTGGGGCTATTTGGAGACGGGGCCTTTACGGAGGTAATGAAGTTTCCATCTAGTCAGGGTGAGGCCTTGGTCCCATGGGACTAGTGTCTTCATTAGAGGAGGAAGAGCACCTGGGATGCATGTGCCGAGAGAACAGGCCACATGAGGACCCAGCAAGAAGGCGGCCATCTTGCTGGCCAGGAAGAAGGTCCCACACCAGGGACCGAGGTCCCAGCAAGAAGGTCCCACACCAGGGACCGAGGCCCCAGCAAGAAGGTCCCAGACCAGGGACCGAGGCCTCCGGAGAAGCCGAACCTGGCAGCACCTTGATCCTGGACTTCCAGCTCCAGAACTGAGGAATCAACTTTTGCTGCTGACGCCACCCCAGTCTCTGGTACTTTGTTATGGCAGCCTCAGCAAACTAGGACAGGCGTGCTGCCCAAAAATCCATTTTTACTTGTTACGCTGTGTGTGAAACCTGGAAATGCTGCAAGGGAGGCGAGTTTTTGTAAATCGAAGCTTGCGATCACTGCATTGATGAGATGGCTCTGAAGGAGGCGGAGGGTTCTCTGGCATGGCAGAAAATCTATCTGGAAAACTGGAAACTCCCCCACTTGCGGCCACAGATGGGAGCTTGGAATGTCACCTGGGAAACGTCCTTAAAGCACGTGAACCACACACTCGTTTTCCTTGGGGAGACAGTACAGATGTAGGTTGGATAATGTGCAGGGCACTGCACTGGCTTTTGGAGATGGGGCCCCACGTGAGGACAGGAGGGCTGGCTCCCAGGCCACTGGTCAGCTGCCACCTGGATCACCCAGCCAGGGGCCTCGCTGCCCAGAGCTGCTGGACCCCCACCATCCTGGACGCCAGCCCTCAGGACCATAGGGGCTGCAACCTGGAAACTCCTCGCTCTCCACCTGACCAGCCCAGATGTTGTTCAAGGCAGTCCTGAAAGGCAGATGCGTCTGCTGTGAAGCCAAGAGGGGATGCTGATCGGCAGACAGAGACACTTGGTGCCATTTATGTGGCCTTCATAGAGGCTGTGGGGCAGGAGGGCCGGATGCATCTGTGGCTGCACGTGCAGTCCTCAGCCCCGGGCGGGCACGAGGGAGCCAGCAGTTCCCGCATGTGGCGGCAGGTCGTGGTCTGAGTGGGCTGCATGGTCGTGAGTGGGGGACTCATGAGATGACGGGGGAGGCTCCTGCAGCCTTCCAGCTCTGCACTTGATAGAGGCGGGCCATGCTCACGGGCCACAGCCCTGGGCCCTCGGAGGATAGAGGCAGGCCACGCTCACGGGCCACAGCCCTGGGCCCTCGGAGGATAGAGGCAGGCCACGCTCACGGGCCACAGCCCTGGGCCCTCGGAGGCCCTAACACATGGGAGGACACAGCAGCCTGAAGTCATGTCCTCTGTCTGGTTTGTGATGGGCAGGACACTGGGCCAAACCACTCGGAGAAAAGTGGGGGCGCCCCTGCTGGAAGGGAGGGAGGTGATCACTTTTAGGCGCCCTGACGTTCTCTGAGTGCCAGGTGCCTCATGCGTGGCCAGATGCAGTTTTGTGGGGCCGAGTGGGCTGTTTTCATGTGTGTCCCTTTAGTTGTCCCTCTTTGCCACTCACACTCCAAAATTCCTGGCATCCCTAGATCTGCCAGAGGCCAAGGCTCCTGTCTTGGGCATCTCTGCATTCTCACACACAGGCAGCTAGATACTTCTTGGAAGCACTGGAACCCTCATCGGTCTCCTGGAGTGCCCTTGAGATCTGCTGGGCAGGAGCCACGGGCCGTGGGAGATGCCACCCAGAGGCTGAGTCCAGCTGCCGGGAGCTGTCTGCCTTGCCCACCTGCCAGCCCCGAGAGCAGCTGTGAATCCACTCTGTGATCAGAGGACAGAGAGGTGGCCTTTCTATTATGGAGACACAGATCCCCCAGCTTCGTGGGGCAAGCCCCACCTCCCCAGTCACAGTGGCCCGTGCTCAAAGGGTTCCCTGGTAGAAGGTGGCAGAAAAGACAGCGAGTGCCAGTTTCCACGCAGGTGCTTTGCCATCAGTGGCCCCTGGCTTGGCTCTTCCTCCCAGCAGGCTGAGGTCAAAATGACTTTGGGGATGGTGATTTTTCTACATGATGCTGAGGTGCGGCGGTTGCCCACAGGCTGGGAGCAGGAGTCAGTGTGCTCTAACTGTCTGCGGTGTCTACTTGCTGTGTACTTGCTCTGCCCAATCTCAGCAGCTGTGCAGGGACCCTGGGAGCTGCTGCAGGCCAGCAGCTCCAACACGTCTCTTCTGAGCTTTCCCTCTCACCCCTTGCATCTCCCACACCTGGGGCCCTTTCCTTTTGTGCGTTGACCTAGACAGTCATTCTGCATATTTAAAGCCTCTTCTGTCGTCTCTGCGCCCCGGTCCTGCACTCTCAGAGCTGGGGAGCAAGTTGCCACGTGGCGGCTGGAGGTTTTGAGCAGGTTTGCAGCAGTGCAGCCCCTGGGACTGGCCGCCTGCTGCTCTTGGGTGAACTGAGCTGGGGAGTGGAGGCTGGAGCTTTGCTTTTCTGGCTGGTGCTGCAGTTTTTCTCCTGCTGGGAGACCATGCACATGAAAAGAGGTTCACTTAGGAGAGGGCAGTGCCCCAGGTGTCAGCAGCCTGGCCTCAGGGGTGCCAAGAGGCAAGAGCCCACTTTCTGCCCTTTGCAGAGACATCGCTGCGGCCGAGCTTGTCAAAGAGCACAGGTGAGCTTGCTGAGGAGCCTTGTGCATTTTCTGTGTTGCTGACAAGCAGGAAAACGTCCTTAGATTTTGGTGCGTTGAAAACAGCTGAGGCCGAGGTCTGCAATGAGGGAACTTTTTCATTTTTTGGGGTGTGAAAAGAGGGGGTCTATTAGCCAATGAGATGAAACAAAAAATTCCCCATTCTTGTATTTTTCAGCAAATAGGAATTTTAACACCTTTTTTTTGTAGCGACGAGGTCTTGCTATGTTGCCCAGCTTATTAGTCTGTTCTCACACTGTTAATAAAGACATACCTGAGACTGGGTAACTTATAAAGAAAAAGAGTCTTAAGGGACTCACAGTTCCACATGGCTGCGGAGGCCTCACAATCATGGAGAATGGCAGAGAAGGAGAAAGTCACTTAAATGGCGGCAGGCAAAAGACAATCCCCCATTTATAAAACCATCAGATCTCGTGAGACTTACTCACTATCACGAGAACAGTATGGGGAAAACTGCCCCCATGATTCAAGATCTCCACCTGGCCCTGCCCTTGACACGTGGGGATTATGACAATTCAGGGTGAGATTTGGGTGGGGACACAGCCAAATCATATCACTCAGGCTAGTGTGGAATTCCTGGCCTCAAGCCTTGCTGCAGAAGGTGACACAGTTCCCGGAATCCCACATGTCCACTTATCTGGGGCAGCCGGTTGCCTGTGCCTTGCCTTTGCAGACACTGCTCTCAGAGCAGAGCACTCTGACCGCAGCCCCTTCCTTGAGGAGAGATTTGCTCCTGGCAGGGGTGTTCTGCAGCACGGGGCTGCCACCGGCGTGCATGAGGGTCTGCAGGATGAGCAGATGGCTCGGGGGGCCCAGCGCCATCAGGAGCCCTGGGTGGAGCCTCCCTGCCCCTGACAGCCGTCTCCCCCACTCACAGAATCCCCTTGCTGTGAAGTCTCCTGGGCCCTGCTATAAAGTGTTAGTTAGTTTCAACTAAAACCTGGCAAAACAAGTTTTGTTTTTTTTTTTCAGTCTTTAAAAAGAAGAGGAAAAAGCAAGAAGGAGGAAGAGCGATGGGGGTGGTCCCACTGGCGTCCAAGATCCTGAGCTGCCTCCCCCTGGGACGTGGTGCCTGCAAGCCCCGCACTTACCTCATTGGGCTCCCAAAGCCAGACGTCAAAGGTCGGCTTCCGCAGGGCCTCGATGGTCTCTGGAGAGAGCAGGTACTAGAAAGGACAGGAGTTCCGTGTTAACCAGGCGCCGTGGGCCTGTGACAGTGATGTGCATGCTGAGATATTTCTCCTCTTTCTCCCGTTCTCTTTCTTTTTCTTTCTTTCTTTTTTTTTTTTTTTTTGAGATAGAGTCTCACTCTTGCCCACGCTGGAGTGCAGTGGTGCGATCTTGGCTCACGGCAACCTCTGCCTCCTGGGTTCAAGTGATTCTCGTGCCTCAGCCTCCTGAGTAGCTGGGACTGCAGGCGCCCGCCACCATGCCTGGCTAATTTTTGTAATTTTAGTAGAGATGGGGAGTTCACGATGTTGGCCAGGCTGGTCTCGAACTCCTGACCTCAGGTGATCCACCCGCCTTGGCCTCCCCAAGTGTTGGGATTACAGGTGTGAGCCACCGCACCCAGCTTCTCCCGTTCTCTTTCTAAGGCACCTGCGTCAGACTCACAGGCCACATACTTCTGGAAAGGGCCAATGCTACGGGTGGAGATCCCATCGGTGGATGCCAGAGGCAGGGTGAGGGAGCAGAGGGGAGGGTTTGGGGTGACAGAAATGTTCCATATCTCGCTTGTGGTGGAGGTCACAGGACTAAACAAGTTTGTCAAAATTCACTGTACTCCAAGCCTAAATAACTTTACTGCATGTAAATTAGACCTCAACAAGCCCGATGATAAAATGGACAATAGCTGGGCATGGTGGCTCATGCTTGTAATCCCAGTGCTTTGGGAAGCCGAGGCGAGCGGATCACCTGAGGTCAGGAGTTCAAGACCAACCTGGCAAACATGGTGGAATCCCGACTCTACAAAAATACAAAAATTAGCCAGGCATGATGGCAGGTGCCTGTAATCCCAGCTACTTGGGAGCCTGAGGTGGGAGAATTGCTTGAACCCAGGAGGGGGAGGTTGCAGTGAGCCAAGATCGTGCCACTGCACACCAGCCTGGGCGACAGAGTGAGACTCCATCTCAAAAATAATAATAAAAAAAGGGCAATAAAGTGAAGTGTGGGGGTAAAATTCACTTGGCATAAATTCAGATACCACCTAAGAAGTTATTCTGAGATGCTCCTGTCTGGAACCCATTCCTGGTTTCTGCCGAGAGCTAGAAGAGCAGGCCTGCTGATGGGGCCGGTGCCCCTGGGTTGCTTCTGAGGACATCAGGCTTTAGGTTAAGCTGTCACAAGGACAGAAGGCTGTGGTTCTATACAGAAGACAAGAACACTGCTTTGGTATTGCACACTGTCTTCTCCTAGGTCTTACTGGATATTTGTTTTTCTGTTTTTTGTAAGGGGACAGATCTGGAGGGCTGACACCTTTTATTTTGGATCTAGGCTGTGCTTCACGGCTCCCTGGGACAGGATCCTGAGAAGCGCGGGGCATATTTTCCAATGGAAAAAGGCACTAGTCTCCATTCAAAAATCTCAGATGAGGCTGGGCTGGCTTACGCCTGTAATCCCAGCACTTTGGGATGCTGAGGTGGGTGGATCACCTGAGGTCAGGAGTTCAAGACCAACCTGGCCAACACGGTGAAACACCGTCTCTACTAAAAATACAGTAATTAGCCGGGCATGGCGGTGGGTGCCTGTAATCCCACCTACTCAGGCTGAGGCAGGAGAATCACTTGAACCCAAGAGGCAGAGGTTGCAGTGAGCTGAGATCATGCCATTGCACTCCAGCCTGGGTGACAGAGTGAGACTCAGTATCAAAAGAAAAAAACAAAAACCCCCCAAATCCACCCAGAACCTGACAATATCCAGGACATTGTTTGGAACTGCGTGGATAGAATCACGGACTAATGGACACCAGTGGCCTACATGGAGGCTGTGGAAGGCTCTGCCATCACTTGAACCGCAGGCAGTGGCAGAGCCCACCTGTGTTTAGCCCAGGCCTCTGCTGTCTCTGGAAGCTGTGCCCCCTGAATCTTAGCATGAGAGCACATTACAAATCAGGTGGGCCGGGCCGGGTGCGGTGGCTCAGCACTTTGGGAGGCCGAGGCAGGCGGATCACCTGAGGTCACAAGTTCAAGACCAGCCTGGCCAACATGGTGAAACCCTGTCTCTACTAAAAAAATACAAAAAAATTAACTGGGCATGGTGACGGGCACCTGTAATGCCCCCTACTTGGGAGGCTGAGGTAGGAGAATTGCTTGAACCCAGGAGGCAGAGGTTGCAGTGAGCCAAGATTGTGCCATTGCACTCCAGCCTGGGCAACAAGAGTGAAACACTGTCTCAAAAAAAAAAAAAAAAAAAGCAGGTGGGCCGGGATTTTGCCTGCTTCCCAGCTGAAGGCGTTGAGCGGGTGACCGGCAACTCGAGACCCTCCTTTTGTCGTTATTTCAAAAATGCCATTGCTACTTCACCAACGTCACAGCTTCTCTTAGAACTAAGAACACTTTTGTGCAAAAGAGCAAAACTTGCCAGGACAACTAAGAATTGCTCAGAGACAAGGGCCAATGGAATGGATTTTTAAAAATTCAGTTAAACGTTAAAGTTCTTTCCAGTAACGTTTGAGTGTAAAAACTGTCTACCCAGGTCAGCTCCCGGGGCCGGGCAGACAGCAGCACGGAGCTGTTATGTCCTTGCAGGGGAAGGTATGGTCTGGGATCACTTTTGCTAAACAAATGTCAAAGAGAAAAAATACTTTGCCTTAAAGTAACCCGCACCGTCAGCGGCCCAGGGCTGGGAGGGGCGGTTGATGTGAACGTACACACAGCAGGGTCTGGCCGCAGGGCCACAGGGCTGGGCGTGGGGCTGGGGACACAGCTGCAGCTTCTTCTGGGCCGGAATCTCATCTTACCTTGGGGTAAGTGGGAACATCGCGTCGAGGAGTCAACTTCTTGTGGTTATCCAAAAAACTGTACTTACAGGGGCAGTTGGTCCTAGAGAGAAGGAGCAGAGATGAGCTGTGGTCCTGCTGTTTCAGTCTGGTGAAGCCCTCAGCACAGCAAAAGCAAGCGACAAACCCAACCCCCAAGCCCCGTGTGGTCTTATTTGCTGTGGGAGAGGAGTCAGGGCAGCAGCAACTCACTCGAAGCAAAATCCCTGATGACCTGTCTGACCTCTGACCTCACACTAGACTCTTGGAAAACACACAGAAAGTCAGATGTTGGGGCTGGGCGTGGTGGCTCATGCCTGCAATCCCAGCACTTTGGGAAGTCGAGGCGGGATGATCATGAGGTCAGGAGATCGAGACCATCCTGGCCAACATGGTGAAACCTCATCTCTATTAAAAAAATAATAATAATACAAAAATTAGCTGGGCGTGGTGGCGTGTGCCTGTAGTCCCAGCTACTCGGGAGGCTAAGGCAGGAGAATCGCTTGAACCCAGGAGGCGGAGGTTGCAGTGAGCAGAGATTGTGCCACTGCACGCCAGCCTGGCCAGTCTGGGCAACAAGAGCGAAACTCCATCTCAAAAAAAAAAGAAAAAAAAGTCAGATGTTGAGGGCTATCTTCTCTTTTAGAAGCTGTTTTCAAAAGAAAAACATTCTAAAAAATCTAAACAACACAAGAGTAAAGTAAAAAAAAAAACACCAAAATATGAAAACCGAAGTCCTCACTTTACCCATTTATTTCCCTAAATCCCATACTCTGGAAATCACTTCTAATAGTTTGGTGTATCTTTCCAGAATGTTTTGAAGTGTGGACACACATGGGTGGCCGCTTTTACCTTTTAACAATATTTTAATTTTTATTTTTTGTAGAGATAGGGTCTTGCTATGTTACCCAGGCTGGTCTTGAACTCCTAGGTTCAAACGATCCTTCTGCCTCAGCCTCCCAAAGTATTGGGATGACAGGTGTGAGTCACTGCACCCCGCCCCTTTGTACTTTTTAAAATTTTTATTTATTTATTTATTTTTGAGACAGAGTCTCACTCTGTTGCCCAGGCTGGAGTGCAGTGGCGCAATCTTTGCTCACCGCAACCTCTGCCTCCTGGGTTTAAGCAATTCTCGTGCTTCAGCCTCCTGAGTAGCTGGGATTACAGGTGCATGCTGCCACACCTGACTAATTTTTGTACTTTTAGTAGAGACGGGGTTTCACCATGTTGGCCAGGCTGGTCGTGAACTCCTGACTTCAAGCGATCCACCTGCCTTGGCCTCCCAAAGTGTTGGGATTACAGGCGTGAGCCACTGCGCCCAGCCCCTTTGTACTTTTAAACAAAGATGGAATTGCACCAAAGTCAGTCTGCTGCAACCTGCTTTGTCATCTAACATATCATGAACTCATCCCAAGTTGCTCCACAGAGCTTAGCTTCATTTTCCAAGTTTCTCCAGGGTGTGGCCATAGCACACGTTAGCAATCCAGTCCCCAGTGATGGACTTTTAGAATGTTTCCAACTTTCCCTGTTACATGTAATGTTAGCAGATGAGTTTTCTGTCTGACTCTGTTTTTGTTTAGCACTTGGTATCGAGGTATCCCACATAGGAGCAGGGCAAAGTGAGCCAGGCATGTTTCAGAGGAAAGCCACCTTCCGGTTGGGCAGTGTGCTGGCTTCAGGGTGGTCCCCAGAGGCTGAATGAGGAGCAGCTGCCCCAGGAGGTCTGGCTGCTCTTGGGCCCCTGCAGCAGAGTGCACCAGGGGGCTGGGCCGATCTGGGTTCACACCCTATGGGTGTGAACTTGCTTGGAAGTGAACAGGCTCCCTGTGTACTTGGACGATGGTGGGTGGGGGTCACGCCTGGCTTGTGTGACATTCACCAGGCTATGGGGGCACTCAGGGAGCTAAATGCAGCAGAAGCTCCTGCGATTTGTAAATAAAGCCCCTTCTTCTGGGAGAGCAAGTTAATACTGCCCAGTAAGAGCCATATAGAAATTCGTATCCTTTAAGCCCACATATCTATCCTGGGGAATTTATCTTAAGCCAAGAATTAAACAGGAACAAACAGCTCTATGCACACAGATATTCACCGTGGTGTGATCTGCTGTAACAAAAACACAAAACCGACTAGAAGCCACCTGAATGTCCCAAGACGGGAAGCGGTTTAAACCAGCACAGTGCCTCCGCATGATGGACTATTATGCCATTAGGAGGATCATCACGGATATTATGCCAAGTGAGGAAACTTGACATGAAAAGGGAAAATAAGAATGCTATGCACAGTATGTACTGAAAGCAAGTGCCAAAAAATGCCACGCTACGAGGAAGAAAGAGCACATTCGGTAGGTTTAAAAAGAGTGCTTGATTGTGGCCTTCTGGGAAAATCTATGAGCTGTACGCTGGTTAAAATTTAATCTATTTATTGCTCACAATGCCACTAGTAAAAAAAAAGACTACACAACGCATGTTTTAGTTGTTTTTCAAAACAAGGTATCTATGCACAGAAAAACATCTAGAAGGCCTCGTGTCCAGGTTTAAACTGGGGGGACATTGCCGGCTGTTGTCATGATCGGTGTGCACCCTTCAGCTCCCATCAGTGTAGTTTGGAGGTTTTCCAATGAGCCTGTGCTATTTTCAAAACTAGAATAATCAATCTATTTCCTTTCTGGAAAAAGAGGCTTCGGTGTTATTTTCTCGGCATGCTGCCGTCTCTTCCCCGTGATAACCACCGCTCCACGGAGATCCATTTGGTAGCCCTTCCCTCTGTTTCATGCTTGCAAAACCCATCAGAGTTGCTACCACAGTTTGATGTGTAAGGGGGAACGCTAACAGATTCAGCAAAGTATTAACAAAACCAACCAACAAAATGCACCAATCAAATGATTTCCATTGTCATCCATTAAACGAGAAATTCCATTTACACATTTCTGAGAAGTAACGAACGTTTTCTGCGTAGTTAAAAAAAATAGATGGCATGATGATGATTTCTTCGCTGCTTTTAACCTGTTTTGTGTAAACATTCGCACATGTGCTGTCTCTGTAAGTCTCCTGCATTCCCCAGGAGGGTTATGGAAATCTTCACCGAGCAAGACAGTTTGACTGTTCGAATCCCGCTGTTTCCTTGCAGATACCAGAGCTGGGAGCAGAGGAGGGTCTGCTGGGGCCCGCTGACCCTGCCTGGCCAGGCAGCCCCTCTCTCTGCGCTCCGCTGCCACGGGAACCAGCGTCTTCAGCAAACAGAGCAGCTGGCATGGAGCTCTTTCTTTTCATCCTATTTGGAGCTTATCTTTGCTTTCATTTCCTGGGGTCCCCATCCCCCTTCTCTGGGGCTTAGGCCAGTGGGCAAGGCCATTTGTTTGGGATGAACGCTGAGCCCTCAGTTGCCACCCCAGGCTCCTGCAGACTCCCCAGCTCTGGGTGAACCCCATATTCCATGCTCTGCTCTCTGCCTGGCACAGTGCTGGGGGCCAGAGTGGCCGTGGCCCCTGGGGTAGACCTGCCCCTGCCCCTGCCCTAAATGTAAGCTGGCAGTTGGACCTCTGTCCTCTTTGAGGGAAAAGCAGGAGAAACCTAGCCCGTGAGTGTCAGGGGACGGCCACCTGCTCCCGGGTGCTGTGTGCCGGACCCCGATGCCACTGCTGTTCCCAAGGGGCAGCTTCTGGTGGATCCATACCCCTGGCTCCGAGGCCCCACCAGGGTGTGCTATGTGGGCTGAATGTAGCTCCACATTTCAGGCTCACACTGGCCATTTGTGTGGCACGGGGCTGAGCTAGCTCCACCCTGTCTGGGGCCTTTATTCTCTTCCCAGAGGCAAGAACGCTGGCCTCTGGCTGGGCTGCCATCTCGGGAAGGCCCCCCACCCCCACCCTGCCTTTTGCAGCTCCTCTCCCCAGTCATCCGGGGAAGTTCCAGCTTAACTGAGACTGGTCCCAGGGTCCCCACATTGCTACAGGGCTCTCATGAGTAAGATGTAACTCTGCTGTTGACAAAGACAAAAGGGACAACACGAATATCTCAGTGTCTCTATTCTGAGTTCCTTTCTACATAGAAAAACAGGAAGGGGTTTCATGTGTGGCAACGCCGGCCTGGGGCACATGACGCGGCTGGGGATGAGACCAGAGCCCAGGAGGCTGGATTTGTTTTTTCTCAATGTGTCGACAACGCTTGAGAATTTTTACCCTGTTCCGTTTTGGAAGCAAGAGTCCCATTTACCTGTCTCTCACCTACAGGGGAGGCTGCCAGAGCTGTCAGCCGAGAACGTCGCCTCCAGAAGCTGACGGGGCACCAGGAAGTCTCCTTGTCTTTGGTTTATGGCGCTGTGGGTTCTAAAAATGTACTCCTGGGGGAAGTGCGGATGCGCCTCCGTTACTCAGATGGGCCCAGGTGCCCCCCACAGCCCGGCGTGCCTGACAGGCACCTGGGGGCTGATGTCTCACTGGAGTTCCTGGCGGCTTCCTCTGCAAGCTCTGAAATCGGTGTTATCCTCCCACGTGGTGTGTTATGGGCTGAAGTACATCTCCCCCCAAAAGTTGTATGTTGAAGTCCTAACCCTGCTGCCTCTGAGGGTGACCTCATTTGGGGACATGACTGTTGCAGATGTAGTTAAGGGGATGTCATCCTGGAGGAGGGTGACCCCTACTCCAATAGGATGGGTGTCCTTACAAAAAGGGGGAATTTGGACAGAACGGATGGGAGCACCAGGTGAAGAAGCAGGCAGAGAATGCCGCCGGCAGCCACCAGAGGCCAAGAGAGACCGGGAAGGTCCCTCCCCTGGGGCCTTCAGAGGTGGCAGGGCCTGCTGGCACCTTGATTTTGGACTTGTGGCCTCCAGAACTATGTGGGAATACATTTCTATTGTTTTAAGCTGCCCAGTTTATGAGAATTCGTTACGCAGCCCCAGGAAATGACTACAACTTCGATAAAAATAATCTTCCCCCCTGCAACCTCAACCTGACCTGCAGGACTAGTGCACACCAGAAACCACGCCAGGAGCGGCGTGTGATCCGAGCACTCGCCTTGCTTTCTACAGAGCGGGTGCCCATCAGGCACGGCAGAGGCAAGACCTGTGAGGCCGGAGGCTGTCTCACCACTCACTCCTGCTGCTGTAGGTGGGCGGTAAATGCAGTCGTTTAAGGGATAAGAGGCTGCATCCTACAAACACCTCCAGAAAGTGCTCAGGGACACACAGTTGTGGGTGAGGAGCTGGGGGCAGCTTCGGGAGGCATGGCCTGGCTCCAGACACACCCCTTGGGGCGGTGGAGTTCCCCAACCCATATGGGGCCCAGAGGCCGCTGTTCAGGGAGTCTGGTTTCAGGCTGAAGACTAGAACTCAGTTTTTGTCCTCTTCCCCTCGTGCTGCTGGTGGGGCTGGAAAGGCTGGCCCTGCTACACCCGCAGCCCCAGCTTGAGGCCACCCATCTCCGCCTGGCTCTGGGCAGAGGGGAACCCTGCCAGGCAGCACCACCCTGGAACACCACCCTCCTGCCAAAGCAGCCATGGCACCTGGGGCGCAAGGGACAGCCAGAGGGCTGAACCAAGCCACGTAGAGCCCACGGCCAAGGGCGGTGCCACAGGTGAAGGTGCTGTGTGTCTGAGGCTGCCAAGCCGGGTCCCAGCCTTGCCAGGTCCCAGCCTTGGGACCCCAGCTGTGTGGCCGTCCCTGTGCAACTTGGGAGCTCTTCCTTGGCTCACAAATGAGAGACTCTGTCTCCCGTCCTTTAAAGAGCCTCCAGCACAGGGATGACGAAGATGGATTGTTCACTCACAACTTTCCATGGCCACAAACTATGGCCTGACTTCCCCTAAGTCAATTGGGCTGAGACATCCCTAACTCCAAATGAGCCCATGAGTGCATGGGACAGACACGTGGCACGGTCCCTGTAGGACAGGCTCTCACGTGGCTCAGACAAGGCCTGCTTCCTTCCGCTCGGCCTTCCTCCCTGCGCCCACCCCGAGGCCAGGCCCCCGGGGCTTTGAGGGGACCAGATGAGGCCCGTCGGCTTTCCCTTCACCTTCTGCCTCTGAGACCCTTTCACTTGCCACGCTTCCTCAATAAGCAGATTGCCCTCAATTTCAAAATCAGGGAATGATCGTCAGCATGCCAGGTGGCTCTGAGACAACTCAGTGCAATTGCACAGGGCTGTTTCTCAGTCCATTAGTCCCCATTAAATCCCACTGAGGCCGGGCAGTGGCACTCTGGGGAACCATGAGCCACATCATATGCCTGTGGTGTCTGGGCTGGCACCAGCGGGCATGGAGGCAAAGCCCGGAGGTGTGAGCAGGTCCTGTGTGCCCCTCACTAAGCACAGCGCCCGCACACAGTAAGTGCCTCAATGCATGCGCTCTGCTCATCATCACCGCCGTCTCTTTGCTACTACCGGCATTTCCATCCCCAGTTTGGTCGTGGTTCATCCACACGTGTCCTGACCCTGGCTCCAGTAAAGAGTCCTGCTGTACACAAAACTGACTTTGGAGGTGGCATCGTGGAGACTGGGGCATTTTCCCCACGAGTCACAGCTCACTGGGCCCCCCGAAGCGCCTGTGAAGGATGCCTGTTCCCAGGAGAATGACTTCTGTGTCCCCAGTGCTGAAGCCCTCGCTGGAATGCAACCCAGTGGGAACATCACACAAGGAACCGGGTCCCTGGGGGCAACAGGAGGCTCCTCCCCTAATGCTTTTCCTCTTCTTGTTCTGTCTTTAAAAGTGGATATCAACTTATTCCAAGCTGGACACATTGCTCCTAAGGCTTGGATCTGCAGGAGGAGGACTCTTCTTCTGTGAAATCGTCTTCCCAGCCCCTATCTCCAATATGTGCTCTTTTTTTCTTGAGACAGAGTCTTGCTCTGTCGAGCCCAGGCTGGAGTGCAGTGGCGCGATCTCGGCTCACTGCAACCTCCACCTCCTGGGTTCAAGCGATTCTCCCGCCTCAGCTTCCCAAGTAGCTGGGGTTACAGGCATGTGCCACCATGCCTGGCTACCGTTTGTATTTTTAGTAGAGACGGGGTTTCACCATGTTGGCCAAGCCGGTATTGAACTCCTGTCCTCAGGTGATCCTCCCACCTCGGCCTCCCAAAGTGCTGGGATTACAGGCGTGAGCCACCACACCCGGCCCATGCGTGCTCTTTTGTTAGAAGAAAGTCACACCACTGACAAGCAGGTCGCAAGCAGGGTGGCTGCCTCCAGACTGCACTCTCCCAAGCCTGAACTGTACCGAACTGCACCAGCCTTTCTTTTAGGCAAACAAAGCCCACAGCCCCAGCCCAACTGGTACGGGGAGCCCTCCCCAGGCCCGGCCGCCCGTGGCCCCAGCGCAGACCCTACCTGCTGCTTCTGGCCGCCAGCTCCTCCCTCATCTTCTTAATGTCACTCTTGCATTTCTCAATCTCCACCACTTTTAGTCCTTCCACTGGTGACAGAGAGAGAGACAGCAAGGGGGTTACCACGGACGAATGTGGAGGATCTCTCAAGGCTGGTAACTAAGGGCTCCCTGTGGCTCCCAGGGAGGAATATACCTCAGTGCAGAGGTCCCCACACCTGCCCTGGCTGCCGATACTCAGGTTTTGCCTGCACTTCCGCGCTTAGCTCAGCCACAACTGACTCTATCCTCGCAGGCATGTGCCGTGGCCACCGCTGCACTACCGCATCCATCCGGGCAGTTTTCAGAAGGCAGAAGCTCCTCCCCACTCTCCACTCCCTGAATCTCAACTCTGGCACCCACTTTTTGCTCCATACCCCTAAGCACCAGCTGAGGACATGGGACAAAGGCGTCTTTTATCCCAAAAAGAAAAGGGGGCACATGTGGTGCCAGAGCATTAAAATGCAGTGAACGGCAAAGCGTTTTCAGCAAGGATTACGATCTCATTATGGGAAAAGCTTTTCATTGGAACGTCCTTCCAGAGCAGTTTCACCAGGAGAAAGTGTTGACTTAAAACAGAAGAGAAATAAATAGGCAAAGTTGAGGATCAGCAGAACTTGGACTTGATCACATTCCTGGAGTTGAAACTGCCTTGGCCAAATTATGACTGAGACAGTGAAAGAGATCTAACTTAGCGGGCTCCATCTTGCTTCGAACCTCCAAGCTGTCTGTGTTCATTCCTTGGCTGAACTAACTTTGGGAGAAACTTCATTTGTAGTTTATAGTTTAGACAAAGACTGTAACAGCCCTTTCCCAAAGCAGACCTGCTTCTTGCCTGGGGACGAGACTAACAGCCACAGGATTAGAAATTACAGTTTAAGAGTCACGCAGCTGGAGACTACGAGATTCTGACCCTCCCTAAATTGCTCCTAAGATCAGCGCTTGAGATATTTTGGAGACCCTGCAGTTGATGGATCAGCTGGCACCACCCAGATAGATAAACTGGCTCGTCTGGTCTTCTGGCCCCAGTCAGGAACTGACTCAGTGCAAGAAGACAGCTGCAGCCAGGCACAGTGGCTCACGCCTGTAATCCCAGCACTTTGGGAGGCTGAGGTGGGCAGATCACGAGGTCAGGAGTTCAAGACCAGCCTGGCCAATATAGTGAAACCCTGTCTCTACTAAAAATACAAAAATTAGCCGGGCATGGTGTGCCAGTGCCTGTAGTCCCAGCTACTCGGGAGGCTGAGGCAGGAGAATAGCTTGAACCCGGGAGGCGGAGGTTGCAGTGAGCCGAGATCACGCCACTGTACTCTGGCCTGGGGGACAGAGTGAGACTCTGTCTCAAAAAAAAAAAAAAAAAAAAAAAAAAGCAGACAGCTTCAACTCCCTATGATTTCCTCCCTGACCAATCAATCAGCATTCCTGGCTCACTGGCTTCCCACCACCCACTAAGTTATCCTTAAAAACTCTGCGCCCCGAATGCTCGGGGAGACTGATTTGAGGAATAATAAAACTCTGGTCTCCCGCACAGCCGGCACTGGGTGAATGGCTCTTTCTCCATTGCAGTTCCCCTGTCTTGATGAATGAGCTCTGTTTAGGTAGCAGGCAGGGTGAACCCCTTGGGCAGTTACAGAGTCCCACTGCAAAGGTGTACCTCAACAGTTAGGATACTATTTTTCAACCAAAAACAAACTGGAGCTTATGCCTCCGAGCGAGCGTTAAACTTCAAGATATTTACCCTTGGCTGACTGCACGTTTACCCCAGAAAAGCTGCCATGAAGCAAGCAGCTTTGCACGGCTTTTCAATTAGAGTTGGTTCATAAACCAATTGAAATAAAAAAGATTAGCTTTGTTACTTTGTAATCACACCTTAGTTTTTATGCAAAAGGATACTCCCACGATACCACTCTATTCCCCTTTTCATGAAGTTTGGCTCTGAATAACTGCTAAAAATAAAAAGCAAATGTTTTCTAAAGGAAAAACCAAGCAACTCAGAGCCTTTGGCTAGTTTGTAACAACTCCTTCCCACCCCAAAGGAAGTACTGCAGCTCCGGAAAGAAACTCTCCCAGTACAGTGGCCCAGGGCAGACTAGCTGGAATCAGCCTCCCGGGTGGGTTTCGAGGCGTTTCCAGGGTCAGGGGTCAAGTAGGGGCATGTTCCCGGGACACTGCTTCTTTCTGCCAGAAGGACGAAGAATCTGGAGAGTGCAATATTTGGATCTGGTCCTGCTGATGTGTTTCTGTGCTACAGAAACCTTCTCCACCCCTCTTCTACCCAACAGCTAGAGGACATGGGGTCCGGAAGTGCATGTGGCTGGAGCCAGTGTGGTCGCTGTCGTGATGGCCGAGTCCAGATGAGCTGCCGCTGGGGAAACACAGGGTACCTGAGGTCTGAGGTCGGGACGTCTTTGTCCAACCACTAAGAGTCCACATTCTCCTTTGGAGCCGGGTCTCCGTTTTCTCCAGCATCATGGGCCCCTCAAGGAAGCTGATGCATGCCACAGGCTGTCTTCTCAGAAAAGGTACCCAAGAACACATTTTGGGTTTGCATGTGGATTGGGAAGCCCAACGTGGCCTCCAGCGGTGCTCCTTGGCTTTGTCTAGACTGCAGGATCCCACCCATGCCCTGTGGATTTGCCACGTGGACACTGACGTGAGCAAATGGACAATTCAACATCAGTGGCAGAAAGGAGCTCAGTCTGGTTCACACGTGGAAGGCAGCACATTCTGAAAGTGAGTAGATCTGGGGAAGGGTTGGGCATGCGGTGTAGACTGCAAACAGGGCAGCTGGGCCCTCTGTCCAAGGTCCATGGACCATTGACTATGTCTTAAATGTCATTTTTCTGAATATAAAATATCCTATTATCATTGTAGGAAGTGTAGGAAATAGCACTTCAAAGAATAATATTTAAAAACTTGTCTAGGATCCTATGGGCCCAGAAAACAACTCAGTTAATATTATTTGTATTAATGTGTGTCCTTCCAGGCTTTCTGCCCACTCCCAGCCTTCTAAATATTCATCCTGTTTATCTATCTATCTATCTATCTATCTATCTATCTATCTATCTATCCTGTTTATCTATCTATCTATCTATCTATCTATCTATCTATCTATCTATCTACTACCTACCTACCTACTGTGTATCTATCCATCCATCCATTTATATACTATCTATCCATCCATTCATCTATGTATCCATTCATCCATCCATCCATCCATCCATCCATCCATCCATCCATCCACCCATCCATCTATGCATTCATCATATTTATGTATCTACCTATGTTCTATTTATCCATCCTATTTTTCTATCCGTTCTATCTCTCTATCCACCCATTCTATGTATCTACCTATCTTTCTTTTCTTTTCTTTTTTTTTTTTTGAGACAGGGGCTTGCCCTGTCACCCAGGCTGGAGTGCAGTGGAACAATCACAGCTCACTGCAACCTTTACCTCCTAGGTTCAAGTGATCCTGCCACTTCAGCCTCCTGAATAACAGGGTCTAAAGGGGTGCACCGCCACACCTGGCTAATTTTTGTATTTTTTGTAGAGATGGGGTTTTGCCATGTTGCCCAGGATGGTCTTGAACTCCTGGGCTAAAGCAATCCTCCTGCCTTCACCTCCCAAAGTGCTGGGGAACCACTTTAGGCATGAGCCACTGCACCCAGCCTCTACCTATCTTTCTATTTACATATCTATATAGTATCTATCTATGTATGTATCTATGTATGTATGTATCTATCTAGCTTCTATCCATCCTGTGTGTGTCTATGTATCTATATATCTATTATTAATTTTAAAAGATAAAATTTGTTGTTTTCTAACTTGCTATTTTCACTCATCAGGAGGTCACGGCCCTTCCCCATGTTAGTGGCTGCTGTCGCAGCTCACGTTTTTCTTTTTATCCCCCGAGGAAAATGCTATTTATCATACTGAGCAGGATAAATAAATACCAAGGGCTTCATGTCAGTTCAGATCACATTTTTGCTGCTAAATGAGTTTGCAACAAACCTATAATTTTTTTCCCATGTCCATACAAGGCTCTGTTTTAAGCCAGCTCATGGTTTTTGATGGGTGCATAGCGTTTGTATTGACAGTGCAGAGTCCACCGAGATCCGCTTCCCTGGCTACCTATTGAGGTGATGTTAAAATTAAGCCTCCTGGGTGACACAGCACAGCTTCACTAGTTTGCATCCCAGAGATGCAGAATTTGTGGCAATTAAGTTTATGAAGAGGCTGTTGGCCAAGTAGATGGATAGTGAGTAACAACATTGCAAAAGTGCATTCCTCAATGAAGAGAAAGCAAGATGCCATGAAATGACGGGGCTGGCGGGGAGGTCTGCAGGAGGAGGCAGAGGTGAGCATGTGGTGGATGTGTGTGCCTGTGTCCCCGGGGGTCCTGCCTCCTCACTCCCTGGCCTTTCCAGGACACCCGGCTGCTTTGGGGAAGATTCCACAGCTCCCCTCTTCGACCCACTGCCAGCCCTGCTCCACCTCAATCCAGAGGGAGGAGCGGGCCAGTCCTGTGGGGCGGGGGGCCTCAAGCCTGAGAGGTCTGCAGACAGCAGCAGGACGGCCCTACCGTGGAGCCTGGACGTCGGCTCTGCCCATCATGGCCCGCTCCTCTGCCTTCAAACGCTGAACACAGGCGGGCACAGACCACGCACCACAAACCAAAGCAGAGGCTCCCTGGCCCACTGGACCCTGCTAGGGGGCTGGGAGCCCAGCCCACGGCTGCCTGTTATTCCCGCTGACCAGGTGTGGACCCTAGGACATGCCTGTGTGTGGGGCTAGTATTATCTGGAAACCCCGGGCTGTCCTCTTAAAAGGACTGTAGGCCGGGCGCAGTGGCTCATGCCTATAATCCCAGCACTTTGGGAGGCCAAGGCAGGTGGATCACCTGAGGTCAGGAGTTTGAGACCAGCTTGTCCAGCCAACATAATGAAACCCCGTCTCCACTAAAAATACAAAAATTAGCCAGGCGTGGTCACAGGCTGCCTGTAATTCCAGCTACTCTGGGGGCTGAGGCGGGAGAATCACTTGAACCCGGGAGGTGGAGGTTGCAGTGGGCCAAGATCACACCACTGCACTCCACTGCATTAAAGTGAGACTCTGTCTCAAAACAAAACAAAACAGCAACAAAAAAGGGCTTTGAAAGAGATTTTTGTGAGCTTCTACAAGTCACAGGCCACCTGCAGGAAAAACTAAGGGTGATTTTCTGACAGACGCTGGCTTTGGGGAAATCGTCCTGGCAGGTGGGGAAGAGCTGAGCTGGGGGTCAGAGAGAGCCGAGCCGGAGGGTGGGGAGAGCCGAGCTGGGGGTCGGGGAGAGCTGAGCCGAGGCTCAGGAGGCTCTGTGCTGTGCTCCTTCCCCAGCCTCACTGTGCTCCAGCAAGAGGCCGGGAACCTGGCAGGCCCAGTCCTTTGGCTACAGAGCTAGTGAAAGCTGTTTAAAGACATGTATGAATAGAGTTGTGTTTCAACACTTCCTCCAGGAGCCTCACTAAAGAGCCCGCGTAGAGCACACTTCCGGAGTGACAGAGAAAAGCAAGGCTTGGTTCTAGCATCCAGGCTCTGGGCTGTTTGTATGGCCTGTGTTAAACTTTGCCCCAGCCGGTCAGCTCCTGCCACGGCCCACGCTGTGTTTAGGTTTTGGTCCAAGCCCAGAGCACAGGGACAAAGGGTGGATGGAGCAGAGCTGCCCTGTGCCCTGGCCACAAACCAGGAAGGAAGGGAGTAAAGGGCCCTGCTTTAAAATCTCTTTTTAATGTTTCACCTCCAGCCAGGACATGAGGGGAGGAGCCTGGGTGTTCTGTTTACAAAATAATCCGTAACGTAAGGGAAATCCCAGATCTCTCGAACAAGGCTAAACTTTGTATATCAAAAGGAAGAAGAGCTTTGAAAGTCAATGAGGAGAAATGAAGAAATTTATATTCAATTCAGAGGAATTATACATTTAAGAAGAAGCAGGAAATTCCATTTAAGACAAGTCCACCACAATATAATATGGCCTTAAGGTGGCCAGTTCTAGTGGATGAATCCTTTAACTCAAGAGGCAGAAAACAGCTTGGCCGGGCACAATGGCTCACGCCTGTAATCTCAGCACTTTGGGAGGCCGAGGCGGGTCGATCACCTGAGGTCAGGAGTTCGAGACCAGCCTGGCCAACATGGCGGAACCCCATCTCTACTAAAAATACAAAAATTAGCCGGACATGGTGGCGGGCAGCTATAATCCCAGCTACTTGGGAGGCTGAGACAGAAGTGTCCTGTCTTCGGGGGGCAGAGGTTGCAGTGAGCCAAGATCACGCCACTTCTCTCTAGCCTGGGCCAAAGAGCAAAACTCCGTCTCAAACAACAACAAAAACAAGACAAGACAAAACAAAACAGCTCACAGCAGCTCATGTATAGCAGAAGCAGCTGTGTGTGCGCATGTGTGGGTATGTGATCATATATATGAATGTATCTGCACGTGCCTGGGTGCTTACACGTGTGCATGTATATGTGACATCCTGACATGCCTGTGTGATTTCACATGTGTATATGTGAGTGCATGTGCACCTTTCTCTGTTTGTGTTTATATGTGTGTGTGCATATGTAGATGGGAGCATCTGCCTCTGGCCCAGGCCCTGTGCATCGGGGTGTCGGACCAGGCTCCTGGCCGCCTTCCCCATCTGGCTAGCTTCTGGCAGCCGTGCAGGGTTGGGACTGACCTTCTGAGAAGCTGGGCGCGCACCTACCCAGTGGCCTGCGTGAGAGGTTCAGCTGCAGGCCCTCTCCTCAAAAGGACTTTCCGTTTCTGCCCTCCAAGCTTCCTAAAATGTCTGGGCTCTTGCATCTTTGGGTTAAGGCTCTGCTGCCCTTGTAGTGTCTCTGGAACTCAGAATCTCTGGGGCTCAGCACAGGTGCAGCATCCTGGCCACCTCCCGCTAAAGCACATCCGCTGGAGAGTGGGGAGCCATCAGCCAGAAGTGCCCGGGGAGGATGAGCCCAAAGCCAGGTGGAGTTCAGGAGGAGGACAGCCTGTCTGGACATGGCTGCCTCCTGGGGTGGGGGTGTGAGTTGCATGCCAGGGGAGGAGGGCAGCCAGGAGGACTGAGGAGAGTCCCCCCTGACCTCACCCAAGCCCCTCCCTTACCCTCCACAACTCCTAGACTGTTCCTCCTTCTCTACTCCTTAGAGAGGTGAGCTCCCTCAATCCCATTTCTGCAGTCCTAGGTCTCTGGTGCTAGAAATCAGTACAACTAGTCACAACCGGTTTTACCCATAGAAGCGCCAGGAATTTTGGTCAGTGCAGTGAGCCTGAGCTCGGTGGGTCAAGAGCGGTGTCCTTTTCCAGGCCATCTATGTGCATTTACTGAGGGTTTTATGGGAAGATGCTTCCCTCTGAGAAGTGAGAAATTTTGGAGAATTCCGCAGCCAGAACAGGCTAGGGGGGAAGGTCCTATGGGCCATTTCCTTCAGTGGTCTTCGACTCACCTGCCACTTGCAGGTAAAATAGGAACACTTTTCTTCTGGCTTGATGGTTATTTTCCAGGGTCAGTTATTCAAAGACACACAGGGTTACTATTCATCTTGTTGTGGGCGACATAATTCTCTGTAAGAGTTTTGAGAGTTACGACATGGCCTCTTCAACTTGCCTGTTTGCACTTTCCGGGAAGAGCATGGGGGGAGCTGGCACTGGCTTCCAGGTGGGGCGTAGGAGATGGGGAAGGCTGAGGAAAAACCCAGGTGCTGGAGAGAGGAGGAGAGGTGGGAGGCACCTGCTGCCCGCGGGCATCTGCACACTCGCCCCGTAGTGACTGCGTGGCTTTTTGTGTCCGTAAAGAGGGGTGGGGACTCTGCAGCAAGCCTTTTTTGCATGCTTTGGCTCAAACCCCTACCCAAGTTTGGAGAATTCCCTGCGACATGGGGCTTGGTGGAGAGCTGAGCCAGCCTCCCAGTGCAGAATATGGAAATGCAAACACTCGCTGTGGTGGGTTGAATTGTGTCCTCCAGAAAGATCTGTTCACAACCTACTCCCTGGAACTTGTGAATGGGACCTTATGTAGAAAAAGGTCCTTGGCAGATATAATCCATTAGGGATCTGGAGATGGGCCCATCCTGGATTTAGGTTGGGCCCTAAATTCAAAGAGAGGCATCTTTATAAGACCTAGCTGAGAGAGACTGTTGACATGGAGACATCCTGGGAGAATGTCATCACGTGTAGACACAGGCAGAGATTATAGCAATGTAGCCTTCCAAGCTCAGGAACGGTAAGGATTGCTGGGAACCACAAGGTTCTAGGAGACAGGCATGGAACCAGGGCCCCTCAGAGCCTCCAGAAATAGCCAGTCATGCTCATGCCTTGATTTCTGACTTCTGGCCTGCAGAGCTGTGAAAGAGTCAGTTTTTGATGCTTAAGCCTCCCAGTCTGTGGTGCTTTGTGAGGCAGCTTCAGGATACTCACAGCCTCCCTTCGTGGGGCCTGCCTTGCAGCTAGACCTTGGGTGCGCGGCCTGGCTCTGTCTAGATTTTGAACCTGTAGCCAGTGACATGGAGAAGCAGCCTGATATCTGCATAAGTGGTTGTGGAGCCTCCGGGGGACCTAGGTCCAGAGTGAGGAGTACAGGGGAGCTGGTGCCGCATCTGGGGCTCAGAGACGGCAGCACAGGCATCCGCACAGCATCAGCTCTGCACGGGATTTGGGGAATTGTTGCTGCTGCACAACCTCTGAGCCCTGTTCCCAAGCCTTCCTGGGGATCTGGGGAAGCTTCCCAAAATCCTTTAGGGAAAAACTCCTTTTCTGTTGAAAGCAGCCACGATCAGTTTCTGTTGCTTGCAGCTTTAGCTTTCTAACCTGCGTTATCAAGGAATCCTCATGGAGTGCCTGGTCCTCTTCAGCCAGGTGTGCAGGGAAGTGACTCGTTCCAGAAGGGCAGGTAGCAGGCCGTGACAGCAGCCCGGCCAGGACCCTGGGTGCCAGTCCCAGCTTTATTTATTTTTCTAATTTGCTGAGTGAACTTGAGGTTACCTAACCTCTCTGTGGCTTCCTCGTTGACAATGGGGAAAATGAAACTGTCTTGAAGATCCAGTGACCACATACATTTTTAGAAATGTCAACACACTTTGAAAAGTATAAATCTGACTATGTAAATCATGTTTCAGGAGAATCACTTGAACCCAGGAGGCGAAGGTTGCATTGAGCCAAGATTGTGCTATTGCACTCCAGCCTGGACAACAGAGCAAGACTCTGTCTCTCAAAAAAAGAAAAAGAAAAGCGACGACATTCAGTCAATCAGCCAGATATTTTTGGTGATGCTGCAACTCTTAATGGTATCCTGTCTGGATTCTGTTTATTTAGTTCCTAAGTTGGTAAATACAGTGCCTGTTAATCATTAACCTTTGCCTTGTCATTGACAAAGAGTTCACTTGTCAAGCTGTGAGTGGAACACAGAATTGTGAGGCCTATGGAATTCAAGCATTGATCTTGATATTATGGATGAGGACAAAAAGGGTGGGTGACTTGAAGCTGTTTTCTTCCCAGAATTTGAGCTTTGTGATCATTGAATCAGGACTTGAATCGACACTCCTTGGCTCCCTAGTCCTTTTTCTGCTTTTCCTTTGGTGGTGATTGGAGGCTGTAGTAGGCTGTTCTTCTGTTGCTATAAAGAGATACCTGAGGCTGGGCAATTTATAAGCAAAAGAGGTTTGATTGGCTCCCAGTTCTGTGGGCTTTACAGGAAGCCTGGTGCCGGCATCTGCTTGGCTCTTGGGGAGGCCTCGAGAAGCCTCCAATCATGGTGGAAGGCAACGGAGAAGCAGGAGGGTAGAGAGATGCCACGTGCTTTTAAACAACCAGATCTTGCGAGAACTCACTATCTCAAGGAGAGCACCAAGCCATTTAGGAGGCATCTGCCTGGTGACCCAAACACCTCCCACCAGCCCCACCTCCAACATTGCGAATGACATTTCAACGTGAGATGTGGAGGGGACATCCAGACTGTATCAGAAACCAAGAGATAACAACTTAGTAGACATATTCCAAAAAATTATGACCCACAGGGTGCCGATCAGTGTGCAGAGAATGTCTTCATTTACACACAAAAAGACACAGACAAGACACTCAGCAGAGGTTCTCAGAGGGGCTAAGTGCGGAAGGCTTCGTGTGTTCATTTTTATTCTTTGGGGCTGAAAGAATGCTTTATACCATGAGCTGTGCTTCTTTTAAAATAGAAATAAAATGCTTAGTTAGTCACTGTGCTAGCCTTTGTTAACATCAAAGGTAATTTTCAAGTATTTCACAAAGAAAAGACATTTATTTGTATTTACCTTCGGCACTGAACTCCTCCCCGTTCCAAGTGGTTAATTTGAATAGAGGTTAAAGGACAGAGAAGCAAAAAGGAAACAGAAACGTCACTCACATTCCACGCGTTTCTCTAGGACAGCCAAGTGATTTGCAACTTCAGCTTTCAGTTCATTGATTTTGAATGCTCTAGGAATGAAAAAGAAAAGAGAGAGTAAATATGACCCTTAAAATTCTCAGAGCCAAAACCGGTTAAGCAAACACCTACTGAGTCCCTGCTGTGGGCATGGGCAAGGCCTCTAGGTGGGCTGGTGAGGGTCTGAGGTGCCAACATGCTAGGACTTGCTTTTCAGAAATCATCATGTCCCATGGGGAGGAAAGAATCACCAAAGTATCATGAGGTGTATTTTCTGGGCTGGTTGGGCATATTTACTTCTTCGGGCCTGAGCAGTGGACCCAAGCTCTCTGGGGTGGACACATGGCCCTCTCTCTGCTCATGCAGTTGAGATGGTCCAGTCCCCGCACCTTCCCCTGATGGGCACAGACACCTTCGGAGGACCTGTTGTGCTCTCTGGAGGCTCCAACCCAGTCAGTTAAACAATTCAAAGGTTTTTTTGTTTTGTTTTGTTTTTTGAGACAGAGTGTCACTCTTGCCCAGGCTGGAGTGCAGTGGCGTGATCTCGGCTCACGGCAACCTCCACCTCCCGGGTTCAAGTGATTCTCCTGCCTCAGCCTCCCGGGTAGCTGGGATTACAGGCATGTGCCACCACGCCCGGCTAATTTTGTATTTTTCGTAGAGACGGGGTTTCTCCATGTTGGTCAGGCTGGTCTTGAACTCCCGACCTCAGGTGATCTGCCCGCCTCCGCCTCCCAAAGTGCTGGGATTACAGGCGTGAGCCACCGCACCCGGCCAATTCAAAGGTTTTTAAAAAATCCCACCCGTCTGTGCTTTTCACTATTTTAATTAACCTGGGCAGTAAGACGCCACAGAGAAGTCAGTTTGAGAAATGGAAAATACGGTATCCAGGTCAGGATTGTTGGGATGACTCCGATGAAAAGGAAGTCTCCTAACTACACAGAAGCTCAGCGAGGAAGCTTATTTTCCAGTGGAGCCAATTCTTATAGCTTGTTCTCCCATCCCAGAAGAGCCGGTGGAGAACATTCTCGACCTCACGAGCTCACATTCTAATGCACCCACTCAACATGGTCTTTGGTCTAAGGTGAGCGTTTCCTGGGCCCCATCCAAGCTGGCTTAGTTACAGAAGCCACAGAAGGCTTCCACCGTGCGGGCAGCTCCTCCAGGCAGGTGAGACAGCCACGCTTGCCGGCCAAGGCCAGCCTCAGAGCCTGGGGCCTGCCCTCGCTCTTAGAGAAAGATGTGCCCATCTCTGGCTGGTTGTAAGTTTAGAAGACTCTGTACCTTGAGAACTGCTCTGCAACCTGCGCCAGCACGCTCTGGATTAATTCTTCTCTCTCTACAAACCAAAGAAGAAAGACAGATGGAACACGGACAAGAGGAAAAGATGTGTAGGCCATTGCAGCCCGAATCCCACGTGTTGGGGGGTGGAGGCTGTGGCCGAGGAGCTGCCCGTTACCTGGAGGGATGCGCTGGCCTTCCTGGTAGCAGCCCTGGGGCTCTCTGGGCCTGGGCTCTACCTGTCCACTTTCAAATGCTCCTTCCCTCCGGGGCTGCTCCAGGCCCACAACCCGTCTGTCCCTCAGTGGTCTCTCAGCAGACTGGCCACGGCTTGTGGTTCTCTTGTCCTCGACACCAGCTATAAAAAGCAGGCAGGACTGGGTTTCCAAATATGGGAAGTTTCCTCTTAGTGTCCAGGTCTATTTTATGGGGGCAATTACTGGGACAAAGTGAGTGCAAGGCACGTCTCAATTCAGAACACGGTGTTCTCACGGCGGGTCTGCACGGGGGAGGCAGGCCTGGGTCCAGCCGGTTGCTCCCTTTGTTGCCTGGCCTGTAAAACTGGGCTGGGTGGCTGGCTTTACAAGGTCCAGGTCCCAGGCTCAATGGAACCTGCTTGTCTTCCTGTTTCCTGACCAGGCTCAATGCCAGATACCTCACAGGAAGGTGTGGATGCTCACAGCGCTGTCCTTGTCAGCAAGGTGACATTCTAAGGAAGGGAGCGGTCTCTACCTGGCTCCAGCCATCCTCTAGCTCATGCCCCAGAACACCGAGAGCCCACACCAGGCTTAGTCATAAGTTTACGTCATCTTCTATGTTGATTTCATGTCTAACCCTCCACTATAAACAAAACAAATAAAACCAAAGCTGCGCTGGGCGCAGTGGCTCACGCCTGTAATCCCAGCACTTTGGGAGGCCGAGGCAGGCAGATCACCTGAGGTCGGGAGTTCGAGACCAGCCTGACCAACATGGAGAAACCCCGTCTCTACTAAAAAATACAAAATTAGCCAGGCATGGTGGTGCATGCCTGTAATCCCAGGTACTCGGGAGGCTGAGGCAGGAGAATCACTTGAACCTGGGAGGCAGAGGTTGCGGTGAGCTGAGATCGTGCCATTGCACTCCAGCCTGGGGAACAAGAGCGAAACTCCATCTCAAAAGAAAACAAAAAAACAAAACCAAAGCTGCCCAAACAAACAAAAAATTTCAAGAATCCAACTTGGCAATGGGGCTCAGAAGCTAAAAATGTTCACAAGCACTGACCCAGGGTCCCATTTCTAGGAAATCATCATGCATGTACACAAAAGATATTCATCACAGTGTTATTTAACACAGAGAAAACTGTCACAACCTGCACGCCCACCCAATGGAGACTCATTAAATAAATGATGAGAAAACTGTATCATCAGACATATATCTGGAATGATATTTTGCTATTAGAAATAATATTTTGAAAAATGTTCATGTCTGTTGTTAAAGTACAAAAAAAAGATTTTAAAGCAGTCATAGAGAGTGATCCTGCTTTTGAAAACATATTGGGAGAGTATACTCCAAAATAAAAATAGTAGTCATCTTTGGTTATAAGTTTTATATAAATTTTATTTAAAAATGTTTGCTTCCCTCTATCTTATGCATTTCCCCTTTTTCTTATGCATTTTCTATAATTAACGTATATTAATTTCATTTAAAAAATTAAAAAAAACTAATCAGTTTAACTTCGCAACACCTCATTGCTTCACCTGTCAAACGAGAGGGTAGACCAGATCACCCTAGATTCCCGCTGCCTTTAGCATTCTATGACTTGATAAGAAGAAGAAAAATGATGTTTTGTTATATTTCTTGAAGGTACAAGCGTAAAAATGTCAGCCAGAAAATTTTCATACAGCCATAGGTTGAACTGGTGCGAGCTCAAGGCCCTCACCTTAAGAAAGGCCCACACCTACTAGTGGGGGAAGATGGCTCCCATCAACAAGAATCATCATAGGGTTTTACAGGCCACTTGGTGAACTCAGCAGGGGTTTAGATCACTTAGGAATTGTCTGGAAAAGGTAGCGTATCACATAACCTTTGAGAGTAAATGATCTCAGAGTCTTGAGATAAATTTAGAAGTCCATCAAATGATGAATATTTACAGACCACTTCACCCAACAGCAGCAGAGTGCTATGTTCATTTCAGGCACCTACAGAGCATGTACCAAGATTGACCATATCCTGGGCTATACAGGAAATCTCACCCAATCTAAAGGAACTGAGGCTATACAGAGCATGTCCTCTGACCACACGAGGATCAAAGTAGAAATCAATAACAGAAAGATAGCAGACAAATCTCCAAACACGTGGAAACTTAACAACACACTTCTAAATAACTTAAGGGTCAAAGAGGAAGTCTCAAGGGAAAATTAAAAAGACATTGAACTCAATAAAAATGAAAATACAACACAAAACTTAGCTGTGGGACATGACTAAAGCAATGCTGAGAGGGAAATTTATAGCACTATGGGCTTTCATTTGAAGAGAGGAAAAATCTCAACTCAATAAGCCAAGATCCCACCATGAGCACCCAGGAAAAGAAGAGCAAAGTAAACCCACAATGATAGCAAAGGAAGGAAGGAGGGAAATCACAAAGATAGGGGAATAGAAATCCCGGTAACAGAAAACAGAAAAACAATGCAGAAAATCAACAAAACAGAGCTAGGTATTTGAAAATAAGAAATTGTCAAACTTCTAGCAAGACTGACAAAGAAACAATTAGAGGGAAGACACAGACTGTCAATATCAGGAATGAAAGAGGGAACATCACTACAGACCCTGCAGACATCAAAAGGATAATACGGGAACACTACAAATGCCTCTACACACATAACTCTGACATCTTCAATAAAATGGACCAACTCCTAGAGAAGCATGAGGTACTACAACTCATTCAATATCAAACAGGTAATTTAAACAACCTATAGCAAAAGTCAATTTGTAATTTAAAAACTCCCCAAAACGAAATGTCCAGGCCAAGATGGTTCTAAACATTTATAGAGAATTCTACCAAATGTTTAAAAAGTCAACATGATTCTAACAATATCTTCAAGAAAACAGAAGAGGAGGGAACACTACCATTCTTTTTTTTTTTTTTTTTTGAGACTGAGTCTCACTCTGTCCCCCAAGCTGGAGTGCAGTGGTATGATCCCAGCTCTCTGCAGCCTCCGCCTCCTGGGCTCAAGTGATTCTCTGCCTCAGCCTCCTGAGTAGCTGGGATTATAGGTGCCCGCCACTAAGCCAGGCTAATTTTTTGTATTTTTAGTAGAGCCGGGGTTTTAGCATGTTAGCCAGGCTGGTCTTGAACTCCTGGCCTCAAGTGATCTGCCTGCCTTGGCCTCCCAAAGTGCTGGGATTACAGGTGTGAGCCACTGCACCTGGGCCCCATTCATTTTATGAAGTTGGTATTACCCTGATACCAAATGCAGACAAGGAAAAACAACAAAAAGAAAACTACATGCCAACATCCCTCATGAATATAGATACAAAAATCACTAATGAAATAGCAAGTAGAATTCAGTAATAGATAAAAATAATTGCATATCAAGATTTAGTGGGGTTTATTCTGGGGATATAAGGTTGGCTCAATATTTGGGAACCAATCAATGTAGTCTCCAATCAACAGGCTAAAGAAGAAAAATTACATGATCATATTAACTAATTCATAAAAAACATCTGACAAAATTCAACACATGTTCATGAGAAAACTCTCATAAAATTAGGAATGGAGGAGAACTTCTTCAAGTTGATTAAAAGCATCAACCATAACCTTACAGCCAATATTATACAGTTGTTCCTTGGTGTCTCTGAGGGATTGGTTCCAGGACTCCCCACAAGGATGCCAAAATCCAAGGATGCTCAAATTCCTTATATAAGATGGTATAGTATTTGCATATAACCTATGCACATCCTCCCGTACACGCTACATCATCTCTAGATTACTTAGAATACCTAATACAATGTAAATGTTATGTAAAGAGTTGCTATACTGTACTGTTTACTAATTTGTATTGTTTTTCTTGTTTTTAAAACATTTCTGATCAGCGGTTGGTTGGATATATGGATATGGAACACACAGATACAGAAGAGCCAACTGTACTTAATGGTGAAAAACTCAGTGCTTGGTGTCTAAGACTGTCACAAGGCAAAGCTGTCTGCTCTCACTGCTGCTAATTAACATAGTGCTGGGAGTCCTAGCCAGTGCAATAGGCAAGAGAAGGAAATAAAAGGCAAACAGATTAGAAAGGAAGAAAGAAAACTGTCCTTGTTTGCCAATGACATGTTGTCTACATAGAAAACCCCAATGAATCTACAAACAACAACAACAAAAAAACACAACCCTCCTAGAACTAAGAAGCGAGTTTAGCAAGTTTGCAGGGTGGAAAGCATACAAAATTCAATTGTATTTACTACAATTGTATATACTAGCAATGATCATGTAGACACTGAAATTATAAATAAAATACCAGCCACACATAGTGGCACATGCCTGTAATCCCAGCACTTTGGGAGGTCGAGGTTGGAGGGTTGCTTGAGCCCAGGAGTTTGAGACCAGCCTGGGGAACAAAGAGAGATCTCCATCTCTACAAAAAAAAAAAAAAAAAAAAAAAATAGCCAGGCGTGGTGGCATGTGCCTGTGGTTCCAGCTACTCAGGAGGCTGAGGTGGGAGGATTGCTTGAGCTTGGGAGGTTGAGGCTGTAGTGAGCCACGATCATGCCACTGCACTCCAGCCTCAGGGACAAAGACCCTGTCTCAAAAACAAACAAACAAACACCAGTACCATTTACAGTCACTCAAAAATGCCCCTAGGTGTCAAACTGACAAAACATATGCAGAAGTTGTATGTTGAAAACTACAAAACATTCATGAAAGAAATCAAAGAAGATATAAACAAATGGCAAGACTGACCATGTTAATGGGTTGGAAGACTCAACATAGTAAATTCTCCCCACATAGGTAAACAAGTTTTACACAATTCCCATTGAAAGCCTAGCAAGACTTTTTTTTTTTTTTTTTTTTTTTGTAGAAATAGAGATTATTCTAACATTTAGATAGGGAAAGGATTCACAAGAATAAAAACAATTTTGAAAAACAACAGACAAAATGAGAGGAATCAGCCTATCTTATTTTTGAGACTTATGACATAATTTCGGTAATCAAGACTGTGAGGTACTGGCAGAAAGACAGACAGGTAGAGCAATGGAAAGAAACAGAGGGCCTATGACCATGTCCATACAAATACGCCCAACTGATTTTTGACCCAGATGTAAAAGCAATTCAACAGAGAAAAGAAAGCTTAGCAATGACCATGTAGACACTGAAATTATAAATAAAATACCAGCCACACACAGTGGCGCATGCCTGTAATCCCAGCACTTTGGGAGGTCGAGGTTGGAGGATTGCTTGAGCCCAGGAGTTTGAGACCAGCCGGGGAACAAAGAGAGATCTCCATCTCTACAAAAAAAAAAAAAAAAATATATATATATATATATATATATATATATATGGCCAGGCGTGGTGGCATTCAGTAATAGTGTTGGAAATAGTGTTTCAGTAGTGTTGGAAAAATTAGATATCCGCAGGCCAACAAGAAAAAGAGCCTTGACCTAGAATTCAGTTTATATAAAAATCAATGCAAAGTGGACCACAGATGTAAAACATGAAACTATAAAACACAGAGAGAAGATAGGAGAAATCTTCAGGGTCTTCGGTAAGGTGGGGAGTTCTTAGACTTGACAGCAAAAACACAAACCAGAAAAAGAAAAATGGATAGACTGGACTTCATCAAAATGAAAATTTTCGCTCAGAGAAAGATCCTGGTAAGAGGATGACAAGACAAGCTACGGTGTGGCAGAAAATATTTGCAAGACACGTATCTGACAAAGACTTGCAGATAGCATGTATAAAGAATGGTCAAAACTCAATGGTAGAAAACAAAACCAGCCAACTTGAAAGCGGGCAAGAGATGAGCAGATGGGTACTGGAGAAAGTCACAGATGGAAAGAAGCCCATGAAGAGATGCTGAGAGCCACTCGGCCATTAGGAAATGCCAGTTACAACCACAGTGAGACACCACTGCACACCTATCAAAATGGCTGGGATACAAAATAATGCCAACCCCCGTGGAAACACGGCTCACTCACTCGTGGCTGGTGGGAATGAAAAATGGTACAGTCATTCTGAAAACAGTCTGGTAGGTTCTTCAAAAGACAGAAAAAACCAACTAAAGATGCAAGCACCAGGGCAGAGAGATGATGTACGCGGAGAACTGATGTTCACACAAAGGCCTGTCCACATGTTCCTGGCGGATGTATTTGTAGTAGTCCCAAATGCAAACGATGCAGATGCCTTTCAAGGGAGAATGGTTGAACCAACCGTGGTCCATCCATACCGCGGAGTATGACTCAGAAAGAAGGGAATGAACCACGGATATAGGCGACAACCCGGATGGATGCCAGGGGGTTGTGCTGGGTGGAAGGCGCCAATCCCAAAGTCACCTACTGCATGATTACATGTGTAGAACGTTACAGAATTGACAACATCATACAAATAGAGACCAGAGGCCGGGCATGGTGGATCATGCCTGTAATCCCAGCACTATGGGAGGCTGAGGTGGGTGGATCACCAGAGGTCAGGAGTTCGAGACCAGCCTGACCAACATGGAGAAACCCCGTCTGTACTGAAAATACAAAATTAGCCAGGCATGATGGTGCATGCCTGTAATCACACCTACTCAGGAGACTGAGGCAGGAGAATCGCTTGAACCCTGGAGGCGGAGGTTGTGGGGTGAGCCGAGATTGTGCCATTGCACTCCAGCCTGGGCAACAAGAGCGAAACTCTGTCTCAAAAAAAAAACAAAAACAAAAACAAAAAAGAGAGAGACCTCTTGGTTGCCAGGGGACAGGGATCCAGTGGGGAATGGAAGGGAAGCAGCGTGGCTATTAAAGAGCGGCAGGTGGGATCCTTGTGGGGGACGCCATGTTCCGGATCTGGACCGTGTCACGGTCAATGCCAGGCTGTGACATTGTGCTAGAGTTTTGCAAGATGTCACCACTGGGAGAAACCGGGCCATGAGTGGGCTTTCTCTGCATGCATCATTACAGCAGCGTGTGAACCTATCCTTGCTTCAAAATAAGAAATGTATAGACAGAATGGAATAACAGTTAAGGAAGAGTTTTCCTTTGGACTTTGGAGATGGAACCCTTTGAGCACGACAGGATTTGTGTGGCTACATCTAATTTCGAGCACAAGCAGCTGTCATGTTTCATGCCACTCTGTCCACACCTTCTGTGGTGTGCTCAGTTCAGTGCTGGGGCAGATGCTGGTATCCTGGTCTGTCATAGCCACACCTCGGCCAATGCGCCACCCAGGCCAGCATGTCAGCTATTCTCAGGAAGGGTACAGACACAAAGCTGCGCTCCCAGTGAGAACACTCCAGGGGCACTGCCCAGGTGGTGGTACTTACACCGATGGAATATATGTGACTCAGCACAGTGGGCTCACGGAACCGCCTCTTTAGATAATGCAAAATCTGCATTCTTTTGCTGGGGGAAAGAAGCAAAACCACCAGTGTGCACAAAGGCCAACCACACCCACGCATCCACAAACAGAGCCCTGATCAGGAAGTGGGTGCCTCCTCTCCTGACCCTAGAATCATTGGAATTCCTGCTGTGGCCACAGTTTCCTCCCAGGGGAGTTCAGAACTTAAAACAACTGTGATTTCATGCATGTCAAGTGCTCAGGACAGCACCAGCCCAGCCCTGGCCACGTAAGCCCTGCCTGCCTCTGCTATTGCTGTTGGCATTATTAGTGTTTCCGCATCACGGATGCCCACTGAGGGCCCCAGTTTTCCTCTGACCTCCCCTTCCTGCTTCCACCACCTTCCCTGGGGTGTCATCATCCTTGGGGTGACAGGGTGCGCTCCGGGCACCACCTCCAGGCTGTGAAGGGGTGAATCCCACCTGCACCACCTGAATGTGGCCTTACCCCCTCTAGCACCTCTGGAATCCTCAGAGAGCCTGAAACCGCTGGATTCTGGGGGCAACAAACAGTTTTCAATTGCAAATGTTCATCCTTCCCAACCTTCGTGGCAAAATCACCTTGTGTCAGCCAAATTTGATATTATGTGTGACACCTCCCTCTTTTTCCTAAATGCTGCAGGACGTATAATGAATTTTAAAAATTAAAGCCTATTCAAGTCATTTCACGTTGATAGTGTCTTAATAGTTTTAAGAAAACCCAGCAATGGCCTGGGATGCTGGTAATTCACAGGGGGACATGACAGGGTCTTTAGGGTCCCTCTGGACCTGGAAGTTTTTGAGCAAATCGGGAGATTGCAAATAAGCCCCCGAGGGAGGGGGAGTCAGCATTAACTCTCGCTGATCCATGTGATGGAAACCTAGGGAGAGCAAGCTGATATTCACAGACAACTCACATGTTCTCCAAAGGAAGCTGTCCCCCAAGAACAACCAATAGAATATCTAAAAGTGCCCCCGAGTCTGCATGCTAGAGTGGATTTCATGGTGCTGCTCCAAGCTGATGGGGATTTACCTCTAGATACCATGACTTTCATAAAGGCAGAAGATTTGACTACACCAAGGATCAATCAGTTGTAATGACAGGTTTAGGTAGGCTCCTCTTCAGCCTCAACTCCTGGCTGCTTCTCATCTGCACACACCTGGACTCAATGAAGTGTGCTCACCTGGGTGCTAAGTCCTGCTGGCCTCCTCACTTGATAAGCACATGCAGGGAATGCTGGCCGGGGCTGGCAGAATTGTTTGCATGTCATAGGAGACTTTAGGTTTGTTCCAGGGCAATCCTGGAGTCCAGCAGATTCTCCGGGTCCTGTTTTTAGATGCTGCCGGATCAGGTCCGCTTTGGGCCATGGGTTTGCAGCAGAGGGGCCCAGGCCCTGCCCACTTGACAGAACCAAGGGTACTGGAATGAAGCAAACCTCTAGAGGGACCAAGGAGGGGCCTATGGGCTGCCAGCCTCATTCCTGGGCAGGACGCAGCTGTGTGGGTGGCAGGATGGACACCCTGCCTCATGGTGTTCACACGGCTGCCTCCGTGTTCACGGGTGTCCAGGGCAGGGGCTGCCCCCACCCCACACGATGCCCAGAAGCCATTGCCTGACTCCTCCTTGGTCTGAGTGGATAGTTCAAGCCTCTGCCTCGCCCACTTCTTCCAGGAATTGTTTACTTGTTTCAGGCAAATCCTGAGTCTACCCAGTGCAGAATGACATGAAATTTGATTTCACTGATTGCTAGCACAGCCTGACCCATAATTCTGATTCTAAAAATTAGTGTAACAATAAGTTAATTTGATTGGCCAGCCAGCTGATTTGCCTATCTCCTTTTTATCTTGTGCTGAAGAGAATACTAGCAGCAACAGCAGTTCTTCCGTCCTCCACGCACCTGAGCTGATGGGAATGTGTACTTTTCTCCCCTAGGCAAACGAATGCACACATGGCCCTAGCAATAGAACATGCTGGCCCCTAGACCCATGCATTGAGGGAGGTGACCTAGGAACATCAGCTTGGGCACTAGCATCCCAAGCACCGACCTGCAAGAGTAGAGGGAATAATACATCACAAGGGCGTGTGTGTGTGGCCTGGGAGCTCATGCACGATCCATTCTATTGCCCTTGATCGTAGCCATTGCACGGCATCACTGGGCTTAGATTTGCATGCTATTAATATGATGCAATGAGCCATGTTTCACCTTGTTAGTCCCAACCCAGAGCAACAGGGCGAGGTGCTGAGCACCCTCCGGTGAATACATACTTAGCAGACACTTCTCAAGTATTAGAAAAAATACCTCTGCTGGACGGGCATGGTGGCTCACGCCTGTAATCTCAGCACTTCTGGAGGCTGAGGTGGGCGGATCATGAGGTCAGAAGTTCAAGACCATCCTGGCCAACATGGTGAAACTCCGTCTCTACTAAAAATACAAAAAAATTAGCTGGGCATGGTGGTACGTGCCTGTAATCCCAGCTACTCGGGAGGCTGAGGCAGGAGAATCACTTGAACCAGGGAGTCGGAGGTTGCAGTGAGCTGAGATTGTGCCACTGCACTCCAGCCTGGTGACAGAGCAAGATTCCATCTCAAAAAAAAAAAAGAAAAGAAAAATACCTCTGCTATCCTTTCAGAAAAGGGTAAAAGGGGTCTCTTATTTTTTATTTTTGCATTAGGGAAAATAATTCACATTACTTGCCCCCAAAGAGATAAGCACTCTAGACGTCCGGAAGATTGTGGGGGGTGGGAGCAGGGTGCCTTTATTTCTGCTCTTGTCCAACCTCCAACCCCTGAGAGCCAAGGCTCTTTGGAGGAAGGGCTGGAAGGCTTCCCTGTCAGCGAGGGGTGGGGTGGCACTGTCTCTCTTCCTGGGAAGCAAACTCATCTTCTGTCCCACTTTTGCTCTCTCCTGACCCCTGCAACTGCCCTTGAACTATTCAACTGGCTGAGGATGTTCTCACTCAGGGTACAGTCACTGGCAATTCACTGTTTATGGACATCATAAAACAGACATTCAGATCAAGGACGACATTTCCTTTATAGCCCAGGAACACAATAAAGTTACATGATTAACAGTGACCTTAAAGGCACAGGAGCCCTTCCTCTGGCCTGTCCTGCCTGCCAAGGGATTGCATAAGTCTATCAGCAGCCAAAGGACTATCCCAGATCACTGGCGTTTCAGCCACTCAGATATGACGAAGAAAGGAAAATCAACCGAAGACCCTGGTGGCCAAACGTGAAGTTCTAGAGAGTGTCTGCCTTGTCATTTCAGGTTCACCTCAGGGGCAGGCATTGAATCGAGTTTTTTCCCTTTCATTTTCAGAGAGGGGAATTTCACATTTTGTATCGTTTACATTTGACTGGGTGCAATTTCTCCCCCTGCCCTCCTCTCTTCCTTAGGATTAGTTTGCAGGCAGAAAAATGCCTGTGAAGCTGGCAGCATCTGGGGCAGCTAGCATGCATTTCCCTTTACTGTTGTATAGATCAAGGTACTGTAACATCTGCAAGGAGCTGTTACTATGCTCTGGGTGCTGTTCTAGGTGGTTCATGCATGTTAGCTCTATCCTTCTTTTTTTTTTTGAGACGGAGTTTCGCTCTTGTTACCCAGGCTGGAATGCAATGGCGAAATCTCAGCTCACTGCAACCTCCGCCTCCCGGGTTCAAGCAATTCTCCTGCCTCAGCCTCCCGAGCAGCTGGGTTAACAGACATGCACCACCACGCCGGGCTAATTTTGTATTTTTAGTAGACATGGGGTTTCTCCACGTTGGCCAGGCTGGTCTCGAACTCCCGACCTCAGGTGATCCGCCCACCTCGGCCTCCCAAAGTGCTGGGATTACAGGTATGAGCCACTGTGCCTGGCCAGCTCAATCCTCCTTATAACCTGCAGGGGCTGCGTGACACTGAGAGAGGCCAAGTCATGACATCGTCAAGCCCGACCTGCCCTACTCCACCATGTTCCTATTTAGAGCTGCAAAGACGGGACAGAGCTGCACTTACTTTCCCTTCAGAAAACCCCAGAGATACCTATTTTATTTTTCTTTCTGTGTGGCTTCTTGCCCGTAGTGGGGTGAACTTATTTATTTATTTATTGAGATGGAGTTTTGCTCTTGTTGCCCAGGCTGGAGTGCAATGGCATGATCTCGGCTCACCGCAACCTCCGCCTCCCAGGTTCAAGCGATTCTCCTGCCTCAGCCTCCCGAGTAGCTGGGATTACAGGCATGCGTGACCATGCCCGGCTAATTTTTGTATTTTTAGTAGAGACGGGGTTTCTCCATGTTGGTCAGGCTGGTCTCGAACTCCCAACCTCAGGTGATCCGCCCGCCTTGGCCTCCCAAAGTGCTGGGATTACAGGCGTGAGTCACTGCGCCTGGCGGAGGGGTAAACTTCTAAGGGAGGGTGTGGGTACGAATAACCGAACGGATGCCGCTGGGGGAATTTGAATTTGGGAGCCACCAGCTGGTTGTACACGCTGCTGGGACTTTGTCCATTATCTGACAGCCTGTGTGTGTGTCACTGTAACCTGATAATCCTCTGGGAAAGTTTAATTATGTGAAGCCAAAGGAAATCAACTCTGGCTCATCGTGTCTGAGGCTTTGACTCTATGCCAAATGACCCCATAGACTAGTTCCAGGAAGGATTCTGTCAGGCAATTCGGTGATCCAATAAACTAATTGATTATGGTACAAATGACAGAATGTTTGTAAAGATTGAGTCATTTTTGCAAACCAAAGCTTTTATTCCATCTGTGGACTTTAACAGGTTGTACACAGCAGCAACATTTGTAGCAAGAGAAATTAAGAAGAACCATCTGATCGCTGTAAAAACAAGACTGGAAGCAACACAAGTATCTATCAGTAGGATACACAATAGTACATCTACAAAATGAAGTACTATGCTCCTATAAAAGAACGAAGGAATATTTCTTTTTTTTTTTTTTTTTTTTTTGAGACAGACTCTCACTCTGTCACCCAGGCTGGAGGGCAGTGGCGCCATCTCGGCTCACTGCAACCTCTGGCTCCCAGGTTCAAGGGATTCTCCTGCCTCAGCTCCTGAGTAGCTGGGATTACAGGTATGCACCACCACACCCGGCTAATTTTTTCAAAATTTTTTTTAGAAGAGACAGGATTTCACCATGTTGGCCAGGCTGGTTTCAAACTCCTGACCTCAGTTGATCCACCCACCTCGGCCTCCCAAAGTGCTGAGATGTCAGGTGTGAGCCACTGTACTTGGCCTAGAATGGAATAATATTCTATTTCTTGCTATAAAGTGCCCTTATAATGTAGATGGCTAAAACTTAAGCAGAAAGTTCCAGGTTGAAGCGTCAGATGACACAGTTTTAGGTTGTCAGAGAGGATGGAAATGGAAAGGAGAGTTCCCAAAGGAGGAAGCCATGGCAGTGGGACCCAAATTCTGTATAAACTACCCTGTTCCTTGGTGGATCCCTGAATGACGCATGTTTGTGGGCCTAGTGTGGCAGAGGTTTCAGCTCCTGCTGTGGAGGAGACAAAGTTTGGAGTTTAAATGTAGTCGAGTTAGAGAGGCTTGATAAATACCTCAGGCTTCCTACTAAAACCACAGAAGGGTCAGTCTAGAGATCTACCCCAACAAAGCATAAAACCAGGCTGCACGAAGTTCAGATGATCAGTGAGTAACGGAACTGACTGCTGGAGCAAAATTAACACTCTTCAGAGGATGATAACAAAATCCAATGTCTCTCCTAGGTGTTATTCATAATCTTAGTCTACAATAAAAAATAGACATGCAAAGAAATAGGAAAATGTGACCCATGGCCAAGAGAAAATCATCCCTCAGACACCCTGGACGCTTGCCGGCTCAGATGCCAAAATGAGCAAACGAGACTTTAATGCAGCAATTGCAGGTACGTGCAAACACCGAAACAAAAGCGGCGTCAGTAAATCGTAAACAGAGGGGAGTCTCGAGAGACAAATCTATGAACAAGAGTCAAGTGCAAATTTTAGAATTTTAAAATATAATATCCTAAACAAAAAAAAACTTCATGGATCAACTTACAGAAGTCTGGAGTCAGTGGAAGAGTCAGGGAAATCAAGGACAGGTCAACAGAAATTACCCAATTTGAAGGGCAAAGAAAAAAAAGATTATAAAAAACCGCAAAGCTGCAGTCACTTGAAAGACAACAGCAAACTTTCTAACATACAGGTCATTAGTGAGAAAGAATGGCACATATAACACGTAATGGCTGACAATTTTGCAAATTTGCTGAAAAGGTAAATTCATAGTCCATGGAAGCTCAATGAACATGAAGAAGGATAAATAAGAAGAAAATGAGACTGAAGCACATCATAGTCCAACTGCTGAAACCTAAAGATAAAGGAAAGAAATCAACAGCTTGAAAACAGCCAGAGGCCTGGGCACAGTGGCTCACGCCTGTAATCCTAGCACTTTGGGAGCCCGAGGTGGGTGGATCACCTGAGGTCAAGAGTTCGAGACCAGCCTGGCCAACATGGTGAAATCCTGTCTCTACTAAAAATTAGTTGGGCGTGGTGGCGGGCACCTGCAATCCCAGCTACTTGGAGGCTGAGGCAGGAGAATCAGGAGGCGGAGGTTGCAGTGAGCCGAGATCGCACCACTGCACTCTAGCCTGGGCAACAGAGCAAAAACTTCATCTCAAAAACAAAACAAAACAAACAAACAAACAAACAAACCCCAAAGAAAGCAGCCAGAGAAGAAAGACACACTTCATACAGAGGAATAATGATCAAATTAAGCTGACTTCTCATCAGAAACAATGGAGGCCAGAAAGAAAGTGAGTCAACATCTTTAAGCTTCTTGAAGAAAACAAACTGTGAATGCAGAATTCCACACCATGAAAACTCATCCTTCACAATGAAGGCAAAATAAAGGCATGTTCCTTGCCTGGGCACGGTGGTTCACGCCTGTAATCCCAGCACTTTGGGAGGCCGAGGTGGGTGGATCACCTGAGGTCAGGAGTTCGAGACCAACCTGGCCAACATGGTGAAACCTCGTCTCTACTAAAAATACAAAAAAATTTTTTTTTTTTTGAGATGGAGTCTCACTCTCTTGCCCAGGCTGGAGTGCAGTAGTGAGATCTCAGTTCACTGCAACCTCCACCTCCTGGGTGGAGTGCCTGGGTGGGCATGGTGGTGGGCGCCTGTAATCCCAGGTACTTGGGAGGCTGAGGCAGGAGAATTGCTTGAACCTAGGAGGCGGAGGTTGCAGTGAACTGATTGTACACTCCAACCTGGGCGACAGAGCAAGACATCATTTCAAAAAAAAAAAAAAAAAAAAAAGGCATGTTCCAATCAGCAAAAGCTGAGAGAATTAGTTACTAGCAGATATGCACTGCAAGAAACATTAAAAGAAAAAAGAAATGCTTTAGAGTGAAGGGATATAATATAAGTTGGAAGTTGAGAAGAAATAAAAACATCAGAAATGGCAAATATATAGGCAACTATTAAAAAACTATCTGGAAGTTTATTTTCATAATTTCTTCAGAAAACAACTAGCTGTTTAAATAAGAAATTATAGGCCAGGCACAGTGGCCTATAATCACGCCTATAATCCCAGCACTTTGGGAGGCTGAGGCGGGTGGATCACTTGAGGTCAGGAGTTCGAGACCAGTCTGACCAAGATGATGAAACCCCGTCTCTACTAAAAATACAAAAAATTAGCCGGGCGTGGCGGCACACATCTGTAATCCCAGCTACTCGGGAGGCTGAGGCAGGAGAATCGCTTGAACCTAGGAGGTGGAGGTTGCAGTGAGCTGAGATCTCACTACTGCACTCCAGCCTGGGCAAGAGAGTGAGACTCCGTCTCAAAAAAAAAAAAAAAAAAAAAGGAAATTATAATATTGTATTATGGGGCTTAAAATGTATGCAGATATAAAACATATGACACAATAACTCAAAGGTGGTGGGAGAGGGGAGTAAGTAGACTTATATAGCTGCAGTGTCCTTATTTTTTATGTGAGGCGGTACAGTATTAATTCTAAATAGATTGTGAAAAGTTCAGGATGATTAAAAGTGGCCAAAAGATATGAACAGACACCTCAAAGAAGACATGCAGATGGCAAGCAGGCATATGAGAAGATGCTTATCATGATATGTCACTAGGGAATTGCAAAATAAAACAAGAAGAAGATACTGCAATACACCTATCAGAGTGGTGAAAATCCAAGACACTGAAACACAAAAGCTGGGGAGGATGTGGAGCGGCAGGAATGCTCGTTCATTGCTGCTGGGAATGCAAAATGGCCCAGTCACTTTGGAAGACCGTTTGGCAGCTTCTTACAAAACTAAACATGCTGTTACCAAAAGATCCAGCAATTGTGCTTCTTGGTATTTATCCAAATGTGTTAAAATCTTATGTGCACACAAAAACTTGTGCACAAATATTTATGGCAGCTTTATTCATAACTGCCCAAACCTGGAAGCAACCAAGATGCTCTTCAATAGGTGAGTGGGCAAATAAACTGTGATACATACAGACCATGGAATATGCTTCAATGCTAAGATGCCGGGAAAAGGCATAAAAGAATCTTAAAGACATATTAGTAAGTGAAAGAAAACCTGAAGAGGCTTTATTCTGTATGACTCCAACTATGTGACATTCTGGAAAAGGCCAAACTATGGAGACAGTAAAAAGATCTGGGGCTTGGGGCGGGAGGGATGAATAGGTGGCGCACAGGGGGTTTTGAAGGCAGTGAACCGATTCTGTCTGAGACTGGGATGGGACACACAGGTCATCATATATTTGTCCAAACCCAGGGAATGTACAGCCCTGAGAGAACCGATTCTGTCTGAGACTGGGATGGGACACACAGGTCATCATATATTTGTCCAAACCCAGGGAATGTACAGCCCTGAGAGTGAATTCTGAGGTGGAATATAGACTTTGGCTGATAAGGATATGTCAATGTTGGTTCACTGATTGTAACCAATGTACAGTCTTTTTTTTTTCTTTTGTCTGGAGACAGAGTCTCTCTCTGTCGCCCAGGCTGGAGTGCAGTGATGCAATCTCAGCTCACTGCAACCTCCGCCTTCCGGATTCAAGCGATTCCCCTGCCAAGTAGTTGGCATTACAGGTGTGCGCCATGACGCCTGGCTAATTTTTATATTTTTAGTAGAGACAGGGTTTCACCATGTTGGCCAGTCTGGTCTTGAACTCCTGACCTCCAGTGATCTGCCTGCCTTGGCCTCTCAAAGTGCTGTGATTACAGGCGTGAGCCAGTGCGCCCGGCTGTAACCAATATACAATCTGATGCAGGACGTTGACGGTGGCAGAGGCTGAATGTCTGTGTGTGGGGGGAACATGTGGGAGCTCCACACTTTTCACTCAATTTTGCCGTGAATCTAAAAAACAAAGTCTATCAATTGTAAAAAAAAAAAAAAAAAAAAGTAAAGATGCATATTGTAACACTTACAACAGCCGAGGAAAAATAATGCAAAAAGAGACAGCTAAAGAGTCAGCAGAAGGAATAAAATGGAAAACAAAAATTTATTCAATTAACACAGGAGAAGGCAGAAAAGGAGGAACAGAAAAACAAAACCCAAGATCAAGAAACAGCAAATAGCAACGTGGTAGAGCTAACCCCAACCATATGAACAAAGGCTGGTAGAGCTAACCCCAACCATATGAACAAAGACAGGTAGAGCTAACCCCAACCATATCAACAAAGACTGGTAGAGCTAACCTCAACCATATCAACAAAGACTGGTAGAGCTAACCCCAACCATATGAACAAAGACTGGTAGAGCTAACCCCAACCATATCAACAAAGACTGGGAGAGCTAACCCCAACCATATCAACAAAGACTGGTAGAGCTAACCTCAACCATATCAACAAAGACTGGTAGAGCTAACCCCAACCATATGAACAAAGACTGGTAGAGCTAACCCCAACCATATCAACAAAGACTGGGAGAGCTAATCAACAAAGACTGGTAGAGCTAACCCCAACCATATCAACAAAGACTGGTAGAGCTAACCCCAACCATATCAACAAAGACTGGTAGAGCTAACCCCAACCATATCGACAAAGACTGGTAGAGCTAACCTCAACCATATCAATAAAGACTGGTAGAGCTAACCCCAACCATATGAACAAAGACTGGTAGAGCCAACCCCAACCATATGAACAAAGACTGGGAGAGCTAACCCCAACCATATCAACAAAGACTTGGGGGCTCTGCTCACCATCTGGGTGCGACACACCACATAACAAACCTGCATGTGATACGTTTAGATCTGTACGTAAAATAAAAGTTGGGGCTGGGCGTGGTGGCTCACACCTGTAATCCCAGCACTTTGGGAGGTCAAGGCAGGTGGATCATGAGGTCAGGAGAGCGAGACCATCCTGGCTAATGCAGTGAAACCCCATCTCTACTAAAAATACAAACGTTAGCCAGGCACGGTGGTGGGCGCCTGTAGTCCCAGCTACTTGGGAGGCTGAGGCAGGAGAATGGCGTGAACCCGGGAGGTGGAGCTTGCAGTGAGCCAAGATTGCACCACTGCACTCCAGCCTGGGCGACAAAGTGAGACTCCATCTCAAAAAAAAAAAAAAAAAAAATTGGAATGAAAAAAAAAGTTTTAACAAATTGACAAAAATTAGATACATTTCCCATGGTCATGCACTCCAGCCTGGGCAACAAAGCGAGACTCCACCTCAAAAAAAAAAAAATTGGAATTAAAAAAAAAGTTTTAACAAATTGACAAAAATTAGATACATTTCCCATGGTCAAGATGATGTTTTGAAATATATACATTGTAGAATGGCTAAATCAAGTGAATTAACATACACATTATGCCACATAGTTTTTTTTTGTGGTGAGAATGCAAAATGTACTCTCAGTGATTTTCAAGAATAAAATACATTGTTATTAACTATTAAAAAGACACACACAAAAAACCCAAATACATTAAGTGTAAAGGGACATAGGACAAAATAATACCAAAATTACATAAAATCTTTCAGAAAATACAGAAGAAAGTAAACTTCCCAATGTGTTTTATGAGGCCACTATAGGGCCAATATCAAAACATGACAAAGACACTGCAAGAAAAAAAATTACAAATCAATATCCCATTTAAGCATAGACAGCCACATTCTTAACGAATTGTTAGGAAATCAAATCTAGCAATACATGAAAAGCGGCCAGGTGCTGTGGCTCACGCCTGTAATCCCAGCACTTTGGGAGGCTGAGGCGGGTGGATCACCTGAGGTCAGGAGTTCGAGACCACCCTGACCAACATGGTGAAACCCTGTCTCTACTAAAAATACAAAAATTATCTGGTGTGGTGGTGCACACCTGTAATCCCAGCTACCCGGGAGGCTGAGGCAGGAGAATCACTTGAAGCCTGGAGGCGGAGGTTGCAGTGAGCCGAGATGGCAGCACTGCACTCCAGCCTGGGTGACAGAGCGACACTGTCTCAAAACAAAAACAAAAACAAAAACAAGTCAATACATAAAAAGCAAACACACCAGGGAGAGGGCCTACATATACTTTGTTACATTTATTCCCAAGTATTTTCCTGGAAATATTTCCTGGAAATACAAGTGAGTTTACCCCAGGAAATTTCCTAGGAACATTTCCTGGAAATATAAGTGCATTTACCCTAGGAAAGCAAAGTGGTTTTAACATTTGAAAATCAATCAGTATTATTCATTATCTTAATAGAATAAAGCAGAAAAACCATATGTATGCTCATCCCATAGATGCAGAAAGGTACTGGAACAAAATCCAATACCTCTTTATGGGACAAAACCATTAGAAAACAAGGAAAAAGAGGACACCTCCTCAACCCACCTCAGTAGCTGTAGAGAGAACATTTGATAAAAGTTAACAAAGAATTTTGTCAAAGAACATGAGACAAAAAACTCTCAGAAAACTAACATTAGACGGGGACTTCCAACCTTATGAAAGGCATCCACAAAAAAATCTGTGGCTAACATCGTATGTAATGGTGAGAGACCGAAGGCATCTCCTCTAAGATTGGGAACAAGGCGAGGACGTCTGCTCTCACTTTTATTTAACTGTATTGCAGTTTCAACTAGTACAACAAGACAAGTAAAAGAAATAAAAGCCAAAAATTGGAATGCAATAATTAAAACTGTCATTATTCTTAGATGTCATGATTGTCTCTGTGGACAATTATAGGAACCTATAAAACAACAACTAGAACTAACCAATGAATTAAGCAAATTCACAGGATCCAACGCCAACATCCAAAAATCTATTATATTTTTATAAACTAGCAGCAAACAATTGGAAAATTAATGAAATCTTATTCACAATAAAACCAGAAAACAGAAAACACTTTGGAGTAAAGTTAACCGAAGACATGAAGGACCTTTATCTTGAAAGCCATAACCTTTTGAGAAGTTAAATGAGACCTAAATAAGTGGAGGGATGTATCATGTTCATGGGTTGGAAGACTCAGTATGGTTAAGACACTACCCTCCCCAAATTATATAGTAAATAAAATAGTAATCAAAGTCATAGATGGCTTTTTTTTTTGAAATTGACAAGTTGATCCTAAAATTTGTAGGGAAAAGAAAAGAACCTATACAGTCAAAACAAATGCAGAGGAAGAACACATGGAGAACTTAGAGTACCTGATTCCAGGGCACAGTAACGTAGCCAGTGTGGTGTTGGTGTGAGGATAGACAAATAGATCAATGAAGCAGAACAGAGTTCAGCGAGAGGCCCAAACACAGAGATACCATTAACTTTCAACAAAGGAGCCATGGATTCAGCGGGAAAAGGAGTCTTTTTAACAAGTGGTGCAGTAACAGCTGGGTGTCAGCGTGGGGAAGAAAATGAATGGCAGTCTCTACTTCACAACACACACAACATTAACTTGAAATGAATGACAGATTAAAACATAACATCTCAACAGATTGGGTTGTTAAAAATTTTCTTTAAATTAAGAAAAAACATAACAGCTATAACTCTAAATCTTCTAAAATGTATCTCCATGACCTTGGGATAAAAAAAATTATTAGGGCCAGGCATGGTGGCTCACTCCTGTAATCCTAGCAATTTGGGGGGCCTGGTGCGGTGGCTCAGCACTTTGGGAGGCCGAGGTGGGTGGATCATGAGGTCAGGAGTTCAAGACCAGCCTGGCCAACATGGTGAAACCCCATCTCTACTAAAAATACAAAAAAATTAGCCAGGCGTGGTGGCAAACGCCTGTAATCCTAGTTACTCGGGAGCCTGAGGCAGGAGAATCACTTGAACCCGGGAGGCGGAGGTTGCAGTGAGCTTATCGCACAGCTGCACCCCAGCCTGGGCAACAAGAAACCTTGTCTCAAAAAAAAAAAAAAACAAAACTTATTAGAGAAGACACAAGAAGTACTGACCACAACAGAAAAACTTGTTACATTGGATGGAATTCACCAAATTAAAAACCTCTGCTCATCAAATGACCTCATTAAGAAAACGAAAAAGGCAAATCACAAATTGGGAAAAATGTTTGCCACATATATCTGACAAATGAATTATATCCTAGCTTATGTAGAGTTTCCTACAAACCAGTGACAAAAATAATACAAGCCAGCTTAAAAAATGAGCAAAATCCTTTTTACATATTTTTTTTGAGATGCAGCTTTTGCTCTGTCACCCAGGCTGGAGTGCAAGGCGCGATCTCAGCTTACTGCAACATCCACCTCCTGGGTTCAAGCGATTCTCCTGCCTCAGCCTCTCGAGTACCTGGGATTACAGGCACCTGCCACCACACCCAGCTAATTTTTGTATTTTTAGTAGAGAGGAGGTTTCACCATGTTGGTCAGGCTGGTCTCGAACTCTTGACCGCAGGTAATCCACCCACCTTGGCCTTCCAAAGAGCTAGGATTACAGGCGTGAGCCACCGGACCTGGCCTGAGCAAAGTATTGTTGAACAGACACTACACAAAATATGACATTCAAATAGTCAATAAGACATAGCAACATGTTCAACATCATTAAGTTACTTGGAAATGCAAATTAAAACTATAAGAAGATAGGATTGCTCTTACACCTACTCGAATGTCTAAAATGTAAGCAGAGAATGCTTAGTGTTGCAGGGATGTGGAACAGCTGGATCACTCAGATGCTGCTGGTGGGAATGTGGAATGGTACAACCTCTTGGTAGAACAGCTTGGCAGTTTCTTTTTTTCTTTCTTTTTTTTTTTTTTTTGAGATGGAGTCTCGCTCTGTCGCCCAGACTGGAGTGCAGTGGCGCAACCTCTGCTCACTGCAACCTCCTCCTCCCAGGTTCAAGAGATTCTCCTGCCTCAGCCTCCTGAGTAGCTGGGACTACAGGCACACACCACCACACCCTGCTAATTTTTTGCACTTTTTGTAGAGATGGGGTTTTGCCATGTTGGCCAGGCTGGTCTCGAACTCCTGACCTCAAGTGATCCGCCCGCCTCGGCCTCCCAAAGTGCTGGGATTACAGGCGTGAGCCACTGTGCCCGGCCCAGCTTGGCAGTTTCTTACACTTAACAAGTAAGTCTTAAGTTAAACAAACACAGCATATGAGCCAGCCATTTAACTCCTAGGTGGACCCAAGATCATGGACAAGGATGCCCACAATAAGACTTGTACAATAATTCTAGTAGCCGAACCCTAAACTGGAAATGACCCAAATGTCCCTCCACAGAAGAATGAATGAGCGAGGCATGCAGTGCTCAGCAGTGCAAAAGGAAATAACTGCACGAATGGATCTTACAAACATCATGATGCGGATTGCTTTAGCCCAGGAGTTCGACACCAGCGTGGGCAACATGTCTCTACTCGGAGGCTGAGGTGGGAGGATCACCTGAGCCCAGGAGGTCGAGGCTGCAGTGAGCCATGATTGTGCCTCACACCCCAGCCTGGGCAACAGGCGTGAGACCCTGTCTCAAAAAACAAACGCACACACACACAAACAAACAAACAAAAATGATGTTGAGTGAAAGAGTCCAGACACAAAGAGCTCGTGCTGTATGATTTCAACTCCGTGAAACTCAAAAATAGGCAGAGCACTCCACAGTGAGGACTGCCTTGAAGGGGGTACGGGGACATTTTTCTAGGGTGATGGAAATGTCCTCTGTCTTGATTGTGGTGGCGGTTACATGCACGTGCACTTTTAAAAAATTTAATTTAATTTTAAGTTCTGGGATACATGTGCAGGACATGCAGGGATGTTACACAGGTAAACGTGTGTCATGGTGGTTTGCTGCACCTGTCAACCCATCACCTAGGTATTAAGCCCAGCATGCATTAGCTATTTATCCTGATGCTCTCCCTCCCCCAACCCTCCCAACAGGCCCCAGTGTGTGTTATTCCCCTCCCTGTGTCCATGTGTTCTCATTGTCCAGCTCCCACTTATAAGTGAGAACATGTGGTGTTTGGTTTTCTGTTCCTGCATTAATTTGCTGAGGATAATGGCTTCCAGCTCTGTCTATGTCACTGCAAAGGACATGATCTTGTTCCTTTTTATGGCTGCATAGTATTCCATGGTGTATATGTACCACATTTTCTTTATCCAATCTATCATTGATGGGCATTTGGATTGATACTATCTCTTTGCTATTGTGAATAGTGCTACAATGAACATACATGTAGATATATCTTTATAATAGAATGATTTATATTCCTTTGGGTATATATATAAACGTCATTGCTGGGTCAAATGGTATTTCTGGTTTGGGTGGTGATTCCTGAAAGATCTAACACATGCACTTCTATCAAAACTCATCAAACTGTGGCTGGGCACAGTGGCTCATGCCTGTAATCCCAGCACTTTGGGAGGCTGAGGCAGGTGGATCACCTGAGGTCAGGAGTTCGAGATCAGCCTGGCCAACATGGTGAAACCTTGTCTCTACTAAAAATACAAAAAATTAGCTGGGCATGGTGGCATGCGCCTGTAATCTCAGCTACACGGGAGGCTGAGGCAGGATAATTGCTTGAACCCAGGAGGCAGAAGTTGCAGTGAGCCGAGATCGCGCCACTGCACTCCAGCCTCGGCAACAAGAGCGAAACTCCTCAAAAACAAAAACAACAAAAAACAAAACAAAACTCATCAAACTGCACCCACAGGATCTGTGCATTTCAGTGCAGTCAGGCAGGACACAGCAGTGGGTGGGTATGGGTTGGCCTGGTTCTCACAAATGCCTAGGAGCAGGGAGGGCAGTCCTAACGTTTGCAGTCTTGAGGTCCGTGCAGCAATGTTCAGCTGTCATCATCTCCATTTTACTCAAATCTGCCGTCAGGACACTTCCATTCCGCAGGCTTCCGTATTACTGTTTGCCATCAATATCTCTGACAGTGGCACGCTAAGGGCTGCTGCTGTCTTTGTTGGCTAGGCTACTCTAAGGGGAATCCGTCTGAACACACCATTCCAGAAATGGTTATTTTTCATTTATACACTGCAGTCTTTTTGTTTCAAAAAAATGCAAGTAAGGATGACTGTGGCTTTGCTTATAAAGCCTTCTAGACTGAAATTGCACTGAAATAGACAATATTATTAAGGAGCATTATTATTTCTCATGAGCAACATGTCTATGCGCAGACATCCAGCATTAACTTGGCTTCCAGGGCAGACACAGCCAGTCCTCCGCCTTTTGTTTTAGACCTTAGGAAGCATTCCTGTTCTATTAAAATTCAGCAATTCCAGAGAGACATAACTTTAGCCATTCAAAAATGCCCCCTAAGTCATTTTCAATGATAACAACCATTTACTGGGCGCTTACCAAGTGGCAGGCACTGTGCTCAGCATTTTGCATAAATTACTTCATTTATCCTCCAAGAACCATGCAAGGTATGCATTAGAATTCCTATTTTGTCAGGGAAATGGAAGTTCAGTGGGGTTAAGTAGCTCTCCTAAGGCTATTTCATCCAAATGACAAATGAGTATGCCAGGGGGCTTGACCTGTCTTGGAGTCTAAGGTTCTTAGTTGGAAATCCTCAAAAGCCCACCGGAGACAAGGAGCTGGGGGCTAGTGGTGCATTTGGAGGCCAGCCCAGGAAGCCCTGGGAGGGAGTGGGGGATTGAGGCATGGAAGGGAAGAGAGCTCCCAGAGGGTGAGTTGATGTACAGGTGACTCCTCGCTCTGAGCTCCCTTTGAGCAACTGCATTGATGATGTCAGAGATTGGTCCCACTGTGGAGCAAAGAAGCTGGGCACCTGTCCTTCAGCTCCCTTTCACTGGGGAGGACTGACCTCGGGGCAGCCGCGTATGCCACACACAGAGGAAGTCCTCAGGTAGGGGGACTCAGGGGTTGGAGGAGGCACCCATTAGTGGGTAAGGGACCTCCCACCCAGGCTGCAGGGACCTCCTGGACAGGCCAGCCTGGCACACCCGCAGCATCCGGTATCCTCTGCTGTGAACTTTCAGCACTTCTCTCAGGCCCTCCCCTTCAAGACGGCTAGACTTTAAAAAAATTTTTAATATCTCATTTAATCCAATGTACCTCAAAATACCTCATTTCACCATGTATCTTTCATACAAAAATTTGCACACAAACGTTTGCAGCAGCATCATTCACAAGAGCCTTTGTGGAAACAGCCCAAATGTCCATCAGCTGATGAACGGATCAACCAAACGTGACGTAGCCACGTGACACAGCCACACAATGCAGCCACAGGACGCAGCCACGCAACGGAACGTCATCCAGCCATAAAGGAACAAAGAGCTGTCATATGCCACAACGCGGGGAGCCTGCAACACCGTGTGCAAAGTGGAAGAAGCCAGGCTGGAAAGGCCACGGATTCTGTTATGTGAAAGGTCAGAATGCACAGGACAGAGAACAGGGCCTGCCAGGGGCTGGGGGGTGAAGGGGATGGAGGGGGGACTGCTCACAGGTACAGGGATTCTTTTTGGGTTGATGGAAATGTTCTGGAATTAAATAGTGGTGATGGTTGCACAACAAAATGAAGACACTAAAAAAGACTGAGGTTGTACAATTTTTTTTTTTTTGAGATAGAGTCTCACTGTGTCACCCAGGCTAGAGTGCAGTGGTGTGATCTCGGCTTGCTGCAACCTCTACCCCCAGGTTCAAGCGATTCTCCTGCCTCAGCCTTCCAAGTAGCTAGGATTACAGATGTGCACCACCACACCCGGCTAATTTTTGTATTTTTAGTAGAGACAGGGTTTCACCATGTTGGCCAGTCTGGTCTCAAACTCCTGACCTCAGGTGATCTGCCCGCCTCAGCCTCCCAGAGTGCTGGGATTACAGGCGTGAGCCACCATGCCTGGCTGAGGTTGTACACTTTAAAATGGTGGGCTTTATGTTATATCAATGACATCTCAACCAGGAAACATGAAATCAATATAAAAATGACTGAGATTTTTATATTCTTTTTCATACTAAGCCTTCAGAATTTGCTGTGTGTTCTACAGTTACAGCGCATCTGCATCTGGACTGCGGCTGGACTGTAAATGCATTTGGTCACCACCTGGGGGAACTCTCATGTGGGGGCAGCTCCGGGGTTCCATGGCTGCCCCCAAAACCTCTCCACATGCATGTTGTGGGGCACAGCCAGCCAGCCTGCCCACCCTGCCGGCCGCCGGCCTCCTCTGGCTTGCAGAAGCTCAAGCACGCACTCTGCGGATGCGCCTCCTTATGGCCCCCTTTTATTGTCCTTCTATGGAAACAGCAACGCCAATAAAGCTGCTGGGAACTGGAAGCCTCCGAGTCACCCTCGGTCTCTGGCCAGGGGAGTAGAATGTGGTGTGGGTCTCCGCGGGGGCCAGATGCAGAGGCTGAACAGGGTGTGTGTGACTAGAGACAGGTCCTGGGTCCTAGGGCAGGCAGGAATGTGGGGGAGAACAAGCAGAACCAGACCCCTACAGCACTGTCCTAGTTGAAGAGGCTGTCATCACTTGGGTTAAGTGTGACAGCACGGTTCAACTGCTGCTGTGCCTAAGAAAATCGTGATGGCCCCTGGCTCTCCTATAGGACTTGGGCCGTGGGGGGCCGTCCTGGCGTGTGACTGCAGCACGCTTTCCCTAACGCTCTGGTCAAAAAGACACAATCCCCTTGATACGGTCATGAGATCACACGGACCCATGGACCCACGCGATCTGCCACGCTGAGGGAGGCCCTGTCCTTTTCCCGCGTGCTGTGATCACAGCACCCAATCCTCATCACAGGCATCTCCCCTGCCAGCTCCTGGCAGCCGAGGGCACTCGGGGGACACCCGTCAACCGCCATCAGCTGAGATCTGTGTTTTATAATCTGGAAAACAACACTCTTTGAGTTTGAGCGGCTTACATCAAATAAAAGTGATTGAGGCTCAAGGATTTTCCAAAAAATCAGCACTATCGTTATAAAAAGATGCTGAGAAGCCTGTGTCGTGGTTTTTGTAGTTGCTATTACCTTTATTTTAGTCACAAAAGGGATAAATGCTCTATCCATTTGATTCCCTCCCATGATCAGGCGAAGAGAGCATTTTTCTACAGAAGATGCTTGGTGAACACAGACCTTCGCGTGGACGGGGCCATTCCTTCTACTCTACGCTGGAGAACGAGGCTGTGCCATGCTCTTTCCTGGCAGGAGCTGTTCACCGCTCCAGAGAAGTCTCTGCAGCTCACACTGGGGTTGTGGACCCAGGCCAGGGCTGGCCTATTCTCCCTTTTCTATGAAAAGTCACGTTTTTGATAATACTCTTCTCTTTACTATTTCCTGAATATTTAAGTAGCAAAACAGCAAAACCCTGGGGTGTTTCTGCATTGCACAGTTCCACCGGGCCCGTTAGAGGCATTTACTGAAACCTGCTGAGAATCAGTGAGGAACCCAGGGCCTTGGGAAAGGCTGGGTGTGGGGCTGTGTGGCGTTGGCCTCCCTGCACCCTGCCCCCACCCCCCACCCCCTGAGCCTTGTGCTAGTCTAGAAACAGCTCCCATTTCCTTTTCTGCCACTGGAAATGTGGTCTGTTGATTCACAAGGGCACCTGGGGTTGCTTACAGGCCAGAACTCAGGGCGGCGTCGCTAGAGCTAACTCCTGACCTTGGGCCACGGCTCAGTGGCTCTGGGACCCAAGGCCGATGGACGGGAGAGGGAAGGTTGTTGCCATAGAGAGAGTGAAGAATTCCTAAGGACAAACCCCAAATGGAAAAAATGTTCTGTAAACACATTTCTCAGGAAAGCTGTGTGTGTGTGTGTGTGTGTGTGTGTGTGTGTGTGTTTGGTGGGGTGGGGGGGGTCTACCTGACACCGACTTTGTCTCCTAAAGAAAAGCCTGGAACACTGGCCTATTTGGAGAGCGGGGTCCCCACGCACCCAGAGGCGGGGAAAGGTGGTGTTAGCCCAGCCAGGATGTGACTATGGAGATGTGGGAGGGGTTGTCGCTGCTAGGAAAATGCAGCTCCCCTGGACAGCCAGCGACTCCTCACTGCGGAATAAGCGCAGCGCTCCTCGGCTGGCCCGGAGGGACACCCAGCCTGGCCTTCCGTGTGGCCGCTCATCCTCTCTGAAGAGGGAAGTCTTGCCCAGCCCAGCAGAAGTGTGTGCAGCTCTCAACAAACACCTGAAGCACCTGTCTCGTACCAGCCTCGTGCTGCCGTGAGGGCTGGCGGGAGCCTGGGCCCTGACCACCTTCTCGAGATCACAGCCTGGGCCGAATGCTCCTGAACCAACCCCAGCCCTCTGTAGAGACGGTGCAGAGCCTGGCGGTGCAGCACTGTTTCCTGCTTTTTCTCATCCTGGCACCTTTAGCAGAAATGCCCCTTATTGTTCTTTTACTCAAAACTTTACGATGCGAAGTTTAATGTGAGCCTTTGTGTTTCTCAGGATGGATTATTTTTCAAGCCTCTTTGTGGCTCCTAGGATCCAAGTTGCAGGAGGGCTGCAGAGGGCAACGATCTCTCAGCCACTGGGTGCCCGCACAGCCCAAGGCCAGCAGCCTTTGCCGGAGTCCTCCAGGGAGGAGCAGCTCCGGCCTTAGGACAGCTGGTTCCAACTTCCTTCCATTCACCTCTTTCCCTCAATGAGCCCAACTCCATCTCCCACTGGTCCTGGATGGGTCCCCAGGTGACACAGAAATCCCTCTTTCCTCTGCTCCCAGCGATGCTCTTCTAACTCTGAGCACAGCCATCTCGCCTGTCTTCGCTGGCCTGCGAGAGCCCTGCAGCACCTCACCCACACCCGGCCAGCCTTTGCCTCTTCCTGCCTCCAGGGCTTTATGGCTTCCCCTCTGCTCCCGATGGTGTCCTGTCACCAGCGTCCTTCTCCCACGGATGGGTTCGGTCTCCGTCCGGCTCAGGCCTGGCCCCTCCTGCTGGTGCTCACTCACTCCCTGCTGGCCTCACCAAGTCCCAGACTTCAACACCATCCATTGGGAGCCGACAGCCGAGAGGCCGCCTGCCCTGACTCTGCCTGCTCCTCATGCACCTGATGTCTGATGAGCAGACCAAGCCCACCCGCAGCAACCCCCTCCCTGGGCCGTGGCGCTCAGTGCTCAGGTCAAAGAAGCCCCGGATGGGTCTCTATATCCCGCTTCCACTTAGGAAAAAGCTTGTCTCTTCCTTTAGAACCTGCTGGAACCTGCGCTCCTCATCACCTCCATGGCCCCCACCCCGGCCTAGGCCTCCGCCTCCTCCCAAAAAAATAGCTTCCTCTTGGATTTCTCTGCCTCCACCTTTGCTGCCACTTCCCTTTCGTGATCTCGACCCAGCGCCCTGAGCAAGATTTAAAACACAAATGTGATGATGTCACTCCTCTCCTGAAAGCCTTCTAATAGCTGCCCACGCCACTCAGCATAAAAGCCAGCATCCTTGCAACGACCTTCAAGGCCCTGGCGCTTTCATTCTCATCTCCAAACATTTGCACTCTAAACAGCCAGAGTGGAATTTGGTGATCAGCCAGGAGTTTGGGGGAGACCCCAAAGGGATCAAGTCTTAGTAGGACTGAGCTATCCCTGGGGTAAGGGCCCTCTAGAGCCATTCTCACAAAGCTTAAAGGTGGGGCTCAAAGGCATCAAACTGATGTGCAAGTAACTTAACTGCTTGCCAAGGCAAAGCCCAACACTCTTAACTGGGAGAAACAAAACCAGATGATGAACCAGCGTGCATTCCTGTGATCAGCATTCCATCAAGATCTACTAGATTCACGAGAATCAGAAAAATATGACCCATACCCAGGAGATAAATCAATCAACAGAGACAGACTCGGATATGGCAGAGAGGAGGAAACCAGCAGACAATGGCATGAAACAGAATTATAATGAGGTATAAGCATTTACAGGAAATATAAACATAATGAGGCATAAATGGGAGATGTAAAAATGGGAGATACGAAAAAGGAGGGAAACATAATTCCTAGGGATGAAGAATGCAATATCTGAAATGAAAATTTCACTGAACGAGATTAACAGCAGACTAGATACTGCAGGAGGGAAGACCAGTGCAATGGAAGACGTCACGGAAAAGTCTAAGAAAAATAAAGCAAACAGAAAAAAAGGTCTGGAAAGAAAGAAACAGTGTGAGTGAGTCAGGGGACGCTCTCAGGCTGTCTATCATTCAGGTAGTTAGGGTCCCAGGGGAAAGGAGAGAGACAGAGGAGAGCAGAAAAAATTCCAAATTTCATGAAAAATATGATCCCAAAGTTCCAAGAAGATCAATGAACACCAAGCAGGTTAAACCAAAAGAAAACCACACCAAGGCCATCATAATCAAATTCCTGCAAACCAGTGATAAAGAAAACATCTTAAGTTGCCAGAGGGAAAAAGACACATTGCACACAGAGGAACAAAGATAAGACATCACAGACTTCTCATTAGAAGCTGTACTAGCTAAAACACAATGAGAAGACATATTCACAGTGCTGGAAAACTGTGAAACTAAAATTCTCTATGGCAAGAAAATACCCTTTCAAAATGAAGATGAAATAAAAACACTGTCAGTCGGGCATGGTGGCTCACGTCTGTAATCTCAGGGAGGGAGGATTACTTGAGTTTAGGAGTTTGAGACCAGCCTGGGCAATACTGTAAGACCTTGTCCCTATAAAAACTTAAAAAATTCGCCGGGCATGGTGGTGTGTGCCTATAGTCCCAGCTACTTGGGAGGCTGAGGAGGGAGGATTGCTTCAGCCTAGGAGGTCAAGGCTGTCGTGAGCTATGACCGCATCACTGCACTCCAGCCTGGGCAACAGACAAAGACTTTATCTCTCTCTCTCTTTGAAAAAAAAAAAAGCAAAACAGCAAAGAAAAGCTTTTTCAGACAAAAGCAGAAGGAATTTGTTGTCAGAAGACCAGCACTATAAGAAAATCATCTATAGAATCACAGGAAATCTGCAAAAAGGTACTAGACCTAATAAATGAGTTTAGCAAGGTCCCATACAGAAGCCAATTCCTATAAACTAAAAACTACCGGAAATTGAAATGAAAAAAAAGTCCATTTGCAGTACCATTAAATACATGAAATAGTGATGTATTTATCAGTATTTATTAAGTACTTCATATTAACAATGGTAACACATTATTGAGAAACATTAAAGGAAACCCAAATGAATGGGGAGATAGACCATATTTATGAACCAGAAGACTCAACATTCTTAAGATATTAATTCTTCCCACATTGGTCTGTATATTTAATGCAACTTCAGTCAAAATCCTAGCAGACTGTTTTTTTGGAAGCAATTCATAGACTGATTCTAAAATTTATTTGAAAATAAAAGCAATAACATTTTTGAAAAAGAAAAAAGAAACCAGAGATAACTTAGAGTACCTGATTTCAAGACCTACTATTTATCTACGGTAGTCAAGATGGTGTGCTGTTGTTTTAAGACATGTAAATTCACACGACAGGATCTGGAGTCCAGAAAAAGACTCACACATACATGGCCCATCGATTTTCCACAAAGGTGTCATGGTAATTCAGTGGGAGAAAAGATCATCTTTTCAACAAATGGTGCTGGAGAAATGAATATCTGTGTAGAGAAAACGAACCTCGGTTTTTCTCTCCTGTGTTTGGGTGGGCTGGACTTCGTGACTTGCTTTCAAAGAAGAGCAGGGAAGGAGATCAACAGTAACTCTGCAGTGGAGAAGCTCGTGGTCCTACCTGGCTGTCATGCGCCCCACGTATTCCTTCCAAAACCCACCACACCCAGGCTGGTCGTGAGAGAAACGTCAGACAAACCCAGACTGGGGAACACTCTACAGACTCTTATATCCACTCTTAGGGAAGACGGTTAAGTATATGTTTAACTGTATAAAAAAGTTGGCAAGGTTATAGGTATCATAGGTATTTAGCCAAGTGAAATGAAATATATAAAAATATACGTTTCCACCAATACTTGTACTTTAATGCTCACAGCAGCCTTATTCTTAAAAGCCCCCAGACTGGTAACAACCCAAATGTCCATCCACAGTGAATGGAAGACGCCCTGTGGTACAACCTACACCATGGGATACCACTTAGCAATACAAAGCATGAACTGTCTCTACACACAGCACATGGATGGATCTCAAAAACATTATGTTGAGTCAAAAAGAGTACATATACCATGTAATTTCTTATATATGAAACTCTCAAAAAGAAATCTCATGGATGATGTCAGAAAGCAGGTCCGTTGTGGACTGAGACACACTGGAGGGGGCAAGAGAGAGCTTTTCTAGGTGGTGCAAATGTCTTGATTTTGGTGATGGTTACAAGGGTGTACACATTTTTCAAAAGTCATCAAAATAGGCACTTAAATGGCATTTTATGATGTATAAATCACACATAAATAAAAGTGATAAAAATCAAATGGAAAAGGCATTCTAGGCTGGGTGCTGTGGCTCACGCCTGTAATCCTAGCACTTTGGGAGGCTAAGACAGGTGGATCACCTGAGGTCAGGAGTTCGAGACCAGCCTGGCTAACATGGCAAAATCCCGTCTCTACCAAAAATACAAAAAAAATTACCCAGGCTTGGTGGTGCACGCCTGTAATCCCAGCTACCTGGGAGGGTGAGGCAGGAGAATCACTTGAACTTGGGAGGCAGAGGTTGCAGTGAGCCGAGATCGTGCCACTGCATTCCAGCCCTGGGTGACAGGACCAGACTCCGTTTTTTTTTAAAAAAAAAAAAAGAAAAAGAAAAAGGATTGTAACACAGCGGCCCAAGTAACTGTATGAGGCACCCCAAGGCATCCCAGGGGCCACAAATGCCTGCCTTGGCAACTCACAGTGGAGCGGGGAGGACAGGTGCTGGGCCAGGAAGACCAGAGTGGATGCCGCCCTGCAACTGCAAAGTCCTTGGGATGGCCTCTGGCCGAGGGGCAGGGACAGACAGTGCAGCCAATGGAACGGCCATAGACCAGGAACAGGCAGTGGCCAAAAGGAGTAAGAAAAAATCCACACAAGGGAGGCTAACCCCAGGCAGATGCTATTCTCCCTGGGGTTAGAAAGGCAGAGCCCTTACAGTAGTACAAGGTTTCAGATTCTGCAGTTGTATCGGCTTCAAATGCAGATTCAAATGCTTAACTAACATATAGTTAAATGCTTCAAAGGTAACTCATATATATTTCAAATGCTTAGATTCAAATGCTTAACTAGTATATATTTTATCACAGGGGCAAGCTCAAGATTTCTTTTTCCTTCTTTTAGTTTAAAAAACGACAGCAGGGCCTTACCGGAGAGTTGCTTGATGGCCACAGGTCTCACTTTGTACGGAGTGCTGCAAAAGAGAAGACAGTGCCGCTGTGAGACTCTGCAAGGCGCTCGCTGTATGCCTGGCAGGAGAGATAAGCACTCGGCATGATTAGAAATCAGCGGATTAGGTGGTTCTTTTTATTTATTTTTATTTTTTAAATTAGCTTCTTTGACTGTTCTCAGCTTCCTTACTCAGATGAATTTCAAGTATATCATTTAAATGATCACCTTCCTCTATAATGTTCGTGTTTGGTCAATTAAATAAATGTTGTCATGGGTACTACTGCCGATCACAGGTGCTGTATCAAGTTGGAAATGTCAGACTCTGGCAGCTGCCTGGACCCATTTCAGCACCTGGCGGATGCAGGTGGCCTCCCTCTCTTTTGCTCTGTTGAGCTGATGGCGGCTGTATCCCCCAAATGAACAAGAGAGGATGGTGACAGTGATGAAGTCGAAAATGCACTGGGATCTCTGTGATGTCAACCCCCCTCCCCCCATCATCACGAGGCCCAGCGTGATGGGGAGAGAATACTGGCTGTGCAGACGACAGCCAAAACGTTTCTGTCGCTGACACACGACAGCCTCTGGCCAAGAGGCAGGGAAGGACAGTGCAGCCAATGGAACAGGCATAGACCAGGAGCAGTCAGTGGCCAAGAGGAGTAAGAAAAAATCCACACAAGTGAGGCTAACCCCAGGCAGATGCTATTCCTTGACCCAGCAGTTTAGCAACATTTGGAAACCTGGTAAGAGAGGTGCTACAAGGACACAGGGCGGCAGACATCACAGGTGTTGCTGGTGGGGTGTGGGTTGCCACATCTTGGGGAAAGCAGTGTAGAAACACCAGTTAAAATCCTTTGTCTCAGCAGATGAATTTAGGGAGGGATGTATCAGAATGAAACACAAGCACACAGGGAGACAGTCAGATGTCATGTGTTCATGTCTTTGACTTGCTCATTCATTCATTCACTCGCTCTACCCATTTCTTCCTGAGTGCCCACTGTGGTCAGGTGCAGGTGGGTTGAAAGAGCGTGCTCCACTGTGCTGTCTGGATGGGTCAGTCTGTGCATCTCTCCACAGGCAGGATGCCACATTAGTGGTCCCATGGTGCTGGGGTCTGAATGTTGAGGCACCCCCACCCCAAATTCATATAATGAAGCCCTCATCCCCAGTGGGTAAGATTAGGAGGTAGGGCCTTGGGAGGTGATTGGGTTTGGAGGAGTTCCTGAGGGTGGGGCCCATGGGATGGGGTTGGTGTCCTTACAAGGGCCAAAGACACCAGAGCTGTCTCTTGCTCTGCCTCATGAGGGCACAGCCAGAAGGCAGCTGTATGCAAGCCAGGAAGAGAGGCCTCCCCAGGAACAGAACCTGCCCACACCCTCATCTTGGATTTCAGCCTCCAGACTCTGAGAACTCAATGTCTAGCTGTTTAAGTTCAGACAGACTGAGACACTGCAGTGTCAGGTAGTTGTTAAGAAGATGAAGACAAACATGCAAGTATTCACCTGGTGGGACGCCCATGACTCCTTACTAGGTAAAAACAACAAGTTACGGAGTGATGTATAGAGAATGAGCTCATTCCTGGAAGAAGAAACACAGTGAATATGGAGGGGTATACACACCAAGCTGTTCATGGTGATTAACTGGGGGCAATACATGTGGTTTGATGGTTACAGGTAACGTGGAAAATCTTTACAATTTTAAACACCAATAATGTGAAAAAATAAAACCTGTGTGGCACTGACCTCCCTGCACTTTGGGCCCTTTGTCTGTAGGGCGGTGAGGCTGAGGTTCTCGGGAGAGCCGGGCACTGTGGACTTGCCAGCTGAGCCCAAGTGCTGGGGACTAGAGGGCCCTCTGTCCCCTTGATTCTCCCCTCACCCTATGAATGACCTCACTCACACAGAATGTCAAGAAGTGAGCCCACACCCTCTCATCTCCCACCACGTGCCTGCGTGGGCTCAGGAGAGGCCCTGCCTCAAAAGGCCTTTTAGTGGTGGGTCATTTGGCACTGGAGGGCTCATTTCTCCCCAGAGACTTGGTCATAAGAGGCACTGGGCTTGAAGCGTGGCCCTAAGTGCAGAGCAAAGTCCTCCAAGCTCCCCAGGTGGAGAGGGCACTCGGTCGTCATCGGGACTAGGGCCCCTCTAGCCCCTGATGCCTGTGCTCAGCTGGGCAAGTCCACAGTGCCCAGCTGTCCCAGGAACCTCAGCCTCACTGCCTTACAGACCCAGAGCCCAAGGCGTGAAGAGGCCAGGTGCTTTGCTGATGGCCTCAGTGTGGCCAGTGAGGACCCGTGCCAGGGTTGCCTAGGAAGGGCCTGGGCTGGGAGGACAGAGTGGAGGGTGGGCAGCAGAGAAGCCGGGTGTGCTGGGCTCCTCTTGGATCCTCCTTCCTTCCTCTTCTCAGTGTCTCTCCGGCTCCCACCATGAGAGCAGCCCTGGAAATGGTGCAGTGGGTGGAGAGAAAGCCAGGACCTGCGTGGGCAGCAGGAAGGGGCTTTGCCACCCTGGCTCCCCACTCCTCTCCGACTTTCTTCTCCTGTGTCTTCTCTGAGGAGCAGCAAGGACTCTTTCTTCTCCTCCTTCCCCTGCCCCTTGTCCCTAGAAAATTAATGCTGGAGGTGGGGGGCGGGTAGTGACCAGGCGCAGAGAAGGGCTCCAGGAGGTGGGGCAAGGGCTGGAGGGAGAACAGCATGGATCCCACACAGTGCCGGCGGGGACAGAGCCAGAGAGGCGTGTCCAGCAACTTCTCCCACGCAAGAGACTCAGAGGAAGGTGTCCTGGGGACCTGACACAAAAACAGGCTTACCAAGACAACTTCCCCTCATACAGGGGCACTGGGCCTGCTCATCCACCCAAATGGAGTCCAGCCCCCTTCAAGCCCATTCAACCAATTCAGAGGCCAGCCTCTCCGAGGAGTCTGGTAAGCTGAGGGCAGGAGCCATCACATCAGCAACAGAGGGAAAAGTGGACGGACAGGGAGCCTCTGTGAATGCTCCAGGAGGCTGCAGAAACCTTCCTGGCCCTTGGGCCCAAGATCCTTGGGTTGCATTTCTGGGCCACTCAAGATCAGTCTTGGCTCCCAGATGCTTAATCCTTTGGCTTCTCACAACCCGTTATGTTGCTCCCATGAATGAGTCAACTCTTGGCTCAGTCTCAATGGAGCTGAATCTTCATCATGCTCAATAACAAATTAACACAGGAAGCACTCCCTCTTTGGAAAGGATAAGCTTGCCTCCAGCTTCTACTGTATTTGTCTTTTTCTAAGATCTAACTGCCTGGGCTCTAAGACCTCTTTTAAAACACATTTAATAGGAGGAGGAGGAGGCCTGGAGCCATTCTGGAATATAGAAAGCTTTTCTCTAAGCCAGAATGGCCGAGAATACTGGCCCTGCATGCACAGAGCTCAGCCGGTGGAGAGTCACCTGCGGCACAACTTGGCCGAAACCGGGAACAAAAGGAGCAATGGTGTGTGTCGCACGGCGCCGTCCTCTGGCCCTCTCCCCTCTGTATGTGTCTCACCACACACCCCACTTTCACTCACGCTACTGAGGTGTCTGATTTATCTCCTTCCACTGCATCTTGAAGCAGTAGTGACTGGGGAATGGAAGGGGTAGGGTTGTCAGGAAGCAACGCCCATGTTAGCTGGATGTCAGGATCTCCAGAATGTTCCCGGATTGGAAAGGAAAATGACACCAGATGGCTCAGAGTCCCTCCAAGGAGGAATGCTGGAGCCTTATTTGATCATGGTTGGGCTATGACTTTTTATATTTGTTGGTCGTTAGGTTGTTTAGTCATCAATTATTTTTCTTGCCAGCTCTAAAAGGGAGTGGAAGCCAATCAGCCTATTTTCCATATTTTCCATGATGTAAACGTGTTCCAGGTTATTTCAAATGCCGGCTTGAGCGTGCTCCAGATTGCACCAAACGTCCAGGAGCATAGGAAGGGTTAGGCAGCTGCCAGTGGATCCCCAGCCATAGGAGGGGCCTTTGGATTTGGGGCGGGGACAGGAAGATTGGCAGTGTGCAGAGGGGGAATGTGCTTGGAGGTTTGCAGAAGGGGAGTGCCCGCTGGGCTGGGGTGGGCATTCATGCAGCTCAGCAGATTGGAGACAAGTACATTATGGTGGATTGGGGCCAGACATCCCAATGCGGGGGGCTGGAGAGTGTCCTGTAGCCAACAGGCCACTGGAGAACTCCATGCTGGGAGTGATGGGATGAAAGTGTGTTTGGAGCCTATTTTTCTGGAAGGTAGCAGGACTCAAGGGAGAGATAACTGTGAGGGGTAACAGGAGGCAGAAACCAGGAAGTCCACCTGTGAGATGCGGTCCACAACAGGAGCCAGCCACCAAAATCTAAAGGATGGCATTAAGGCAAGGAGTATTTTGAAAGAATAATCCAATGCAACAATTTGTTTAGTTTGGAATGAGGAGCAGAGAAGAAGCTAGAGTTTTAAGCTCTAAGAGACCGTGCAACCGGCATCACCCCTTCTGATCAGGATGGAGGTGGTCTGTCAAGAGCCCTTGGAATTTGGAGATTTCATGAAACGCCCACCCTATGGCTGTGAATCTGGGAAGAATCCAAGCAAGCTAGGTGCAACCAGCCACCTGCAGGAATCCAAGCATGCCAGATGCAACCAGCTGCCAGCAGGAGAGCCTCCTCCAAAGACATGGTTCCTGGGCCTGAGGCTGGGGGGACAGTGAGGTGACCAAGTCCACACCAAGTCACTGCAGGTGACTTCAGAAGTGGAGGAAGTTAAAGAGAGACACAACCCAACCAACCCACCAACCAACCAACCAACCAACTGCTGACGTAGCTTCTGAGCTAGAGGGAGAGGGCTGCTGTCTGCTAGGAAGAAACAAAGAGTTTACCCAGCATGTTTCAGCAAGGGAAGGCCCTGGGTCTGGTAGACATAAGCTTCTGGTCACCAGAGGGTGGGGTAGAGTGGTTTCTTAGATTTTCCAGACCTTATATCAGCGGTTAGTCCCCAGACTGTGTGCTGGAATCACTTGCAGAGCTTTAAAAAAAAAAAATCTCTTAAAAATCTGGACTTAATTGAGGGGTCTGGGCATCAACTGGTACCTTTTAAAAGATTCCTGGGTGGGCTGGGCATGGTGGCTCACGCCTGTAATCTCAGCACTTTGGGAGGCTGAGGTGGGCGGATCACCTGAGGTCAGGAGTTTGAGACCAGCCTGACCAACATGGAGAAACCCCATCTTTACTAAAAATACAAAATTAGCCAGGTGTGGTCGTGCATGCCTGTGATCCCAGCTACTTGGGAGGCTGAGGCAGGAGAATCCCTGGAACCTGGGAGGCAGAGGTTGCAGTGAGCTGAGATCACACCATTGCACTGCAGCCTGGGCAATAAGAGTGAAACTCTGTCTCAAAAAAAAAAAAAAAAAAAAAGTAGGACGCGGTGGCTCACGCCTGTAATCGCAGCACTCTGGGGGGCCGAGGCAGGTGGATCACGAGGTCAGGAGATCGTGATCATCCTGGCTAACATCCCGTCTCTACTAAAAACACAAAAAATTAGCTGGGCGTGGTGGCGGGCGCCTGTAGTCCCAGCTACTCGGGAGGCTGAGGCAGGAGAATGGCGTGAACCCGGAAGGCAGAGCTTGCAGTGAGCCGAGATCGCGCCACTGCACTCCAGCCTGGGCGACAGAGCCAGACTCCGTCTCAAAAAAAAAAAAAAAAAGATTCCTGGGTGGTTGCAATCTGCAGCCAGGGTGGAAAGCCACTCTTTAGTGGAACTAGCTTACAGGGAGTGGTTCAAATAAGAGCAGGCGTGTGTGCTTAGGACGCCTGAAAGCACAAATTGACGGGCATGCGTCTCGCTCTCAGGCATTCTCTGCAGGAGCTCAGGCACCTGTGTGGAAATCGGGGCAGTGAATTTCCAGGCCCCGTGGGTCACCGTGTCAGGTGGGGCTCTGAGCAGCCACCTGCCCAGCCTTCCCACGGCCCCTTTTCCACGCAGCACCATAGTCACAGCAAGAAAGTCAGCAAAGGATGCCGGCTCCCTCCTGGACATGTGGTGAGGGAATGGCTGCAGCATGCGGCCGGGGGGCGGGAGAGAAACGGTGAGCATTCCCGAGGCCTCGCACCGCGGCTCCGGTGCAGGAAGAGTGCGAGGAGCAAGGCGTGCGGGCCCCGAAGCACATCTCTGAGGATGGCCGCATGTCACCAGGCACCGAGTGGAGGAGAGGAAGAGGGGAGAAGCCAAGGGGGAGGCAGGGCCAAAAAAGAAAAGGCCAGTAACGTCACCTGCCGGCGAGGGAAGAGGGACGGAAGCGGGAGAGAAAAGCCCCTGGGTCAGAAGAGCATCAGTGGCGTGTCCCGGGCCAGCCTCGTCCTCCTCACTGGGAACCTGCAGAAAGCCTGGCTTTCTGCTGCAGAAAGATTCTCGGGGCCCACCTCCGTCACAAACCAGAGACTGAGGGGAGCTCTGTGCTCCACCAAGCCCCCTGCGGATTCTGACGCAGTTGTCTGAGAACTACTAGGTTGGAAGATTGGGGGAGGGTGAGAGGACAGCGACAGAGCACAGGGGAGACCTCAGACACCAGGTGCTCCGCCTCAGCACCGCTGATGTCTCCGGCCACGTGTGTCATTGTTGTGGGCCTGTCCTGTGCGCTGTAGGATGCCATTGGCATCCCGGGTCTCCACCCATCAGATACAAGTAGCAGGCCCTTACCCCTGGTGACATCCAGAAATGTCTCCAGACGTTGCCCTGCGTCCCCAGAAGAAAAAACTGCTCTGGGCAGTGCAGAGGGGGAGGCACGCACGAGCTGGACTGGTTCACTCCGTCCCCAACTCATTCCATCCTGCACCCAGCATGCCCCGCCTCGTTTAGGGGCTGGAAATCCAGCAGAGAGCAAGGTGAAATTTCCTTCCTATGAGAGAAGACCGTCCAGCGGGGCCAGCAGCAGTGAGAACCTCAAACAAGTAAGTGAGATCACTTCAGACTGAGGCGCACACTGAGGGGAGGAAGCCAGTGATGTGCTGATGGTGACAGGTTGGGTGACTTTGGATGGAGATGGTGAAGGGGCTGGGTGACTTTGGGTGGTGATGGTGATGGGTCTGGGTGACTTTGGATAGTGATGGTAAAGGGGCTGGTCACTTTGGATAGTGATGGTGATGGGCTGGGTGACTTTGGATGGTGATGGTGATGGGTCTGGGTGACCTCAAATGGTGATGATGATGGGTCTGGAAGACTTTGGATGGTGATGGTCATGGGTCTGGGTGACTTCGGATGATGGTGAAGGGCCTGGTGATAGTGATGGTGAAGAGGCTGGTGACTTTGGATAGTGATGGTGATGGGCTGAGTGACTTTGGATGGTGATGGTGATGGATCTGGGTGACTCTGGATGATGATGGTGATGGGGCTGGTAACTTTGGATGGTGATGGTGATGTGTCTGGGTGACTTTGGATGGTGATGGTGCTAGATGACTTTGGATAGTGATGGTGATGGGCTAGGTGGCTTTGGATGGTGATGGTGATGTGTCTGGGTGATTTTGGATGGTGGTGGTACTGGATGACTTTGGATAGGATGGTGACGATGATGGGGCTGGTGACTTTGATGGTGATGGTGAAAGGCTGGTAACTTAGGATGGTGATGGTGATAGGACTGGGTGACTTTGGATGGTGATGGTGAAGGGGCTTGGTGACTTTGGATGGTGATAGTGACAGGATGCGTGACTTTGGATAGTGATGGTGATGGGTCTGGGTGACTTTAGATGGAGATGGTGATGGGTCTGGGTGAATCTGGATGGTGATGGCGATGGGACTGGGTGACTCTGGATGGTGATGGTAAAGGGGCTGGTGACTTTGGATGGTGATGGTGAAGGGGCTGGTGACTCTGGATGATGATGGTGATAGGTCTGGGTGACTTTGGATGGTGATGGTATCGGGGTGGGTGACTTTGAATGGTGATGGTGATGGGGCTGGTGACTCTGGATAGTGATGGTGATGGGGCTGGTGACTTTGGATGGTGATAGTGAAGGGCTGGGTGACTCTGGATGGTGATGGTGATGGGTCTGGGTGACTTTGCTAGTGATGGTGATGGGCTGGGTGACTGTGGATGGTGCTTAAGGCAGGTGGCTGGGCTGGCACCTAGCGGATAAGCAGAAGCTGGTTCTGCAGAGCTGGGAAGGCAGGATCCTGTGGGCTGGGCATGGTGCGGGCGTGGGTACAGGGGTAAGTTGGAGAAGTTGGTGAGGCATAAGTTGGCAGGGCCCAGATTGGGAGGCCACCATGGAGAAGAAGGTGTCTTACCAGGTTGAACCTGGCAGCCGTGTGGGAGAGGCAGGCTGGAGGCAGGGAGGTCAGAGCTCAGTGAGGCCTGGACCTAACAGTGGCAGAGGGAATGGAAGAAGGCACAAAGGAGACGGGGGTGCAGGAGGCGCAGGCACCAGCCTGGGGGACAAATACAGCCACATCTCAGCACGTGCCGCCCCCAGCCACGATCAGTTTGTCATGAGAGAGGAGAGTCTATTCTCTCCTCTTCACCATGTCTATGCCTATATCCACACCCACGATCATAGATAGAGCATCTGAAGCTCTTTCTACGTCCAGAGCCACATTATCTAGATCACATCCACATCGCTGTCTAGATCCATTTCCACATCGCTGTCTAGATCCGTTTCCGCATCACCTGTACCCGGTTAGATCCACACCCTATGCATCTATCTATATCCTCATCCGCGTCTAACTTCCTCTTCTCCACCTGTGTCCTCATCCGCGTCTAACCCCATCTTCTCCACCTGTATCCTCATCCGCGTCTACCTCCATCTTCTCCACCTGTGTCCTCATCCGCGTCTACCTCCATCTTCTCCACCTGTATCCTCATCCGCGTCTACCTCCATCTTCTCCACCTGTATCCTCACCCGCGTCTACCTCCATCTTCTCCACCTGTATCCTCACCCGCGTCTACCTCCATCTTCTCCATCTGTATCCTCATCCGCGTCTGTCTCCACCTTCTTCACCTGTATCCTCATCCGCGTGTGTCTCCATCTTCTTCACCTGTATCCTCATCCGCGTGTGTCTCCATCTTCTTCGCCTGTATCCTCATCCGCGTGTGTCTCCATCTTCTTCGCCTGTATCCTCAACTGCGTGTGTCTCCATCTTCTCCATCTCCACTGCTCCCCTGTCCACGTCCACTGCCATGTCCATATCATGGTACCTCATCTGTCTCTGTCTCTTTATCAGAAAGGCATGCATTTTGGCATCTCAGCAGAGAGCTTCCAGACATTTGGGCTCTTTGGGCTCAGGAGGGCTTTTGTCTGGTGTGTCTGATACTGTCTCTTGTTAATAAGGCACCTGGGGCCAGAGAATTAGAAGGGTCAAGGTGGGCTTCTCCTATTTCCCGCCGAGTTTAAATGTCTCTGCACGCTGTTTCAAATGACTTCAGGAAAACAAAGCAGTTTCTCTCAGATACCCAGCTGGCATGGACAAGGTGCTGGTTTCTGTGAGGTCCCCTCTGAGAGATCATTTTAGTCTTGTGGGTGTCAGGAGGACAGGTCACTCAGTGACTTTGCTTCTGAGCGAGACCCCCCAGGCTGGAGCTGGTGCTGAGGCTGACAAGATGCTTACTGGAGTCTCTGGGGAGCCAATTAGCACTGCACCTTCCGGGGAGTCTGGAAGCCAAGAGTCAGAGCCAGACTGTGTGGGGCAGGAGACGGGCATCCTGGCTAGGGCAGGAGGGGAGACTGACGGGCACAGCCAGATGAGAGGAGCTCGGCTGAGGCCTCAAGGTGACAGGGAGGACGGCTGACCAGGACAGCTCTGGACACGTCCACTGGGACCTCGCTGAGGGGGACGGCACTGGCCATGCCCACTGAAGCCTCACTGAGGGGGGCGGCGCTGGCCATGTCCACTGGGACCTCGCTGAGTGGGATGGTGCTGGCCACACCCACGAGGACCTCGCTGAGGGGGATGGCGCTGGCCACACCCACGGGGACCTCGCTGAGGACGGCACTGGCCATGTCTACTGAGCGCTCACTGAGGGGGACGGCTCTGGCCATGTCCACTGAGACCTCACTGAGGGAGGCAGCACTGGCCACGTCCACTGGGGGGCCTCACTGAGGGGGACGGTGCTGGCCACGCCCACTGGGACCTCACTGACACAAGGGTCTGCCTGACATGCACTTTCTCCTGTGGGCTCAGAGCTGGCCATGGGTCAGTTGGGCAGGACACCCTGATGACCAGATTGACAAGTGTACCATCGCATCTACTGAGTCCCTTGGAGGCACAGTGAGCCCCACTCTGGGAGGAACAGAGGACGCCAGAGAGGGGTCCTGAGGTCGCACGCCCCGCCCCCAGCTCACCTGCTCCCTCGCCTCATGAGGAAATCTAAGTTCCACTTTGCCCAACCACAAAGAGCAGTGGAGGCTGCTGGGGTCTCCCCAGGTCACCAGGAACAGGGGCAGGTCACTGACCTGAGGGCCCCTGCTCCGCGTCCTTCCTGGGCCATACACCGCTGGCTTGACCTAGTTCACAGACATTCACGGAGGCTTTCACCGGCCTCTCCTCTTGACTTCCTGGGCCTCCCTTGTCCCTGGCCCTTCTGTGCTTAGAATCTCCCACAGGCATCACTTTATGAACACAGAGACCGGCCCTAAGTGGGTAAACACGAAATGTCCCCAGGGGCTCTGTAGGGAATCTCCCGAGGTCCTTCCTGGGGTTAATGTGGGGATCCCGGGGCCTGGCTCTGCAGCTCTTGGCTCACCCTCCTGGGCCTCAGTTTCCCCTCTGTACAATGCCTCCTCCCGTTGAGAAGCAGGTGCAGAGCCACGGCTGCAATTGTTATCTTGGAACGTGCCCAGCTCCTCTGCAGGGGAACACGACGAGTCAAGCTTCCTTCACACTGGCTCCTACCCTCGCTCTCCATCTCTGCTGTCAATTCACACCTTTCTGCAGTAGCACATTTACAAAATCACAGAAAGCCTCCCATGTCATGGAGAGAAGTGCCAGGCACACCCCGAGGAGCGCGGCCGGAGCCTCTTACCGTTCTGAATTCGCGGGCATGGTGGGGTCGATGGAGACCATGGCGTCGTCGGTGGTCAGCAGGGAGATGGTCGTGTTCCTGGAAAACACACCCAAGCCCGTGTTTTCGCCCATAGTGTGCTCTGGGATGTACACTTGAATGTACACATGGGGCCAGAGCCCTGAGACAACCAGGACAGTCCCAGGACCAGCCTGACCAAGGTGTGGTGGGATGGGAAGGGTGGGAGGCCGTCCCCAGGGCATTGAGACTCCGATTGTAAATGAAATTAAACAGCTGCGTATAATCCTAAGTGCGTGTAGATGCTGAAATACTTTAAAATGGGAATTGGAGCAAGTCTACTTTATTGAGTTGGGAGATTTTTTTTAAAAAACTGTGGTAAAATAGGAACTAACATTTATATCAGCAGATGACGAACTCATAGTTTGTCTTTCCGCTTCCAGTGCCTTTGGGAGTCCGTCTGAACTGCGCAAGTCTCTCCTACAAAATAGTTTTAAATGCTTAGGATGAGTCTTCCTCCAACCTCACATGTTTTGGGGCCTCTTGCAAGATGTGTTACCTCGACCAAGTTAATCTCTGATCTTCAGTTGTAAATTGTTAAAATCTGTGAAATAGAGGTGATACTCAAATCCCAGGGCTGCTATACGGAATACTGTGTATATATATTTATTTATTGGCACATTGCTTCATATATGGTGCCCAAAGATGCCCCAGACCATGGGCTATTTTTGCGGCTAAAACTGCCATTTGCTGCACTTTCAGACGTGTACTTTCATCTCCCTTTTCTCACCTGTCTGTGAGAAACTTCAATTGCCCTTCTCCACCTCCGTCCTAACTTTAAAGTTAATCCTTGAGCCAAAGCTACTCCTGCTCACCCTTTACATTTGGAAAGTTTGCTGATAATTAGAAAATTCACTGGCTCGAACACACTGTTGATTTAGGACATTAACTCCTGTGGGACTCTGAGGACTCGATAAGGCAGATCACTGGTCTTTTCAACCCATTTCTGAAGTCAGCCTTTCACCCAGTGTTGATCTGGGTCAAGCCCCCTGGGTAGAAAAGGCACCTATGGGGTGATGTGGGGCTGGGGACCAAACACACACAACCACCCCGCTTTCTCCAAAAGTGAATGAAGAAGTGAGAGGAAAAAACCCACACTCTTTTTTATTTATTTATTTATTTTGAGGCGGAGTCTCGCTCTGTTGCCCAGGCTGGAGTGCAATGGCATGATCTCAGCTCACTACAACCTCTGCCTCCAGGGTTCAAGCCATTCTCCTGCCTCAGCCTCCCAAGCAGCTGGGATGACAGGTGCTCGCCACCACGCCCGGCTAATTTTTGTATTTTTAGTAGAGACAAGATTTCACCATGTTGGCCAGGCTGGTCTCGAACTCCTGACCTCAGGTGATCTGCCCACCTCGGCCTCTCAAAGTGTTGGGATTACAGGTGTGAGACACCACGCCCGGCAGAAAAACCCACACTCTTAGGAGGGCGGTTCTGTTTAATTCAGCCCGACGGTTTCCTCCTTGTGGACACAGCCATCACCTGTGGAGGCAGAGAGGCCCGGAGGGCGGCTGAGCCTCCCTCGGGATTCTGCGCATTGATTGATTTCGAAGAGCCCCTTGTAGAAGGCCGGTGCCTCGGGCCCTTCAGCGCCTCTTCCCGCCCCTCCCAGCCATCCCGAAAAGGCGAGGAGGCCGCGTGGCGTCACCGGGCAGAGCCCGCAGCGCGCACTCACCGAGGCAGGCCGGTGGCGATGCAGAACAGGTCCATGATGTCGCTGGAGTTGCAGTACTTGCTGAAGATTACCTGCAAAACAGAAGCGCGGTGAGGCGGCAGCGAGGGCGGCGGGTCTCCCTGGAGACGTCAGACGCCACGTGCTTCCGCTTCGGCTCCAAACTGAAGGTTCGTTTTGAAAAGAAAAGCTGTAACTCTACGCACGGGAATGTCACAGGCTCATCTTTTCATTTGGTTGATGCATACGGGTGGTGAAAAATGTCATTGTCGTGTTCAGTGGAAAGAGTTGTGAAAAATACAGCGATGCCCCCTTGCCCACACGCCTGTCCGTGACATGGTTATGGTGAAGGCGCATCCCTCGGAAGGGGCCAGGCAGGACTGACCACCTGGGGTCAACACTGTCGCTTGGCACCGGGTCTTCAAGTATCTCATGGGGGCTATTCTGTAAATAAAATAAAATTCAAGTTCATTAACTTCAAAAGAAAAAAGAAAAAAAGGCCGGGCGCGGTGGCTCACGCCTGTAATCCCAGCACTTTGGGAGGCAGAGGCGGGTGGATCACCTGAGATCAGGAGTTCCAGACCATCCTGGCCAACATGGTGAAACCCCGTCTCTACTAAAAATACAAAAAATTAGCCGGGCGTGGTGGCAGGTGCCTGTAATCCCAGCTACTCGGGAGGCTGAGCCGGGAGAATCGCTTGAGCCAGGGAGACGGAGGTTGCAGTGAACCGAGATCGCACCATTGCACTCCAGCCTGGGCAACAAGAGTGAAACTCCGTCTCAAAAAAAAAAAAAAAAGACTGCCTTTCGGTATTTGGGGACTGAGGGACTGAGGCTGAATGACGAAGTCGAAGAGGGGAATCACATCACAACAGAACCGTTGAGGATCCTGGGCGCCCGCGGTGAAACTGGCGCCTGCAGAGAAACACCACCTACGCGCGGGATGGCCGCGCTCGCTCCCCAGTGCCGCCGGGGCTGTGGTGGAAGCGCCGGGTTAGCATCCGCATCTTCTGTCCAAGGGGTCCCGGCCATGAGTCTCGGCTCTCAGGGAGGGGGTATTTCGAGCTCGGTGAGGGTGGGGCTTCTCCAGGGCTGGACAGAGCGCGGAACGGGCCACGCCGAGGCCCCGCCTTCATCGCAGAGGATGCCTCCCTGGACAGTTTCCCCGGCTCCTGGCTGCCAACGCAGCTTTTCTTTCCAGCACAAGTCCCCGGTGTGGGGGAAACGCAGGCCTAGGAAGATGGTTATTTTTCGGTGCCCAGCGCACCATTTTTTTTTTTTTTAAGCTAAGATTAGTTTTCTTTTTTCTTTACTTGGAAACAGTGAAATATAGAAAACAGATTTTTTTTTTCTGTGACTAACACCATTTCCTGTGGGCTGCTGAACTGGCAACAATAAGACAGTAAACAGCACCTCTCCTTGCCCGTTATCCCCACTGGTATTTGCCCCAGGGGTAACGGTCGGTCAAAGGTGGCCTGTGTCATTGCGTGGTTCCTGACGTCTGTGGCATCGGCTGTGTCCCTGGCTGCCTATGCAGCTTGGTCCTGGCCCTGCTCGCACGGGTGCAGTAGCCCCTTCAGCAGCCCCCACTTTGGCCTCACCCCATTTCCCCCACATCCTCCTTTGCAGGACTCTGCTGGCTCCTCCCAGAGCTCCCTCCTCTGAGATGTGCTTCTCCTCCTGTGTCCTGGTTCCTGGCCTCGCCTGCAGAGGCTGCTTCTCCCAACCCCACTGCCGAGGAGTCCTGCACTTGGCCGGGTGCCAGGCCCTCACTTCTACCATGGCACCATCCTCAGCCCTAGTCACAGTTCACGCTGCGGCCTCCCAGGCTATGCCCGTGGAGTTGTGGCGTGGCAGAGCCTGGGCTGGGGTCGTGGCCATTTTCCCACCAAGACAGGACAAAAAGCGGTTCCCATGTGGGCCCCTGTGTAACTCACTTCCTTCCGGTGTGGCGGACTTACTTTGGGGGTCTACAGAACCCCAGTCTGCAGAGGGCAGGGGTGGAAGAAGAGGAAGGCAAGGAGGGCTCTTTCTTTGAACATTCTGGATCTGCAGCTTCTGGAGAAGCAGGATGTGGTTTGCAAGAGGCTTGCTGAGGAGGTTGGTGTCTTCAAAGCGTGCTTCTGGCCCCGGCTGAGGGATTCCCACGCAGTGGGTCCGGGTTGGGCCCTAGGAATCTGCGTTTGACTTCTATTGGGTTTCTTGGATTAGAAGCCACTGCTCAAAGATGTGTTTCTACAGTGTCTCCCTCAGATGAGCGGGGTGGTCCTGCAGAAGGCGGGGGGCCCTGTGGTCCCTGTGTTCCAACCTGGGTGGCCGCAGCAAATGACGCCTTTATAAAGTCCTCGCCCCACCCCGCCCCACTGGGTGCTTCTCCTCCTGGGCACAAAGGGCACCACATCCTGTCCCAGCCCCTCAGAGTGCACGGGGGATGATCTTGGAGTTAAATTCTCTCCAGACACATCTGGCAAGACCGACTCAAATCATGGCTCCTTGGGCTGGCTTGAAGGGGGTGCACCTACCAGCAAGACCTCAAAAGGCGAGGGGAGGGCGATTACGGAATCGCAGTCTCTTGGGACTGGGCAGGCTCGTCTGACTTTACTCAGAAGGGAAGTGGCTTTGCCAAGGGCAACAGGCTCATGGGCCTGGGGCTTCTCCATCTCAGGAGCATGGGGCCAGGTCGTGAGGCCAGGCAGCCCAGGCGGCCCCGGAGGCCTGGGGGGATCCTTGACTGCTTCTTACTCCTGGGACTCTCAACTCAACTTCTTTGAACCTAAATTTCCTCTGCTATAAAATGGACCAAAAAAGGGGTAGCTGTCATCTACAGAAGCTTTTACTCCAATGCCCCCTGGAAGGTTCTGCACCAGGCTGGAGGCCAGAGCTCGTGATTCAATGCAGAAGCTTCGAGCCCCATGGAAAAGGACCGCAGTAAGCACCTCCGATGACTGACCCCCAAGCACAGACTCCTGGGGACAGCTTCTGATGGCCTCGCTCAGATGATATTCAGACCCTGCCAGTGGGCTGCCCAGGGCTTCCAGGGCTCTTTTCAGTTGAGGAACAGCTGGCTTCATGAGGCTGCAGCCCAGGAGCCAGTGGAGAATCAGTTACGGAGCACTGAGTGGAATGAGTGAGGAACGCTTTACTTTTTGGCATCATGCGTGTCGTTGTACTGTTGGACTTTCCGGCTCTGTTATGAAGCCCTTTCCCTGTCTTCTTAAGCTATCAGTCACCTTTAACGACCTAGATTTTTTGTAAACTGAAATGAGTAATTCTTAAGTGATATCTGATTTTCACCATCTGCTCTCCTTCCTCCCCAAATGCAAACTTTTATGAAGGCTTTACTTTTGGTGGCAATATCTGCAAAGGTTCCGGAAGGATCTGTCCTCCTCCTTGCCAGGATAAAATTGGGGAAGGTTTATGCAACCGAGCCTAAGCCTGAGAGACGTGCGTGAGAACGACGCTCATTTGCTGGGCTGTGACCGCTCTTGAGGGGCCGAGGGTGACTGTGCAACGTCCATGCCCACAAAGTCCCCTGGGGGAGGGTAGGGGCTCTCAGGGTCACAGCCTCCAAGATGGGAAAAAAGGCTCTACTCTGGCAGGCCAGGGTTTTGGAATATCGTGGGGGCCTTGAGAAGAGAGGGGTTCATCAAATTTATAAGTACTGCCGGTGAAATCTGGAGGAGAGCTTTTTATGCTTGGCTTCCTAACCTTAGGATAGCAAACAACAGAGGCTTTTGCTTCTGATATCTTCTGAGGTCTTCCAGCAAAACAAACTGAAAAAGGCCTGTTTGGTATGGTGGCACTCTTGCCACCTCTATGCAAGCAAGGATGCCACACCTAGGGGGACCAGCCTTATTCTGCCATCCAGAATAATCTCTCTTTGAGATTATGTTGGAAAAAAGGTGGGGAGGCTGTCAGGAAATTTGGAATAAGCACAAAAGTTGGCACTGGCTGTCTCCACTGGAGAATATAGCTGCATCCGTTTGTAAGTCCATTTCAACATTGCTTCACTCCTTATACATTTAGGGTTCTTGGATTTCTCTTTTGAACTGGTCGTACCTTCTTACCAGTTCCCATTCGATTCATCAGTTCAGTAAAAATGTTTGACACACGGTCATTTTAGATCTGGATGAGAGTCATGACTTCAGCTTTTGCTGTTCATTAGTCTCCAGCGGCGCCAAAGTGGGTGCGAGTTTGGGCATGAGGCGTGAGCCCTAGGGATGGGGGCTTGGACAGCCGCGCTCTTCGCTGGTGTCAGAAGCACCCAGCCTGATGCTGCTCCTGACTGTGGGAGGCCAGCCCGGCTGCAGCTTCAGACCACGGGAGGACCCCTAGGCTGCCTCGTCAGGAGGCCATAGGGCTTCCTGACCACATGCTGAAGAATTTTGCAAATCCTTTATCCAGAAACAAATAGTGCAAAAAAAGTTGATAAAATGAAATTTGAAAATGAGATGCAGAGGCAGCAAGATTAAGGGAAAAACGAAAGTTTTATGTTGGCTTCTGGCTTGCAGGCGAGTCAGGGCTGGAGCTTACGAGAATGCACGGCAGGTCATCACAAACCCTTTTGTGTGGTTTGACTGGCAGTGCTGTGATATTAAAGCAAGATGAGAGAAACAAATGATGAGACAGAGGGCGGCTCCCCCACTGGAAATTGATGCCTCTTCATAATCAGCTGAGACCTGGGAATGTCAGCGGGAACATCACTGTCTGGGAGCCCTCAAGCTGCCTACATTAGAGAAGGCTGACACTTACCAGGTGCCAACCACAGGCAAGCACTAGTCTAAGATGTTTACACACGGAAACCAAGGCACACAGAGATGTGTGTGGCTCCCACGCACCCAGCCAGAAGTGTACATCAGGACTGCATCCTGGGCCATCGGCTGCGGACCGCACATGCTTGATCACAGCATACACTGACTCCCAGATTATTTAATGTCTATATCCAAAAGAGCCTCCTTCTAGACACCACGTAATGGAAGGAGCAGTGGATTTGAGAACAGGAAGCCCTTTGGGTAACCAGTGACTCCTTTTGTCCATGGCTTCTCTTTCAACCCTGTGGGCAAGCGCATAACCAGTGGGAGCCTCAGTTTACCATTCTGTAAATAGGGTTGATGGCATCAACTCCACCTGCCCCTTGGGGCTGTGAGAAGCAGTAAGTGAAATGACAGGTTTGAAAAGAATTACACAAAACACTACTGGTTTGACACAAAGTTCAAGTTTGTATCATTTCAGTTGCCACGAATCTCAACGTCCCCACTGGTTGCAAATCCTGTGATTTTCACACAAGTCTCTAGGAAGTCTCTGAGTGAACAAAGGCACCTAGAAAAACTTTTCGCCACATTTTGTCTGGCAGCCACTGTTATGTCAGCAGGAACTCGAGTGCGCAATCTGCAGCGTTTCCGGAGCTGGGAAGAACGAACACCTGGCTCCTCTGTTCCCACCGTTTCTTGGGGAGGGCGCTGCCTTGACCTTCAGAAAGGCGGGAATGGAGGCCTGGGGAGGGGTCCGCAAGCGGTGGGTTCACAGCAAGACAGTCCTGCTGCTTGTTGGGGTTGATCAGCAGTGAATCCAGAGAAGGAAGAGAGCTACGTGTCACTCAGGCACACGGTTTGACTGGATTCCTGGCTCAGCTCACGGTTGGTACGGGCCATGGCCCAGCCCTGTCAGGCAGTGCAGGAGGGCACAGGGGACCCGGGGCTCTGGTCGGTTGTACCCTCTTGCTTTGCCACCAAGCCTGTTGTCAAGGTGATGGCCCCATCAGTCAGATTGGCTGGGTGGGGGTCTTTCTGACAAAAGTCCCTCTAGATCACCCCTTCCAAGTGGGGGACCCAGGGTCACAGTGTCCACCCTGCACCCATGACAGCACACGGGACCTCTGCCGGCCAGCTGTCCTGCGCATGCCTTGCCTCCTGCTAACCCTGCCCTGTCTCCATGGCCAAGGGGACTGGAGCAGGGGGCTGCCTTAAGCCCCGCTGGCTAGCTCCCAATCACACTCTTTTGGGGGAACTTTTACTGAGAGATGTGGAGCTGGTGGCGACTGTCAGTGAGCCAGGGTCGCATGGGTTTAGTGCCGGGCTGGCCACACTGGGACCCTGAGAGGTAAAAAGGAGAAGCCTCAGGAGAAGGCACAGGCAGGGGCCCTGAGCCCGGGGGCAGCGGAGGCTGTGAGAGGGAGGGGAGGGGCTGCAGGCTGCGAGAGCCCAGGCCCGCCCAGGCTCCTGGCACCCCAGGTCCTGGGGATTTTTCTGAAGACCTCTCAGCCTCCTTACGACAGTCTCTCACTGAGCCTGCTCCCCACACCCATCGGCCTCTGCAGCAACGCAGATCTTCTTGAACTGGCTTGAGAAAGAGTCTGTTTCTTGCAGTGAGAAGCATCTTGACTGGCACACTTAGAAGAAACAAGGCTGGAGTTTGAGGGTCTGGCCTCCAGGGGGCTGCGAAACCCATGCCCAGGGCCTCTGGGTTAAGGGACAGGACAGAAGGGTCTCTCATGGGTGGGGGGTGAGTCGTTTCCTTTCCGGGTCCAGAGGCATTTTCCTGGATTTGACTCTATTTTATCAAATACAGTGTTCTCCTGTCTCCGCTTGGGCCCTCCGTGGAAAGGCTTATCGGGAGGTTGTGGGAAGGGTCCCTTAAGATCCCCATTCTGAGCCCCACATGGTGCTGCTTGCAGGGTGAGGCTGGGTCGGAGGAGGGATCAGAGCTCAGGCCGGCGCAGCAGCTCCATGAGCAGGTCTCCTCGTCGTGAGGCTGAGAAGAGACACTGGGTCCAGAAGGAGGAGCTCCAGCTCCTGGGGGGTGCTTCATGGTCTTCCTGTAAAACCAAGACTCAAGTAAAGGGATTTCTGAGAGCCCCGAAGCAGCAATCCACCAGGACTCCAGCCGCTGAACGCGAGGCGTGATTTCAGTGTGAGCTGGGCGGGAGGGAGGGGAGACGGAGCGAGGGATGAGGCAGCTCAGGGTTCCGAGTGGAAATCATACTTGGAGGATGCATGCAGTGAATGGAAAATAGGACACAGACTCGATGCCAGCAGCAGCCTGCGGGCAGGCATTCCGGAAGGTTCTTCCACCTACTGAGCCAGCCTGGCATCGACACTTCCTTGCCCACAGCCTGTGGGGAGGAACCAGGGCTCACCTTGGTGAATGTGTCCTGGTGCAGCGCGATCCCCTCCTCGTGACCTGGATCTCTGGGGTCCATGGGACTCCAGCTCTCCCAGCTCACCTGTGTGTTTTTATCTGAAAGGTGCAGCATGAAGCCCAAGGCACCTGCATGTTCCAGTTTGGAGGGGACTCGTCCAGTGAGATCCTTCTAGTGGAGGATCCTTCTGATCAGCGGGAGTCCACTGGGCTTCAGCCCAGACACGCCGAGGGGAAGTGGGTGCCGTGCCACGCTGCCTCCCCCAGCCCTGTCTGTGCACCCTGATCTGTGGTACCTGCTGTCATGCTTGCCTGTCCCCGTCCCACAGACGGTCCTGTCTGCTGCACCTATTTCCCCCGGGAGGTGGCCGCCGGAAGAATGCTGGCTGCACATCCGATGCTGTTTGCCGTCCATCAGTTCTGATTTTTGGAGCATGCATTGACGGATATATGGCCCCTTCCACATACGACTTCAAATTCACACACGCATTCACATATGTGAAAACTTTTTTTTAGTTTAAAGAAAGGCTGATTCCAATGTCCAGCCTCTGCTTTCCTTCTGCTTCTTGCCTTTCCCTTCTTTAAGGTGGTTGTCCAAGGAGCCATGGGAAGATGGTTACCCAGAACTGGGTGTCCTTGGTCCCAGCCTGGCCTCCTACTGGGGCAGGCAGCTCTCAGAAGGGCATTGAGGCTGCGGAGGAGCCAGGCAGGAGTGTGGGAGGAAGATTTTATTTGGGCTCCAGATAGAAAATGGCTTTTCACTGTCTCTGCCCCATTTACCCTTGCCATTTCAGCATCTATTCAGTCCAAATGTGGCTGGCAATGGCTGCTGAGAAAATTATTCCCTCTTCAGAGCAATTAGGAGCTGGGCAGAAGGGCTGGTAATAACAGAGCAGAGATCTGCAGCCGGCAGAGATCCCGCCAAACCCCTCACGCCCCCAGGGCTCTGTGTTGAGTCGGCTTCCGTTGATTCCACACCCGGAAGGGAAGAGCAGACCCTGGTTCATTTTTCTATTTCTATTTGAGGAGCTTCCTTGCAGCTGCCGCGAATATTTCTTGCTGGGTTTGTCAGACTCTAGTTTGGATTGGCACAAAGCCAATGACCACTGGAAATTGTGGGTTTCTTGCACAGACATTTGTGGTGCTACCTAGAAATGCTCCAATTCCTGGACAAACAAGATAACTAGGCTGGGCTCAGTGGCTCACGCCTGTGATCCTAGCTCTTTGGGAGACTGAGGTGGGTGGATCACCCAAGGTTAGGAGTTTGAGCCCAGCCTGGCCAGTGTGGCGAAATCCCATCTCTACTAAAAATACAAAAATTAGCTGGGCGTGGGGGCATGTGCCTGTAGTCCCAGCTCCTCAGGAGGCCGAGGCAGGAGAATCACTTGAACCCGGGATGTGGAGACTGCGGTGAGCCAAGATTGTGCCACTGCATTCCAGCCTGGGCAACAGAGCAAGACTCCATCTCAAGAAAAAAAAAAAAGATAACTGGATGGCAACTGAGGTTTGAGTTGAGCATGACAGGCTGGCGAATGAAAGACAGCAGCACCGTCACAAAAGAACAGTGTTGATGTGAAGCACTTAGGGGCTGGGTCGCGGGGACAGTTGGAGGTGCCTCCCTAAGACAGCGCCCTCTCTGCAAGGCTGGCTGCAGTCTTTTTCACCGGAGAGATGACCCCATAAAGCTGGTAAACCAGGATGGCATTAGTTTCCTCTCCAAATCCCTGAAAATGTCTGTGTTACCTTTCAAAATCATTAAAAAACATATCTATGTCAGGGAAGTCATGCTTTGAGGTTGGTTGTTGTAAAACATGCAATTATGTTCATTGTCTTGCTGTTATCGCTTACATCGGCTGACATTCTTTATTCAATTGCCTTAGCAACAATTTTTACAGAGCTTCTCTGAACTTGGAGTAACGAATCTGGAGCGAAATTTTCCTCATTATAATTATTCTACAATCTTTCCCTCCAAGTGGTTTTAAGTGGCTAGGGCTGAAGAAGAGAGCCCAGGCATGTACACAGCATGATGCTGAGCTCCTGCAGGAGAGAAGGGCAGCCTGTCTTTCCATCACACTACCCTTCCCCAGGAGGGAAGAGCGGGCTCTGCTCCTCCCCAAGGGCAGCTGGTTAATGAGGCCGGACGCTGGGCCCCGTGGAGCTCACTGCTGGTGCCCGCCCTGCTGTATTCACACAGCTACTGATCTCAGCCTCTCGAGCATCTTACATTTCACCCTGCCTCATATTTTTATTTACTCTTGTAACTTGATGATGATGCTTATTAATTATAAACGTCAAACTGACATCAGAAATCTCCCCAACCAAAATAAGGAGGACTGATTTCTAAGAGCAGCCACATTGGCCTCCAAGACATGGAAGGCAAATACTAGTGACAATCCCGTTGACAATTGTGAGAAGGTGACGCACTGCCCCACACTAGAGATGAGTCGGATGCCCTCCAACCCTCCAATGGGCGAGTGCTAAACTGGGGTCGGCCCACAACATGGAACACGGCTCAGCAAGGAAAAGGTGCACACAACCACTTGGATGGATCTCAAGGGAATGATGCCAGTTGGAAAAAGCCAGTCTCAAGAGGTTACATACTGTGTAATCCCATTTATATAATATTCTTGAAATGACGGAATTGAAGAGATAGAGAACAGATTCATGTTCACCAGGACGGGGTGCTGGAAATCGAGTTAGGCATGGGGTGTTGGAAATGGGTGCAGGTAGGGGATGTGGTTGGTTATAAGAGGCAGCCTTGCGGCGATGGAATGTTCTAGACTGTGACTGTGGTTGTGGATGTAAGAGTCTACACAGGCAAGAACATCGTGCAGAAGTAAGTGCACATGCTCAAGTGAGTACAAGTGCATGAGGCTGTTCTTGCATTGCTATAAAGAAATATCTGAGACTGGGTCATTTATAAAGCCAATTTCTAATTGGCTCACAGTTCTGCAGGCTGTATAAGCATGGCACCGACATCACTGGGCTTCTGGGGAGGCCTCAGGGAGCTTTCACTCAGGATGGAAGGTGAAACAGGAGCAGGCATATCACATGATGAAGGGAGGCGTGCACACCCGTGAGGGAGAGAGAGGAGATGCCTTCTACCTTCACACATAAACAACCAGATCTTGCAAGAATTCACTATCTCAAGGATAGCACCAAGGGGATGGCACTAAACCATTTGTGAGAAACCCACCCCACGATCCAGTCACCTCCCACCAGGCCCCACTCCAACACTGAGGATACCAATTCAACATGAGATTTGGCGGGGACAAATATCTAAACGACATCAGCAAGTACAACTGGAGAATCTGGATCAGATGGGGGCTTGTCTCGCTGTCAATACCCTGGTTGTAAGACTGGGCCATAATTTTGCACGACAGTCCCAGTAGGGGAGACTGGGTGGAGGGTACACAGATCTCTCCGTTGTCTTTCTTATGGCTGCATGGGACTCTCCTCTTATCTTCAGGAGAGTATCTGAGATGAAGTGGCGGCACTAACGCAGAGGCAGTGAGGCTGGCGCCGTTCGGGCCCGTGTATCCACACAGCGCTGTCGGAAAGCAGGTTGGCGGTATTTGTGCCCTTTGACTCACAGTCTCATTTCCAGGAATGGCTCTTAGGGACATAATGAAGATAAACATACTAATAAGAGCATTTATTAAGTGCCAGGCACCATTCTGGTGCTTTCCACGGACGATCTAATCTAATCTCCACTGCACCCCCGGATTTATACCCCAACCAATGCCCTGCGCTGCCCTGCTGCAAGCAAAGATGCACACTGAGCGTGTTCCTCTGGATTATTCACTGCAGAGAAATGGAATTAAGCTGAGTATCTCATAAACAATGAAGTGATTACATTTTAGTGAGCCTCCATGATGGAACTTTATAGAGGCATTAAAATCATGTTTTTGAAGACAATTTAATGCTATATTGGAAACCGCTGCTGATGTAATGCTGAGTGAAAATGATCAGGACACAAAATTATGTGAAAGAAAGCCAGACACACACTTACACGCACTTACACACTCCTAAACGCACACCTGTGTGAGAACGCCAGCAACTGTGGCACTTCGGTGTTAACAGCGGTTTTCTCTGGGTAGTGGGGGATGAGTTATTTTCTCCCTGATACTGTTCTGCATTTTTCAGAATTTCTGCACTGAATATGTAGGGTTTTTATAACCAATAAAAAAGTTCTCTAGCTCTGGAAGCTGAGCTTAGAAATTGATAACAGAACCAGCCTACGAGCATGCTGCACTGCGTTTACATAAAATTCTCATGGGAGAAAAAAGGTCTTTACCATTTTTATTTGGAAGAACACTCTTTGGCATTAAGCCAAGCAGCTGAGAAAATTAAACGCCAGTTAACCAGAGGACAGAAATCGGCATGTAAAGAGTGTGTGTCTGGGGGTAGGAGAGAGGCTGGTGGTAGGAGAGAGGAAGGTTCCTGGAGGAAATGGGGCAGTGGGAGGCAGCAGAGAGGACCTGGGGGAGGACGAACAGAATCCGGCATGGAGGACAAGGCGGGGCCCCTCCTGGGAAGGGAAGGGGAGAGGCCTCCCTGGTTCTGCACTGGCTACAGGCGCGTAGGCGGAGCCGTTTTACAAAGGCCAGGGGCTGGAGGGAGGGAGGGGAGGAGCAGCCCCCACCCTGTTCTTCCATCCTGAGAGTCACACGGAGTTCTGACAAGAAGCCTCATAGCCAGGCCTCACTCCCCAAGGGCCAGGACTCGGCAGAGTGTTAAAGAATTTCTCACGCCACTGTACCCCAGCCTGGGCCACAAATGGAGACCCTGTCTCAAAAAAAAAAAAAAAAAGAATGTCTAAAGCCTAAAGCTCCAGCACTTCCTACTGGCCCTCAGATCCATGCATCTCCTACACTGTGGAAGTGGATTTTCAGTGATGAGGAAGGGTGTCGTGTCTGGGGGCTCCAGGAGAGTCCAGTGAGCCTGGGCAGGGGTCCTGCTTGGGCCACTCAGACCACGCTAGCAGGGGGCCGGCCGGGACTTGCTCCTGGTCGCCTGTGTTACCTTGAGCAAGGTTTGGGGAGGGGGAATCTGTCAGCATGGATTCAGATTTCGTTTCTTCGTTTCTATATGTACATCTGCTCTAACTCTTTCAGACACTAATTGCAAAGCAACACACTCATTGTGTAATAACCTAAATATCGACACGTTCAAGGACGACGCATTCTCTTTGGGGTCAGGTCCACTCAGTGTCTGTGAGGCCGTTCATGGCCACTGCCGTGAGACCTGAATGTTTTGCAGATGTCCTGCAGGCCAGCGAGTCGCAGGGCAGCGTCGCCCAGGCATCCAGGCTGGCCCATGTCTGCAAAGCGGTGCAGGCAGGACCCTCCTCACACAGCGAGGAGGGCGGTTCTGGATTTGGGGGGCCACCGTGACAAACTGAAGCAAAGTGATGCAGACACTAATGTGAGCCTATAGCTGCCACCTCGAACCCCCAAATCCAAATGCGGAACTCACACAAGAACCCTCTTGTTCCCATTAATTCTCTCCTTGGTGCCACAAATGCAAATTTATGAAATAATGGAAACTATTATGATTTGCCCAACTGTTTATATATGCTTCATATGTTAGGACGGTATCACAATTCTGTGAGGAAAAGGGTTCAGTTGCTAAAATTGTGCAAAGGGCCGCACTAGACTCATAGACCATCAGGGTGGAGGAGGCTGTGGGCCTGGAAGTGAGAACAGTCAATCAGCGGACTGACCTCTGCTACCGAATGCTCCTAGCTGGCTCTGTTCCACCTGGGCAGGCCTGGGCTTGGCTGGGTCCGTGCCATTCGGCTGTCTCTTACCTCTAGGATCGCCCTGGTCAGTTGTTGATGTTGTACACTGCTCTAGGTGCAAGAAAGGCAGAGGAGTAGGAAGAGAGGAGGTGGAGATGTGAGTTCAGTTCCAGTCCCTCCTCCTACCAGCTTGACCCAGGGAAGATTTCTTAACTTTTCTGAGGCTCTGATTCTTCGGCTGCAAAGCGAGACAAATCCTACCTCGCCCACAGGAATGTTAGGAGGATTCGTCATGCAGATAGAGGGCCCGCTACACATTACTTACTCCGTTGAGTGGCAGCCGTGATTACAGGAGGGGACCCTTGAAACTCATGGATCCTCCTCCTCCTTTTTCCTTCAAAGGCTGTTTCGCAAGCAAGTAGCACCAAGGCACATGGCCTTAACTTCAACATGTCAGCATTTCTGGGTGTTTCAATAGAGTATGGGACAAAAGCCTGTCTTAACTCGGGGATGCCACCGCACAGCAGGCTCTGATTGCTCTCACTGACCTACGGAGCCCCGCATTGATTAGCAGCCACATCCAACTGTGTCCACAGTGCGACAGAAGCTGGAGGCCACATCAACACAAACACATATGCGTTAATAAGATCAACCGCGTCGGATGAACAAGAAACCAAACTCGACGGGTTAAATGATCCATTTGACCTCACTGTGGTTTAGGCCAGTTTTCTCTTTTTCTAAACACGGCAGGGCATCTGTCTTTGCAGGCAGGCCCCAGGTGGGTTCCTCCACACCCCAGCACTGAGCTGGACCTGCCCTTTGGCATGCGTTCAGGGGGTGCTGGTGCCCAAGCTTGCTCCTGTGTGAACCAGGGTGAGCAAATTCTGCGTTCTGTGGTTTTATGTTGTGTGACTAATGATGCCCATGCCACAACCACAACCACCAATGGGGACTGAGACCACACTCGGGCTAGAACCAGAGCCAAACGCCCTAAAAGCCCAGTGACTCTGGGTCCTGAAAAGGACCTCCTGAGTGCTGTGTCATCTTCATTCCCCCACAGACGAGGACAGACAAGAGAGAGAAGAGCCCGGCCTGGCCCTGCTCCAGGCCCTCAGCTCCAGGGGTGCGTGCTGCACCTAAGTCAGACCTTCAGCTGTGGTCTGAACGAAGGCGAGGTGGGCTCGTGGCCATAACGGGATGTGCAGCTCTGTTTGCCTTGTTCTCAAATTACTGATATTTCTGATTGCATACTCAGAATAAATATTGATTTAGGCTCCTCTAAAGGAAAATAAACCAATTCAAATTCCTTTTATTTTCTCTATCCTAGACTGTGAATCATTTTTAGAGCTTTTATAAGCTATTAAGCTTTTATATCAGCTTCCATAAGATTTTGCTAGGCTTTGTCTGCCCTCAAGACAAACAGGCACATCTCAGCCGGGCTTGGGGATCTCTCTGGGAGAGAGAACAGACCAAATCAGCCTGCAGGACCAGCCAAACGCAACCCACTAGCAGATTCACACATTTCTATCTTTGAGGGAGTTAAAAGGTGAATTTTCTATTGCCTTTTTCAGCGCTCGATAATTCCAAGTGTTTAATATTTTTTTAAATGAGCTAAAAGAGGCCAAGCCCCAAATTCCACATTCTATTGTTTTTTCTTATTACCCAAGAAATAAATATGCGTTCACTGAAGAAACATTGCAAGTTATCTATGAATCATCTGTCAATCAATCTATATCAATCATCTGTCCATCCATCTGTCTGTGTACATCTGCAATTCATCTGCAATTTACCTCTAGTTACAAATTATATATATACACATTTGGACATATTGTTCATTTTGTTTGGTCTCTTGTTTTTAGAATACTTAACAGTAAAGTCACACTCAGAATGGATTACAGTTAACCGCCAGACAATCACTGCTTCTCTATTTGCTAAAATAAAATCTGTATTCAGCCTCATTTCCTTTTCCAGTTTAGGAGATATTTTTCAGGTCCTTGCATTTGAAAAAGAATATACAACAACGACAGAAATTACCATGGATTCCCATGTGCCAGAGGCATTTAAAATGTTATTTAAAAAACAAAACAAAACACTTCCCTGTTATGGAAATGCTCAGACGTACACAAGAGCAGGAGGAAAGCGTCATGAAGCCTCCGCTGCACACCCACAGCTTCAACACCTGTCCCCACGCCTCCCCTCCTGCTTGAACTGGGCCCCAACCTCCCCAGCACCGGAGTTATCCTAAAGCTCCTCTCAGGTATCGTGCTAGTCCATCTGCACTGTTTCCACGCGGTTCTCTGGAGTAGAACGCTTCCTTTGTGGTTAAGATAACCACAATGTAATTAGTACATGGAGAAAAAATTAACAACAGTCTCACATCATCTCTCAGCTTGTCATACATCTGTATCTCTAAGTCATGGTTTAAGGATCAAAGATAACATGTGTTCAGGAAATACATGGCAAGAAAAGGGATGGGAAGTATAACTAGAGACCTCAGGAGACACCAAGCAAATGCAGGGTGTGGGCTGTGCTAGGATCCTGACTTGAAAACTAATGCATCCGTGTGTGTGTGAATGTATGTGTGAGTGAATGTATGTATATGTGTGTCAGAGTGTATGTGCGTGTGAATGTGAGTGTATGTGTGTGAATGTGGGTGTATGTGACTGTGAGTGTAAGTGTATGTGTGAGTGTGTGAGCATGTGTGTGAATGCATGTGTATGTGTGTATGTGTGTGAATGATAGTTTGTAAGTGTATGTGTGTGTGAATGTGATAGTGTGTGAGTGCATGTGTAAGTGTATGCGTGTATGTGGTGTGTGTATGTGTGAATGTGTGGGTAAGTGTACGTGAGTGTGAATGTGTGATTGCCTGTGTGTGTGAAGGTGTGAGTGCGTGTGTAAGTGTATGTGTGTAAGTCTATGTGCAAGTCTGTGTGACTGTGTATAAGTGTATGTGTGACTGTAAGTGCGTGTGAATGTATGTGTGAATGTTTGTGAATGTAAATGTGAATGTGTGTGAATGTGTGTGTGGATGTGTGTGTAAATGTATGTGAATGTGTGTGAATGTGAGTGTGGTGTCTAAGTGTATGTGTGTGAATGTGTATGTGTGAATGTGTGAATATGTGTGTGAATGTATGTATGTGTATGAGTGTGAATGTAAGTGTATGTGTGTGAATGTAAGTGTATGTGTGTGAATGTGTGTAAGTGTATGTGTGCGTGTGAATGTGTGTGCGTGTGAATGTGTGTGTAAGCATGTGTGAGCCTGTGAATGTGTGTAAGCATATGTGTGAGTGTATGAGAATGTGTGTAAGTATGTGAGTGTGTGAATGTGTAAGTGTGTGTGTGTGAAGGTGAAACATGGTGCTTTCCTTTTATTGCCATGCATCTGTTGAAGCACCCACATTATCTTGGATCCTTAAAGCACACCTTGAAGGTGATGCTGGCATGCCCACCTGGTGCCAGGGCTGGCCTCTCTCTAGAAGGCACGGTCACACTGGGCTGTGTGTGCAGGTTCCCGGGCTCAATTCCAGCTCTGTCCCTCATTATCCGTGGCTGTGGGCAAGTTCCTGAACCTCTTCATTCCGTGCTGAGCAGCAGCATGGAGACCACACCAGGAGCCTCTATGAGACACTCGGCTCTCCGGGATGCGGTGACTTAACTCCGCTGGGCAGATTCTATCCCCATGTCACTGATGTTGAAACTGAGGCCCGAGAACATACAGCCAGCATGTGCCATTGCTGGGTTCCAGCCTCAGTCTGCTGATTCCAGGGCCCCAGATGAACCGCCAAGTGGGGTGTGGGTTGTCATTTTGACGCCGAGGCTCCGAAGCATGCCATGGCCTCCCAAGGTTCATCTCCTAATTTAATGTCCCTTCTCTTGGGCCCCGCACACAGGAACCTTCAATAAATGTCTGTTAAGTGGAAGGATTTGAGGGGCACGTTTGCCTAACATGGCATGAGTTAATCCAATTCAAATGTGGAGTGAAACTCAGTGGGAAGGAGAGAGACATCTAAGACCCCGCAGGCAGGGGAGGCGGGGATGTCAACAACAAACAGAAAGGTGGTGTGATGCGGCCGCAATTCCCAAACTGCTGGCAGCCACCAGCAGCTGGAAGAGGCAAGGAAGGGAATCTCCGGGGGAGCCTCTAGAGGGAGCGCGGCCCTGCCCACACCTGGATTTCAGCCCAGCGATTCAGATTTTGGACTCCATCCTCCAGAGCTGCGAGATAATCCGTTTCTGTTGTTTTAAGCTGTGGCATTTATGGCCATTTGCTACAGCGGCCCTGGTCTCTGTTCTAAGAGGGGTGGAATCTTTTTCGCAAGCAATGGGAGTCCTTGATACCGGGTGGGCCTCAGCGCGTGTATGCAATGGGGGAAACTTCAGGAGGGGATGGTGAAGGAGGCATTAACGAGGGGAGACACGGAGGGCTCAGCCGCTGGCCAGAGGCTGCAGAGGGAGTTGATGTGGCCCGCGTGGGACGTGGCGGGGGGTGGAGGGAGCAGCTCTGATAATCCGTGGGGAATTCCTCTCCCGACGGAGGATGTTCATGCGCAGGACACGGCTACCCAGACCGTCTGAACAGCCCTCCAGGTCACGCTCAGAGCTGCCTGGCCTGACGGTGGGATTTCAGGGCCCATTTCCCCCGCGCCGGCATCTGCGCGGATCCCGGGCCTCCGCACAGGGCTCATTTGTCATGACTGCTGTGCTCATCACTCTTGTCATTTTTCTGCGTAGCTTCGCTTTTGTTTTCCTCACTGCTAGTGTCTGAGGCCAATCTCCACTGTTATAAATAATGGATCACAGGGGACTGAAAATGCAAAAATCGACGAACCAAAAGAACAGGAAGTGTGCTGAGATGGAGCTCTGCACACAGGACTCTCACGGGGCATTTCTGAAGGCCTCTCGCCAGTTGCAATCTGCTTGACTCCTGGATACGCGGTTCAAGCTCGAAGCAACTCTCGCTGCATGAACATGACCCTTCCGCCACCCCCTCTCTGGGGCCTCACCCTTGTCTTGTCTTAATAATTCATGCTCACTTCTCCCAGGGCCTCTGTCTGTCTCTGCTGCATCAGGACTCCGAGTGGGAGCTAATGCAACCCTTCCCTGGAATCTGGGCTCCCTGGACCCTGGGGATGGCAGGAATGGGGAGGGTGGGGTAGGAGGTGCTCGGGGGACCCAGGCGGCAGCCCCTCTGGAGGATCACTGGGGGAGAGGACCTTCTCTCAGCACGCAGCCCCTTCGAGCCCAGTTTCAAGGCAGTATGTGAGAATGGTGTGGCTGGACATGGGTGAAAAGATTTAGAGGAAACCATGGGAAAGGGACACCCCAGCGGGGAGGCAGGGGAAGGCAGACAGGAGTGGAATCCTTTTTGTGCACCCCTCTCTCCAACTTCGACCCAGAGAGCTTGGATGTCTTGGTAAGCCGGCATCGCCCATTCCATCATCATCATTTCCAAGTGGGAATGGGATAAGGGAGGGGAGATTCCACTAGAACTGCAGGGGGGAAAGGGCGGTTCATCAAAGCAGAAACACACGTCCTGTGCTGGGTCCCTTGAGAAGGGCCAAGTGGGTCCCAGTCAGGACTGCAGGGGGTCCTGGACCAAACAGCAGGGGGTCGGGAGGAGGGAACTTGCCACGGGTTTCTAGGGAAGTGGTGGCTGCCAGTCCTTTCAAGAAGGCCCAGCAAGGCTTTTGGAATAAAGGTAATGCCTGGTTCTTGCAAGAGGCCTGTTGTGATCCGAACTTGCATAAAACCCAAAAACCTGCAACTCCTGTGAGCGGAGACAGTCCAAGACCATCTGAGAAGCAGGCCAAGTGCTTTCATTCTTCCTGGTTCATCTTCCCTCCCTCCTCACCACTCTCTTCCTTTGTTTCAAGAGAACAAAACAAACATACTGGGCAGGCAACTGGGAGGGAGGGGTGTGTTTCTATTCAAAACTCTTTTTCATGCCACCTGCCAAATAGAATTCTAAATCCTCCTTTAAAAAAAACTGTGCCCCATCCATGAAGTCGAGTAGTTTAAGAACTGTGGCCACGTCAGCACCCTGTTCCCTGGTCTGTACTTGCTGGGGTATGTCTCCCTTTTGAAAATCAGTATATTGTCTCTCTGTTTTCCATGGATTTGGTGTCTGAATGGATAGGCTTATGGGCTGCTAGAAGTTGGACCCCCTCATCCAACTTCCTCATTGTGATCTCCAGCCAACCTCCTCAAACTGGTCATGTGGTTGGCCAGGCTGCAAAGCATGTTGGGGTTGTTTGCTGTTTCGCCAGCATGGCCCTTCACCCCTGGCTGGAGGACAAAGAAGCAGTCTGTGTACAGGGAGTGAATGGGCAGTTGGGACCAGGCGCCTCAACATGCTGGGGTTGGGGCGGGGGGGAGTGGGGACAGCCTGGAGCCCGGGAGGGCGAGTCGGCGGTCACCAGGCGCGGGACCTTGGTGCCGCCTTTCAACCTTTTGGGCTGCGATGCTCTCTTTGGTGACCCAATGTCGTTCTGGATCCCTCCTGCTTTCCCACATTAGGGTTACAAAGGCCAGAAGATGGGGAAGGGAGAGGTCATTCCCACTTCCCAAAGCGGGTGCTATGGACTGAACTGTGTCCCGTCAAAATTCATGCTGTAGTTCTGACCCCAGCACTTCACGATATGACCTTATTTGGAGACCGGGCCTTTAAAATGAGATGTCCTTGTAAAACGAGGCGCCGAGGACACAGACATGCAGAGGCTCGGCCCTGCATGGACACGGGGAGGAGGTGCCAGCCCAGGAGAGGCCTCAGGAACCAGCCCTGCTGCAGCCTGACCTGGGAATTCGGCCTTCAGACCGCGAGGGCCTTGGTGTCTGCTGTGGAGGCCGCCGGGCCTGTGGTCCTTTGTGACGCCGGATGCACACGGGGGAGTGCAGCCCTCACAAAGCTGAGACGGAGCTGCGGGTGGGGCCTCGGCACCTTCAGGACCTGCTCTGCGCTCCTGCTGGGTCCCAGCTGCTGAGTCAGATGGGCTCATCCAGAAACAAGCCAGCTGCCCTCCCTCCTTCCCCACAGCCTCACACTTGGGAGGCGGGGAGACTTCAGAAGTGCTTTGGTGCCAGCCCTGCCCCTGGCAGCTCCAGCTGAGATCCTCGTCGACAAGGAGAACCCAAGTCCAAGGACAGCAAGAAGGGCCTTCTGGAGCTGATAGCCACGCCCTTCCGGCTGCAGCCACGCCCTTTCTTGATGACCACGCCCACTGCACGAATGACCACGCCCTCTCGGTTGTGGCCACGCCCACTGCACTGGTGGCCACGCCCCCACCCCAGGGCTGCTTTCCCCTTTGATAAAGAACATCTTTTTAGATGTCAGGGCCTGAAGGCCCTTGGGGAAGGTGAGCCTGTTCTTTAGGGCCCCAGGAAGGCAGCGTTTCCTGTGCTTAGGACTCCCTTCTCACGGTCCACACTGCCTCCCCAACTGACTTCAACGGGGCCTCATGGCGCAGAGGTGCCCAGGGGAGCATCAGGAGCTTGAGGGATAGACGGTGGAGCCACGCGGGAGAAGCTTCATCCCTGGCCCAGCCGAGCAACGCCCTCTCACGGGTGAGCTGCATGCATCCATTGTTCATTATTCAACAACTGTTACTGGTTCTCGTGCCAGTCTCTGGGCAGGGGCAGGGTTGGAAGGTGAGTGACTTGATCCTGGGCTCCAAGGGTGCCTGGTGAGGAGTTATTACAGTGCAGAGAGGCACCTGCACGCGACACATCCGGCTTCCTAGGAGCGGGGACATTCAGCAAGGGCCGGCCAGGGCAGGGAAGGCCGGGAGCTGTAGGAGCAGAGCAAGGTCGGGGGTGGCCACCAAGGCTGGAGCCAGATGTCCAGGTTCCAACACTGCTGGCCTGTGGGAGCCCAGGTGACAAGATCACAGGGACCCTGTGGGCTTTGGTGAGCTCCCTTGGGCAGGGTGTAGCCAGGGGTCTCTGGGTGGGGGAGGAGGACCAGAGGGCAGGTTGAACGGTCTTCTAAGAGCCAACCAGTCCCTCAGAGGGCCAGGATGGGGGTGGACAAGGCAACCCCCTGAGTGTCCTGGGGCTGCTATAACAAAGACCACAAACTGGGTGACATGAAACCACAGAGGTTTATCTCTCTTGGCTCCGGAGGCCTGAAGCCTGAGCTCGAGGCATGGGCGGGGCTGGCTCCTTCCCAGGACTCCAGGGAGGAGGCTTGCCTCTTCCAGCTTCTAGGGGCTGCCCGCAGAGCCTGGCTTGTACATGCATCACTCTGGTCTCTGAGTCTGTCTTTACATGGCCTGATTCTGTCTCTACGTCTTCCGTTCTCATTTCCATGGACAAATGTGTGTCTGCCTTTCCCTCTCCTTAGAAGGATGGCGGGCATATGGGCTTGAGGCCCATCCCAATGCAGTATGACCTCATCTTGATGTGATTATGTCTGCAAATACCCTATTTCCAACTAACGGGACATTCACAGGTTAGCACAGAAATCCACTTTTTTGGGAGACACAATTCAACTCACAGCAGTGACCATGAGTGGATGAACAGAGGTCAATGGCAGGACGTGGTGACAGTGCAGGCGGGCGGAAGTCGAGAGGAAACTGAGTCTCTCGCAAGGCCGACCCGGCCGTGTGTACCCAAATAGGAGGCATCAGATAAGAGTGGTGAGTGAAGTTGGTGATGGGGGGAGCTACAGAAGCCTTGGGGGCTTCCATTCGGATGGGAATGGAACCCCCTCCCTCCCTCCCTTCCTTTCCCTCCTCTTTCCTTGCCTTTTGATTGCCTTGGAATTTCATTAGAAAATGAAGCACAAATTTCCTGCCAGAAAAGAAATGTCTCTGAGTGCTGGCACCGGGGCCTTGCGCTGGTCCAGTTTGCTCCAGGTCTGCTTTGGTGGCCAGGGTCACCTTTATGCCCTTTCTGCTTTGTGTCCATGCAGAGGCCAGCCCGGAAAGCAGGTAGAACCCCTCGCTGGCCTCCTGCCTCATCTGCTGCAACTGTCTCCCTGGATCTGGGCTCCTACTCAATGCAGCAGCACCATCAGGAGCGGCTGCCACTGTGATGTGTCATCACCTGCAGGTGGCACGTCCCTGTGCCAGGCTGAGACTGGCACTTTGTGACCAACGTGCCCCGTGTCATCAGCCCTGTGTCATGCTGCGAGGTGAGGCACCATTGCCCACTGAGCCGAACACAAAGACTCCCTCTTGGCCTCGCTATTTTTAGTTTGATGCCTTGGGCTCACAGCAGTTGGCTGGAGTCACTAAACCCCCAGCTTTCTCTTCCAGAAGCCAAGCCTGGCACTCCGAGGGGCAGGTGGGAGCTGGAGATGCCTCGAGAAGCCCCTTTGGCATCTGGACCCGACTCGGCCCCGGGCCGTCCTCTGGGGGCTCTCTGATCCATTGTCTGAGGACACATGGTGGACTCACCACAGGGACTGAGGCTGAATCACAAACTCCAGACCCCAGCAAGGACCTGGAGCATCCTGGGTGTCCTGGCATCCAGCTGATGACCTCAGCCATCAACACCTGGGAGATTCCAGAGTCCTGGATGCTGAGAGGCCTGGGCTTTAGGGCAAGGCCTGGGAGGGGAGGTGCTGGGCAGACGACTACCTGGAAGAAATAGGATGGGGCCTGGCATGCTTCAGTGGGGCCTCAGTGTGGAGTGTGACACAGCGCTGAGGGACATGGGGCAGGCTGGTCACACAGTGCTGGTCTCAGCCTGGCATGAGGACATACTGCTGCAAGTGACGGCACATCACGGTGGCACCCCGCCCCCAAGAGTCGGGCTGCATGACCGCAGGGTGGGAAGACGGGGGGCACTGCCAGGCCTGTCTGCTGTGGGCTCAGCCCATACCCTCCAAGCTCAACCACTTCAAACCTCATCACATCGGGCAATGAGATAAGGGGCTTCACCCTTCCGGCACGTATAGGAGGCAAGCCCCACTGTGACTCTGCGAAGACGGGTGCCTTCTGCCCTCCCTCCGAGCTGTGTGGCCACCTGCCTCGTCCCCACTCAACTCCTGAAACCCCCAGGGGCTCTGCTGACTTCTCTGTCATCTTCATACTGTGCGTGTGTGGTGTGTGTGCATGTGTGTGATGTGTGCGCGGTGTGTATGTATGTGTGTGATGTGCCTGTGTGGTGTTTGTGATGTGCTTGTGTGTGGTGTGTGTGCATGTGTGTGATATGCATGTGTGGTAGGTGCGTGCATGTGTGTGGTGGGTGTGGTGCATGTGGATGTGTGTGATGTGTGTGTGATGTATATGCAGGTGTGTGATGTGCATGTGTGGTGTGTGCATGTGTGTGATGTGCGTGTATGTGGTGTGCATTCTTGTGTGTGATGTGCATGTGTGTAAGTGTGGTGTGTGCATGTATGTGATGTGCATGTGTGTGATATGTGCGTGTGTGTGGTGTGCGTGTGTGTGGTGTGTGTTCTTGTGTGTGAGGCGCGTGGCGTGTGCATGTGATGTGCGTGTGCGTGGTGTGCATGTGTGTGATGTGCATGTGCATGGTGTGTGTGGTGTGTTTTTGTGTGTGCTGTGTGTGGTGTGTACGTGTGTGATGTGCATGTGTGTGGTGTGTGGTGGGTGTGTGCGTGTGTGTGCGTGTGTGTGGTGTGTGTGTGCTTGGTGTGTGTGTGTGGTGTGTGTCCTTGTGTGTGGTGTGCGTTCTTGTGTGTGATGTGCCTGGTGTGTACAAGTGTGTGATGTGCGTGTGCATGGTGTGTGCATGTGTGTGCAGTGCGTGTGCGTGGTGTGTGTGTGCATGGTGTGGGATGTGCGTGTGTGTGGTGTGTGGTGTGTGTGGTGTGTGTGCATGTGTATGATGTGCGTGTGCTTGGTGTGTGTGGTGTGCTTGTGTGTGATGTGCATGGTGTGTACGTGTGTGGTGTGTGTGCATGGTGTGTGCGTGTGTGTGATGTGCATGTGCATGGTGTGTGTGTGTGGTGGGTGTGTGCGTGTATATGTGTGTATGTACCATAGTCCTCCATCCCTCTGCAACAGTCGGAAGGGGCATGGAGGGCATCTTTCTGCCCCTTCCTTCGGTGAGGAAACAGGTAGGGGGAGGGTGGATGGGAGCTAACCTGGGAAGCAGAGCTGTGAGGTGAGCTGGCCCTTCACGCACGCCCGGACACGGCACCGTGCTGGGGACGATAGTGGGAGGCACAGGGACCACTTGACAACCTGGGGGGGTGGCGCCCGGGTCTCCACCAGGCACTGAGATTAGACTGCCTTAAATCCATGACATGGATAAATAAATAATAAACAAACAAAAATGATAACACTTATATAGCATTTACCAAGTGCCAGTGTGTTCTAGCATTTGACGCGTATTAGCCCACTTAATCTTCCAAAAACTTCCCCCCACTTCACAGAGACACTGAGGCACAGAGAGGGTGAATGACTTGCCCCAGGGAGGCCACACAGCTGCTGGGCTCAAGCGCAGACAAATGACAAATCGGCCCCATCTGCGCTCTCCACCAGGGCTGGTAGCTGAGCTCCGTGGAGCGGAACCTGGCGCATCTGTCTTCCCTGGGCAGCCCCCTACCCTTCCGCTGCGACGCATCACAGGCTGTACACAGGCTACACCACAGACATGCACACAGCTTCGCAAAGCAGCACAGCCATGACTCAAGACGTGGAGAGGCCTTCGGGAACTCACAAAGTTTTTCAGAAGATGCAACAATAAACCCATCACAACAGGCCGGCCCTTTGCAAACTGAAGAACTAAGAATGAAAATGACTGAGGCTTTAAAAATATCAGGCAGTTTCATCGATTCATCCGTTTTGAATGGAAACACAAAATGTGGTCCACGCACACAATGGAATACCGCTCGGCCTTAAAAAGGCAGGAAATTCGGACACGTGCTACAACATGGATGCACCTGAGGGCATGATCCGAGTGAAGGAGGCCAGGCACAGCAGGGCGATCCTGTGTGATTCCACTTCTGTGAGGTCCCCGCACTCAGCAGTTTCATGGAGATAGAAAGCGGAATGTACAGTGGGGGTCAGGGGCTGGGGGAGGGGGATGGGGAGGGAGGGTTTATTGTTCATATATTTTACCACAATTTAAAATTAAAAAAAAAAAAAAGGCTGGGCGTGGTGGCTCACGCCTATAATCCCAGCACTTTGGGAGGCTGAGGCGGGCGGATCACATGGTCAGGAGTTCGAGACCAGCCTGGTCAAGGTGCTGAAACCCCGTCTCTACTAAAAATAAAAAATTAGCCGGGCCTGGTGGCAGGCGCCTGTAGTCCCAGCTACTCCGGAGGCTGAGGCAGGAGAATTCCTTGAACCTGGGAGGCGGAGGTTGCAGTGAGCCGAGATCACGCCACTGCACTCTAGCCTGGGCGACAGAGCGAGACTCCATCTCAAAAAAAAAAAAAAATTGGCAGAGAATCTAAAGCAAACGGAATAAAATGCTGTGGTTCTTCTTTTAGTTGTTTCTAGACCGAGTTTTCAGGGGTACTGCGGGTTTCTGTTCAGGGCCAATGCTCCCGTTGCGTGACCAGCTTCGGGATTTGGGGAGATGTGGTCAGGGTGAGGGGGGAGACAGGCAGTCAGGGATGGGTTCAAGACAAATAAGTTGCACCCTCAAGTGAAAATATTTCTTTTTGAGCTTGAAAATGTTGGGAGCCACCCCTGGGTGGCTGAGTGCACTGGGCGTCCCTGGTGCCCATGGCATGACTGTGCCCGCAGTGCCAGGAATACAGGCATGCGCTCCTCCAACTCCTGCAGATGGACCCTTGCTTGTGCACTTTCTATTTTTAACCATTTTAATCTTTTTTTTTTTTTTTAATTCCAATAGTGTTTGGGGAAGGGGTGGTGTTTGGTTACATGGGTAAGTTCTTTAGTGGTGATTTCTGAGATTCTGGTGCACTGTCACCCGAGCGGTGTACACGGTACCCAGAGCGTGGTCTTTCATCCACCACCCTGTGCACTTTCTTAGAACATTTTCTTCTCAAAAATATTTGGACCCCTGGAAATGCAAGCACCCAACTGGCCTTGGTCTCAACCTCCACAAGCCAGGCACTGACTCGCAAACTGCCTTCTCTGCGAGCCGTCCCTGCAGGCCCCGCACCTGCTCCTGGAAGCTGGAGGGATCCTGAGCTCAGGGTGGGTTTGTCTGGGGAGAAAGCCAAGGAGTGCAGACACGCTTTGTCTGGGGCAGGCCCAGCTATCGGGCTGTGCCGTCTGGTCTCTGGGGGCTCTCTGGGCCCTTCTTGCCCAAAACCTTCTGAAATTTCCCAGGAGTGCGGCTTGCTGGGTCACCTGCACCCAGGGGAGCAGGTGATTGGGTGAGAGAGGGTTCAGGGTTGCCCACCACCCCCTGGGAAGCAAGCCCAGGACTGGGCTACCGGGCCCAGCCTCTCAGGAAGTCTTGGCCCCCTGGGGCCCAGTTCCTGCCGCCTCCCTGCCCGGCTTATGCCCCGAGGTGTCCCAGTTGCTGCACTGAGATCAGCTGCCCGGCTCGTCCCCGTTTCATCTCTCATTTGCATGTCAGTTCATCTGAGGCGTCTGACGGGGACAGTGTGCCCTTCCTCTGCGCTAGATTTACCTCGCTGACAACGAGAGCTGTCTTTTGCCCATTTCTGAGGCCAGACAGCCCCTCCACCCACACTGAGCTCCGGAGAGGCTGGCTGGAAGACGAAGGTGCGGGCTGTGGGACCTGGGCTCATGGGGCCTGTGGTTCTGGCTCCTTCTTCATGGGAGCCTGTGGTTCTAGCTCACAGTGGACTCGGGGAGTGACAAGACAAGTGACAGGAAGGTGCTGCCACTGCTGCTTCCAGAGTCTTCCGGGCTGATGGGTCCAGGATGAGAGAAGCGTCATGGGGGCTATGCTGTGCCCAGGCCTGAGGGCAAGGGTGGCATTCCTGAGCCTCCCCACATGCCCTGCCCTGCTCTGGAAACTTCACCCCATTGCTCCGCGTGGACTGCACAGTGAGCCTCCACTTCCCTGGGGAGAAAGTGATTTTGCCCAGGCCTCCCGGCTGGCAAGTGGGAAAGGCGGATGAGGCGAGGCTGTCCGTCTCAGCACCATGTCCCCACCACTCTATGGGACCAGCCCTCCTGGATTCCCAGATTGGGCGGCATTGGTTTAGTCTGAGAGGTTTCCAGGTCATTCATGGAAATTCCTGATGGCGTCAGGTGGGCTTCTGGCTTCCAGCTGTCCCCTCCTGGGCCTCTGGACATTGGAAATGTCTGGCTAAAGGGGAATTCGGACCACACCAATGGGAAGGAGTGTGGAGGCCAGCAGCTCCCTGACTTTTCGGCACCCTTGGGCTAAAATTGGGAAGGGCCCAGTTTCCTGTGCCCTCTCCGAGACAGCACCTGCTGTAGCTCTCAAGTGGTCAGGCACTTCATGGCTGATTGCTGGTTGAAAAAGGAACCAAAAACCGAGGGTTCTTACTACTTTTCACAGCCCAGCTTCAATTCAGGTGGAGACAGGGGAGTCGTCCCCAGCCAGGGGTCAGGACAGCAATAAGGCTGGCAACTCTCATTGCTCCCTGTCCCTCCACCACCGCCACCCCCTCCATTCATACACTGGAAACCCCAAAAGGGTGTGACTGACCCCCTTCCTTCAGCAGATTTTCTTGGTTCAGTGAACTTACAGTACCATTTTTATACCAATTTAAAGGTCAAAAGTTACAAACATGTAACAGGCAGACAGATGATAGGCTGGAAGTGGAGAGGATGGCGAGGAGAGCCGCCGTCCACCTGGGAAGGAGGGCGCAGACAGTGGTGCTGGAGCCGAGAAACCTGGAGAGGAGTCAGTGTGGCCGGGGGACGCAGCCCTGCACAATTGAGCAGAGATGCCTGCAGCCACAGGAAAGGGCACTGCGCGTGTGGGCTGAGCAGCCCATGCCTTCTAAAATGAAAGGAGGTTTGCATTTGACCATGTCGTGGGCAGGAGAGGGGAAAGGCACGCAGGAGCCGGGTAGGGCTTAAGGCCCCACCATGCTAACCACACCAGACAAGGTTGGGGCAGTGCACTCCTCTCCCCTGAGGAGCTGGGGGAAACAGCAGCTCATGCTTGTGCCAAAGCAAGAAATGAAGGCAGAGGGGCCTGAACAGGACAGATCAGTAGAACCAGGCAGCAGGGAGCGACATTCCCTTGGGCCAGGACCACAGACCACCCCAGCAGGGTGCAGAGGCCTGGACTCCAAGCACTGCGGGGAGGACCTGAGCCAAAAAGGCACAGCTCTGGGGCCCGCAGAGGTTGGCCTTGGGTGCCAGGACCAGGCTGGGTGGAAGCATCACGAGAAGGCCTGGGCAGACCCCACCAGCTGCCCAGGGCACGGAGCCCTGGGCTCCCGCATGTGAAGGGGGCAGGCATAGGTCGGGTGGAGGCAAGCGTAGGTGTGGCGTAGCCACGGTGGGTGGCAAACTATTAAGAACTGGGAGCCGACTTCTGCGGACGCTTGAACACTTTCTAGCGCGGCTCCTCCCTTTGGGCTGTGCGCATTCACTGCTCTGGTTTACAGTAGAAACAGCCCCGCAAACTCAAGCGGCCACCGATGTGTTCAGACCTGGGTTCCAGCTGCAGAGCAAGGCCAAGACCAGAACACCACAGCCCAGAGGCGCCAGGGAGGCCGCGCACAGTGCGAGTGTCCCGAGGGGGCCGCCAGGTCAGGGCAGTGGCACCACAGAGGCCCCGGAGCATTCAGTCTTGCCCAGATGTGGCTCCTCACCACACCCGAGCCCACAGCCTGGCCCAGGGGTCCCAAAGGCCTCTCTCTTCCCCGATTCGGAAGATTGGCAAACCCAAGCCTGGATGTGCCACCAGGTGGGACCCCCTCCAGCTCCCCAGTGCTGAGTGCGTCGTCCCTGTCACTCCATGGGCAGCTCAGCTGAGCAAACCCTTTCTCCATAGGCAAGAGAAAGGAGCAGGTGCTGCAGCCAGGGCCCCCCAGGGTAGGGGCAGCTGAGGAAAGGAAAAAACGAATCCTCTGGGGAAAGACGAAGCGCTTCAGCTCCTAGAGGACACAGTCTCTCTGAAGCAAGGACCTCAGCACCCTAGGTTTGGGGACCTGGCTTCCACCTCTCCCCTTCTTTAACAGCCCACCTGAGGGTCTAGACACGGGGTTGGGGGTGACAGGAGGGCTTCACCTGGTGCTGGGGAAGTGCCAAGTCCTGATCTGTGCACCCTGGCAAGCCAAGGAACAGATGACGGGAACAGGCCGGTGCAGATGCTGCTGGCTGGGTGGAGGCTGTCCCCAGCCCTTCAGCAGCTTCTCACCAGGCCATCCTCATGGCTACCAGTTCTGCACAAAGGGCTCCTTCCCCACAAAGCCCACAAAGCCTGCAAAGCCGATCGTCAGGGAAAAAAACCTGTTCATCAGGCCCCACACGGGGCTGGCCCACCCAGCCTGCAACGTCTGCTGCTGTTTATCATTTGTAGTTGCCTTCCCATTCCGCCAGCACTCAGCTTCCCATGGACCCCAGCACTCAGCACATAGTAGATGCTCAATAAACACGGCGGGCTCATTGACCAGGCAATCTGCCTTATCCCATTTAATTATTAGCACAGCAGCACAGGGGCACAGAGTGAAGTAACTGACCCAAGGTTCTCGAGATGAGAGGGGAGCACTGAAAACGGAGCCTCAGTTGGACTCCAGGGCACAGAGTCCTGCCTTCGTGTAGGGCTCAGGAGGCAACCTCCGACTCACTTCACACGCCCAGCTTCCTCTGCACAACCTCTGAAGGAAAAGCTCCTGAGGAGGGAAGACAATCCCCCAAATTCCTGTTGCTGACTCCCACTGTGTCACTCTGGTGATGTGACACCTGTGCGTGTCTGGAGTTTTCTTCATATAAATAAAGCATTGGCCTGGCGCCAAGTGGCTGCAGCGGCTCCTCTGAATCACTGGGCATGTCTGCAGGGTTACCTGCACAGGTAAGGCCAAGCCAGGAGACACCGGCACTTGCTGCCCGGGGCCTCCCTCAGACAACTTCAGATTGTCAACCTGGAGCTTTGCCGGAGCACAGAACTCGGCAGAACCCCCAGTTTCTAATGTTCCCTCCTTCCTCCCCGTCTCTGCGGTCTCAGGGGGAAACTGAGATGGCCAGGGGTCAGGTAACCAGAGGGACAAAGAGCAGAGATAACGAAGGGGCGGGTGTGCCCATCGCCAGGACTCATGGCCAGGTGGTGCCGACGAACACAGTGACGGAAAGCAACACATCCCTTATCTCCTGCACCCAGTGACCCCCAGGGCTCCCTCCTAGGAAGCAACATGGGTTTGTTTCCATGACCTTTGATGGAGAGGAGATGGGGCGGATGGCAGGGAGACAGATTCACGCTGGAAATTCCAGGATTTACCCAGTGCCTGGTACTTTAAGAGAAGGAATGGCGGCTGATGGCAGCGGCACTGAAAGTGCTCTCAGCTGAGCCCGGTGCAACCCATCCGTGACAGCACTGCTGGGTGTGCAGCCTGGGAGGTGAGCGAGAAGTTATCATGCTTTGCCCGGCACATGGCTTGGGCAAACGATTCAGCTTCAACCAGGACTCACAGTCCAGCTAGGAGCTTCCAACGGGGTTCACAGCAAGGGGCAGAGGGCGGGGGCAGCTCAGGAGCAAGCAACAGACCTCGTGGAGATGGGGGGCGGGGTGGGGGTTGGAGACCCGTCTGGCGCCTCCCTGTTTGCACCACAAAAGGACGTTTATGGAAGGAACTGAGGGAAGAATAATGCTCATCGTGTTCTGCAGTGTTCCAGGCAGTGTTTACATTCACTCATTCCCTTCTCATTCCAGTCTATAAAGCAGATTTTATTATCCCTTCTTTATGGACGGGGATGCCAGCTTGGGGAGCCCAGGGGCTTGCTCGTGGTACAGGAAGTGGTAGAGCTGGCAGTCAATCCGCCTCTCCCCCGCAAAGGTGCCACATGCCATGTCTTCCCCAGGGCCCACCTGCAGGCTGCTTTTCTGGAGATCACCCCAACCTCAGCGTGTCCACTGTGAAAAGCTACCCTGCCCACAATAACAGCCTGGCCTGCCATGCCCAGCGTCCTCCTCCCACCCCTCCTGAAGCTCTCCTCCACTTTTCACCTGCTTCCAAGAGAGCTGCTCCCGGGACATCTTTAGGAAGTTCTTAGGACGGACCTGCTACTGTTGATCTGGTGACAACTCACTTTAAAAAGACTTTTGCTTTTAAAGGCAGGTCTTTGATACATTCTCATCTATCGGGCAGAAAAAGTGTGTGTGCATGTGCCTATGTGGTGTGCATGTCTGTGTGCTCATGTGCACGTGTGTGTATGCACGTGTGTGCGTGTGTGTGTTTGTGAGTGGATGTGTGAGCATTGGAGCATGTGTGTGTGTGTGTGAGTGTGCATGCTGGTGCAGTGACATATTCAAGGGAGGGCCACTCCTTCCTTTGGGGAGAAAGGAGGCTGTTACAGTCCCATGCAATTGCAGACGCCTAGTCCTGGAGTCAGGGACCTGGGTCTAGTTGTGCGTCTGCCGCTGCCCAGCTGCCCAGCTGCCCAGCACTGATTAAATAAGGGGGTGACCACCTGTCCTTGAAGATGCTTCCTCCTCCCGGTTATCTGAGTCTCTCAAAGCGGGCTACGGTGGGAGAGGGCTGTACTTTCCATTTCACGGGGATCAAGCCGGGCACAGGGTGAGGGAGGCTTGTTGGCTTAAATCTACTGATTAAACTGGCCAAATGCACCTCTGGGAACAGGAAAGACTCAAGCCTGGCCGGCACCTGCTCTGTGCCTGGCTGGGGCATCTCTCCCTGGCCTCCTTCAGTGGAGTACTCCGTGGGCAGAAAGGTGAGAAGCAGCTGCAAGGGCTTCCTGAAACGCCCAGCTGAGGTTTGAGGGATTTCCTCACAATGGCTTTTCCCTGGGGACTTTAGGGGGAGCTCATGAGAGCCCCTTCCAAGCCGGCGCGCTCATTGTCCCTCCCTGCCCGTCAGAGGGGGCCACGAACAAAGGGGGTCTATTCTGAACCCCTCTCCCGTGTAACTCAAGTCCGCTAGGAACGCTGGACATTCGAGGGACTTCCTATCTCCGCACAGCAGGGGAGAGCCGGACCCGCTGCCCCCCAGGCTCTCCGCGGGGCCCCGGAGGTGCAGCGGCCCGAGTCCCCCTCTGCAGTCGGAGCTACTCACCTGCGGGGGAGCAGTGTCCCCGCCGGCGCCCCCCGCACCTGCCCCCGCGCGACAGGAAGCGGCGGCTGCTCGCCCCCTCCGCGGACCACGACCCCGGGGCTGCCCGGCGGGCCGATCCACCGGAAATTAAAGGCTTCATGTGCCAGCCCTTGAATGTAAAAACTCAGCCTAATCAGATTTTCAAAAAGAAAAGCTCTGCCTGTGAAACGGAAACACTAGCCCGCCCCCCCACCCCCCACCCCCCAGGGCGAGTCGCCCCTTTCCCCGGGGAGCCGGCGCGTGGGGACCCCCGCCCCCGACCAGAGCTGGCGGAGCGCACGGAGGCCGCAGCCTGGACCGGCAGACGCACGGACAGTCCCGCCCCGCCGCGCCCGGCCCCGGCGCTGTCACCCGGGGGGAGGAGGGGGTGTCTGGGTGGGGGAGGGGCTACCTTCTGAATGCGTCCATCGATGTCCAGGTAGATGGCCTTGGGCCGGTAGCTGGAGGAGCCGGATCCCATCCTGCGCCCGGCGGCTGCACTCGGACTTTTTACTGTACTTTCCCGACGCCAGCCGCCGCGGGAGGCGGGGGAGGGGAGCAGGGGAGGGGGCGGGCGGGGGGCGGCCCGCGGCGCTCAGCCAACCACAGCCGCGCCGCCACCGGGCCCGGGACGCCCGGGAGCCGCCGCCGCGCGCCGCAGGGTCTCCTCCGCTCGGCTCGCGCTCGGGCTCGGGCTCCGACTCCGGCTCGCGCGCTCCTCCTCCCGGCCGCCCGCCCGCCCCTCCCCCTCCCCCCTCCCCCCTCCCTCCCCCGTCTCTCCTCTCTCCCCTCCTCTTCACTCCCTGCACCTCCCTTCCCCCTCTTTCTTCTTCCCTTGACTCCAGCCCCCGGTCGGCTGCCTATCTCCCGATGCCCCCTGGACAGCTGTGCAGAGCCCTGAGCGACCCCTTCGGCCCGGAGCCGTCGCCTCCCCACGCAGCCCGTCCCTCCTAAGCCAGCGCTGGGCTGAGCGTGGCCGCGCCGCTGTGGACCCCCCAGCCCCGCCGGGAAAACTCCCCTCGCTCCTCTCTCCCTGCTGCGACCGCCACCCTCATTTCATTTGAATAGAAAACGGGAAAAGTTCCTTCTCGGTCACCCACAGCCTTCCCCTAACTAGGGGGCGTCAGCCTCCTCCAGCTGCGCCCGGAGCTGAAATGGCGATTTTATTTCTGTCCTGTATGGGGCCGGACCGAGGATTACCCCGCCACAAGCTATCTGCTGGATTCAGCAGTTTCGTCCCCTCCCCGCTTGTGTGAATTGCTACAGGGAGTGTGGGAAAGGCGGGAGGGGAAGGGGGCTGTGGGCATCCTCTGGATCTGCGGAGCAGGGAAGGGCTGCCTTGGCCGCCCCCAGTTCTCCTGGGCTCCTCCATTGGGAATGGGGTTGGCGGCTGGGGGAGGAGGCTCAGATGCCGTGGTCCTGGCCCTGGGTGCAGGTCGCCTTTGGAAGCAAGTGTCAAAGCCAGCCGGAGCATGTGCTATTGTTTCGTTGGAAGTGAGTTCCAAGCCACCGCTTTCCATCTGTTAAGTGTCTGGGTGCTGCTTATTGAGAGAGTCTGGTGCACCCAGGCTCCTCCCTCCCCTTCGGGCCTGCTGGAGCCGGCCAGCCAGTGCCAGGGCCAGTGGTCACTTCCTCTCCCTCCCCTGGCCAGCCTGGTCTCCACCTGGTGGACGGTCACAGGCTTTACAGACACCCCCAGGGCCATCTGGAGCTCTGGTGGCAGCTGGGGTCCTGGGGAAGGTGAGAGCTCCTTGCCTGTCCGTGGGGGTGGCATCATCCTGTGAGGTAAGTGATCGTCCTCAGCCTTTGGCCAGTCCATCCTGTGTCACTTTATGTCCCCCCACCTGCTCTCATGGCGGGGGGCACGCTCTCAAATAACAACGGCTTGGAACTCGGTACCTTGGCACCCCCTGCCCACAGCTCCAGTGGAGTCCGTGTCAGAGCTTTGGCACCATGAGTTGTGCTTTTCAAGTGACAGGATGAGAAGGGGACAGCCTGGAGGCCTTTGGGGTGGGGAGACCCAGCTGGGTGGTTACAGCGGGCCAGCTGACTCGCCATGGGGATACTGTGTCCCCGGCTCATTGAAGTGAGCACTATTACTAGTAGTTCAATTTGTTGTCAAATGTTCCGATGCTATTTGGGCTAATCCAGAGATCGTGCTGTTGGGACCGCCTGTGCTGCCTGGCATGGAGTTCTTACCAGCAGATGGCTCATTGGCTTGGCACTTAGTTATTCTCCATCCCTTATTGTCATCTGGCCTAGTCTTCTGTAACCATTTCCTCCAAGAGCCCCAGAAGGACGAGTGCCCGCCCATGGGGGGTGGTTCTGCAGGGCAGTTCCCCAGGAGGGTGGAGGGTGTGGCTCTGAGACTCTGTGTGCGTCCAGCACCAGTGCAGGCTGGCCCCTCACACTGCCTGGCTGATTCTGTGCTCAGGAGAATAATCGCATCTATAATTACTTTGCACTTTTAGGAGCTGGACTGGACCCCTGTGTAGATACTGGATCGATGAGGCCTCAGCAGCTGCCTAGAGAGGAACCCTTTCCTCTCCCAGATCCCCATGGAGCAGTGCGGTCTTCCATTCGTCAACAATCTCATTACTGCGTGTTGGGTGCTGTTCTGGGCACTGGGAATTCAGTAGTGAACAGAATAAGCAGAGATCCCTGGCCTGAAGAAGCTGGCATTCTCTGGGGAAGACAGACACGATGGTATAAATAAATAGAATGTGTAGGGTGTTGGATAAAAATTAAGGCAAAGAAGAAAAATCCATAGTGAGACCCCATCTCTAAAAAAGAAAAATCCTGCGGGGAAGGGGATATAGAATGTGCAGTGTGAGGGAATGTGCAGTGTGAGGGAGTTGGAATTTTAGAGAAAGTGGCCAGGCAAAAGGTCACATAGGAGGAGGGATCTTACAGGTGTTAGGAGCAAGGAGCCTGTGTGTGTCAGAGGGAAGGACGTTCTGGCACAGAAGCAGCCTTATGCAGGAGGCCACGTGGCCAGAGCGGAGGGAGGGAGTGGGCTGTGGGGGACCGTAGTGGGCTGTGAGGTCAGAGAGGTGACGGGGGCAACCCCGCGTGGTCACACGAGTGACTTGAGGTCACTCTTCCTCCACTGCATGCCTTGCAGGAGGCGGTGCAGAGGGCCATGGTCTGACGTGGGTTTTCACAGGATCCTCTTGGATGCTGGAGGAGGGTGCATGGAAGGGGCCAGGCAGGGAGGCCAGTGAGCAGCAGCTGCAGTCAGCTTTGCAAAGTGTGATGGGACTTGGACCACGGTCAGGTGGACCCATGAGTTGGGGTCCTTCAGAGAAGCAGACCAATAGTGAGGAGTTGGCTCACATGAGGACGGAGGCTGAGAAGTCCTGCCAGCTACCGCCTGCAAGCCGGAGCCCCGGGAAAGCTGGTGGTGTGGCTCCAGTGCAAGCCTGAGGGCAGCACCCGGGAGCTGATGGTGGGGACCCAGTCCCAGGGCAGGAGAAGGCCAGTGTCCCAGCCCAAGCAGGCAGGTGGGAGGAAAGAGGCAAGTTCCTCCTTCCTCTGCCTTCTTGTTCTCTTCAGCCCTTCAAGGGGTTGCATGATCCCATGCACACAGGGAGGCATCTGCTCGCCACAGTCCACCACTGCAAACGCTGGTCTCAGCCAGAGGCACCTCACAGACTCCCCCAGAAACAGCGCATCCCCAGCTATTGGGCATCCCGGGCTGGCCAGGTGGACACACAGACCTCACCAGTGCAGGTAGTGAGGAATGGTTGACTCCGCATCCAAGTTGGAGGTTGTGGGGTCTTCATTTGTGCCTATTTCCTAGGTGGGCATTATGCCTATTCTCTGCCTTCCTTCCCCTGGCTCTGCCTGCAGTCATGCTCGTTGGTCCTGAACAGCCTTGGTGGGGAAGGTTCCAGAAGTGGCGCCTGCTCTGTGCCCCCCACATCAGCCCCAGGGTCTCCTGGTATCCTAAACCTACATCCCTGCTCCTGGCCCGGCTGTCGGGAATGCAGCCAATGTTCGTTCCTCAGAATCAAGATAAAAACGAAGGGAACCTCCTGCCTCTGCCAGGCAGGCCGCAGGCCAGGCTGGGGACCCCGGGTGGGGTCGAGGCTGGGGAGCCTGGGTGGGGATGAGGCTGGGGACCCTGGGTAGGGTCGAGGCTGGCCACCCTGGGTGGGGTCGAGGCTGGGGACCCTGGGTGGGGACGAGGCTGGAGACCCTGGCTGGGGTCGAGGCTGGGGACCCTGGGTGGGGTTGAGGCTGGGGACCTTGGGTGGGGATGAGGCTGGGGACCCTTGGGGGGACGAGGCTGGGGACGCTGGCTGGGGTCGAATGCCTCCTCAGCTCAGGCCTTGGGTCTTTGGGGAACGTGGTGACTGAGTTCATATATGCATGAGCGACGTTTCCAACTGTCTGGAAACTTCAGACAGAGTGTGAGATTCTGCCCGTGTGTCACAGGGAAGGAGGCTGGAGATGGAGGAGATTCTGGAGGTACCAAGCCCCCGCGCTCCCAAGAGCCGAGTGGGTCCAGCCTCTGCCTCCACTCTCTGCCCAGACTGCACTTTCTTCTGGTACCTTCCAGGGTGCACACAGGCTCATTCCTGTATGCAGAGCTCCCTCTTTAATTCCCAAAAAGATCACACCAAAGGAGAGTTTCAAATTAGGGCATCAGAGCCAAATTGAAGATTGGAGGAGCTGAGTCCGGAAGAAGGGCCAAGACTGCGGAGTGAGGAGCTGGTTGCTGGTTCCCAGGTCCCTGGCCAGCTCACCGTCTCCAGCAAGAAAGGGACAAGCGAAGGCACATGAGGAGAAGAGAAGGGTCTGGCCTATCCTTGAAGAGTGATCACCTTCCCACGAGATTGGAATACTGGGAAGGAAAGTCCGAGCACCCCGGGAAAGTCTAAAGGGGGTTCCCAAAGGCAAAAGAAGGTGTCCAGGCAGCGTGTCCTGCCACGGCCAGCAGCTCCCAGCATGTGCTCTAGCCGTCCTGGCCTGGCGGGTCAGAGCCATGGTCAGTGGCAGCTACTGAACCATTGCCCGTGGGCATCATCTGCCTGTTCTCTCTTGGGTCTAACCAGCATTTCTCGTGACTATTCTGAAAAGACTCCAGTCACTTCCTCCACCACCTCTTCCGAGCTGGGGGTGGTGCAGGGGGTTGGGGAAAAATCAGTTCATCAAACAAGCAAAATGTATTCAGCGCCTGCTTGCTGTAGACCAGGCACTGGGCAGGGCTTGTGAAACGGAATTGGAGCCCTCTGGACCCTGGAAACCTTATGGGAGAGAGTTAAAATAAATCAGACAGGCAGAGGTAAGGCACTTTACCTTCCGAAAGGTGCACCATTGAACACCAAGAGGAATCAGCCTGTCTTGTACGTGTATAATGAACCTGCCACGACGAGCTCTTCAGGATAACCACTGGGCGGGATGCACCAAGAATCAGAGAAAGGGGGTGCCCTTTGACCTGAAGAGGCTGGCATTCTCTGGGGGAGACCGACAAGATGGGATCAATAAATAGACGGGCAGATGGTCTGCCCTTGACTTTTGTGCAAAAGGAGAAGACACTGGCACAAAGATCTCACTTCCGTGTCTGTTGTAGTAGTATTTGATTTATATACCCTCCACCTGTTTCTTTTTATGGTCTTGGTAATTGCAAAATTATTACTAGTTGTAAATATTTCAAACAATGTGGTAGAAAAGGCAAAGTCCCTCTTCTAGTAGAGAAAATGGAGGCCGGGCACAGTGGCTCATGCCTGTAATCCCAGCACTTTGGGAGGCCGAGGAGGGCAGATCACAAGGTCAAGAGATTGAGACCATCCTGGCCAACATGGCGAAACTACATCTCTACTAAAAATACAAAAATTAGCTGGGCGTGGTGGCGCGTCCCTGTAGTCCCAGCTACTCGGGAGGCTGAGGTAGGAGAATCACTTGAACCTGGGAGGTGGAGGTTGCAGTGAGCCGAGATCGTGCCATTGCACTCCAGCCTGGGCGACAAGAGTGAAATTCCACCTCAAAAAAAAAAACAAAAACAAAAACAAAAAGAAAATGGAGACCCACCCCTTCTCACCATGGACCAGCAGGCCCCTGATGCCTGTGTGCTTCCGACTCCTGGCCAGCTCCTCGTGTGATGGGCGTTTGGATTTTCCCAATATGTTGTTGTTGTAAACAGTGTGAACGAACACCCATATCCATATCCTTTGTTGGTTGTGTTGCTATTCTTCAGAATTGATTTTTGGAAGTAAGATTTATGGGTAAAAGTGTTTTTTTGTTTTTGAGATGGAGTCTCGCTCTGTTGCTCAGGCTTGAGTGCAATGGGGCCATCTCGGCTCACTGCAACCTTCACTTCCTGGGTTCAAGTGATTCTCCTGGCTCAGCCTCCCCGAGTAGCTGGGATTACAGGCATCTGCCACCATGCCCAGTTAATTTATGTATTTTTAGTAGGGACGGGGTTTCACCATGTTGGTCAGGCTGGTCTTGAACTCTTGACCTCAGGTGATCCTCCTGCCTGGGCCTCCCAAAGTGCTGGGATTACAAGCGTGAGCCACTGCGCCTGGCCAAAAGTGTGTTTTTTACACCTTTGTGTGCTAGTAAAAGCATATTTACATTATTTTGCCAAATTGCCCTCTGAATTGGTTATACCAATTTATTATACTCCCATCATCATAACACGAGAGGATCCTTTCACCACACTTTCAACAAAGTAAGAGAGACTTAGTCTTGTTTATTTTTTCCAGTGTAGGGAGGGAAGGATCTTGTTTTGATTTTCATTTCTGTGTTTATAAGCGAGACAAGATGTTGCTTGTGTCTACTACCTGCTTGTGTCTTGCCAGTGAATTCATATTCTTTGCCCTTTTTTCCATTTTAACATCTTCTTCTTATTGATTTTTACAAGCGCCGTCTATGTAAAGGATAGTAACCCATTGGCTGTTATGTATTTTGCAACTATTTTCTCCAAGTCTGTGGCTTGTCTTTTAACTTTCCTCATGTAAGTAATCAAAACTGTGCCACTTTTCCTGTAGGTATTCTGGGTTTCTCATCAGCCCAGAAAGGAGGCATCATTTATAATAGAAAATTAAAATGAAAAAAGTAAGAAAGAAGTGACCTAGATTTCCCCAGGTTGGGAAAGGAAACTGGCATGCTTACAGAGGGGAGCATTGAGGACGGTGACTATGACGAGGGGACAGAGGCCGAGGGAGAGGCTTCTGCCACGTCTGGTGACTGCAGAGACGGCAGGGGCATTTGCACGCTGGCCGCCTGTCCATGTGCACCCACGGCCCACTTGTTGAGTGCATGCCACCTGCAGGCCTGGCCATCCACCCGCGCACAGAGCCGCCCCGCCCCACTGAGCTTGCACGCCAGCATCAGGCTTTGTGAAATCCAGCAGAGTTGAAATGATTTGGGATATGAAGTGTTTAGAGTGGTGGGATTCTAGGCTTTTTAAAAATTTTTTATTTCCAAAAAATTTGAGCGGTGAGGTTATTTTTGCCATAAACTCAGAGAAAGGGGGAGTGAAAGTGACAGAAAATTAGCCAGGACAAAGCAGTACCCTCCCACTTTCTCAGAAGTGGCTGGATAGGAAAGAACAGATCCTTGTAGACGCAAAGTGGTGCCGTGGCCTTCTGGGGCTGAGCAAGTACTTATCATTTTGCGGTTGCGATGTCGAGTCGTGGCGCTTCACGAGGGGGTGCTTGCTGGTTGCCCTGACCCCCGCTAGTGGACAGCAAGTGCCTCTGTGGGAAGCAGATGGGTCAGGGCCACCTTGCCTTCTCTCGGTGCATTTTGGTGGCCTCCAGGTCTCCAGCTTCCCCTTCCCCCTCCGTCCTTTCCTCGTGCACTTCCCCAGGGATCTTTCTCTCCTGCTTATCCGTCCCTGTCATGTCCCTGCTTGGCCTCATTAGAGACTAGCCTCCCAGGGTGGCACATGTGGGCTTCCCATGGCCTCCCAGGGTGGCACATGTGGGCTTCTCATGGCCTCTGGGGTGGTCTGCCTGGACTTCCCATGGTCCCCCACAGGGTGGCCTGCCCAGGCTTCCTGTGGAGCCCCCAGGGTGGCATGCCCAGGCTTTTTCAGGACCCCTGGGTGGGTGGCACGCCTGCCTCTGTTGTCTGGTCCCTGTAGCCTTTGTCCCCACTCCTGAAGGCACCAGATTCTCTGGTGTCACTTTCCTGACTTTGCACATTGTCTCATTGGAGAAGAATGTCCCTCCATTTCTCCTCCCCTTGGTCACCTTATTCTTTAAGATTTGTTACGGTGTCATCTACACGGTCACATCTTCCTTGAATCCCTGGATCCCTGGAGCAGACCCAGGAGCTCCTCCCCGGGTCCCTGAGACCCCCAGCACGCCTCGGTGGTGCCTGCTGTGTGACCCTGGACAACCTGTGTCTCCTCCCCAAGCCGCAGATTTTTCATTTATCAAATGAGGATGACAACGAGCAACCCGAAAGCTGAGGATTAACTGGGAGGATGGGAGCGTGCTGCAAATCCCTCAGCCCGGGGCCTCCTGGGAGGCTGCCATGCGGCTGTCCCCAAGGCTCCCACCCTGTGCGCTGCAACAGTGCTGGTCCTGCCCACTCTATAATAAACTTGCTGAGGGCAAGGACCGAGGGAGGCTCCTGGGGGCCTCTCTGGCAGAGGCAGGCCCCACACTTGGAGCTGAGTGGACGGCCAGTGTTCCATCAGCGAGTGACTTTGTGCAACCTTGCTCCTTCTGTACAAAGCTCGTCTGCCTCTGACTTCATTAACATTAAAAACAATACGAAAAGCCAACTCTGCACCCCCCACCCCCTTGGGCTAAAATGGCTTTTCTGAACTGGAGAGGTGCTGCCTCCTGCAAACCCCAGGAGGCCTCTGTCCCCAGCCACGGGCCTGTGACTCTCTTGTCGCCTATGTCCACTGGAGCTGGGTCCCCAGATGCACACACGGAGGCCACGTGCCCCAAAGGCAGTTACGGGGCTCTGCTGTAGCACGTGACCTTCTCGGCATGAGCTGGGGATAGCGCAGCTGGGAAGATAACCTTGTTTTGGTCACGAGGTTTTGCCATCAGCACGGCCACCTGGGCCAGAGTGCTTTGCGTGTCAGGATGGTCTCTAAGGTGGGAGCCCTCCCCATCCCCTTTGCGCAGCTAGGCCTAAAGATGCTTAACTCTCTTCATGAGGAGCGTGGCCCACCTGCAACTCATCTCCCACCTTCTATCTCATTCCAATTTCTGGATCGCTGACTGGTTTTCAATTCACACTTCCTTCCAGTGACCTGGGCTGTTCTCTGGGCCAGCCCACTCCTTATGAGCCAGTGTCTGAGTGTGACTGACAGGCACCCTAGGTGGGGCTTTGGGGCCCTTTGGTGCAAGTGAACCCCACCTCTCGAGCTCGTTGTGGTTTATAGGGCTGCGTTTTTTGTGGGAAGACCGAGGAACGATGCTTAGAGAACTGGAGGAGGGTCCAAGCAGGCCAGGCTGGGGCGAGCTGGGGGCCCGAATGCTTCGGCCACAGTAGCCTGGAGGTTGATTCTTAGCCCCCCACAGGCACTTTCAGCTCGCCAGCCAGCTGGTGTTTCTGTAAGAATCTCATTTCCTCCAGCCGCAGAAAGTTCCTTGGTGGGAAATGACCTCCTGTGAGAAGCCAACCCAAAAGGCAGGGGCCTTTCTGTGTGGACCTCTCAGGCCGGCCCTGGGAGAGTGGTGGGCGTCTGAGTCTCTTTTTAGCATCCCTCGCCTCCGGGAGCTTCCCAAGGTGACCGTGTGAGCAGCTGCAGATTATAAGTGAGGGTCAAGGCTGATCCAAGAAGCCAAATGACCCCTCTGCTCAGGCCTGACTCCAAATTGAGTCAGCCATCAAAAGTGCAAGAAACTGCAAACTGATGATGTCATTTCCAGAAATAGGACTTGGAATCCTAACTGTCCTCAGACCTGAGCTCCATCGTCCCTAACAGCGTAGATCCATAGGTCCTGTCATTCCCACTCAGTAGCAAGCTGTGTACAGAGGGCTGCGTCCTGTTTATTTTGAGTGACTTGTGCAGTGCCTGTCACATTCCTTTAGAAATGGACTGAATGAATGCTAGTTTTAGGTGCAAGAGTTTGTATTTATTTTAGTGAAAGAAACTGTGGCCACGCTTTATCCGATTAATTTCTTTCTTTTTTCTTTTTCTTTTATTTTTTTCGAGACAGTCTGGCTCTGTAGCCCAGGCTGGAGTAGAGCGGCAAGATCTCAGCTCACTGCAACCTCCACGTCCCAGGTCCCGGTTCAAGCAATTCTCCTGCCTCATCCTCTGGAGTAGCTGGGATTACAGGCACATGCCACCATGACCAGCTAATTTTTGTGTTTTTAGTAGAGATGGGTTTTCACCATGTTGGCCAGGCTGGTCTTCAACTCCCGACCTCGTGATCTGCGCGTCTCAGCCTCTCAAAGTGCTGGGATTACAGGCGTGAGCCACCACGCTTGGCCTCCGATTAATTTCTTAAGGACCACCTGCTCCCATGAGCAGGAAGCCGCCTGCTGGAGGCCCTCTCACTCCTACCTGTCTGAAACACCAGGTGTTTGCTCAGGTCAGAGGGGGTCTCTGACCCTTTCTTGCAGGGAGAGCACAGGGCTCCTGCCAGCCCGCTTCTTCTATTGCTTTCTGAAAACACAAGCAAACAGACCCAAAGCACCCCTCCCCAAGCGTGTGTAAGATAATATTTCGCAGATTGCAGGATTATAGAAAACTGAATTCTTTATTGGGCACAGTGGCTCACGCCTGTAATCCCAGCACTTTGGGAGGCCAAGGTGGGTGGACCACCTGAGGTCAGGAGTTCGAGACCAGCCTGGCCAACATGGTGAAACCCTGCCTCTACTAAAAATACAAAAATTAGCTGGACATGGTGGTGCGCGCCTATAATCACAGCTACATGGGAGGCTGAGGCAGGAGAATTGCTTGAACCTGGGAGGCAGAGGCTGCAGTGGCCTGAGATCGCACCATTGCACTCCAGCCTGGGCAACAGGGTAAGACTCTGTTTAAAAAAAAAAAAAAGAAAACCAAGTTCTTAACAGGTAGGAAAATTCTGTTCCTTTATTTTTCTTAGCAGTGGAGCCCTTGCTGGCATTTTCTCATTTGAGTAATTTGGATCTGAGAGCCCGGTGGAGTGAGGAATACCCAGTGCCTTCACCTGGACGTGGTCTCCGGTGGCCCAGCTGCAAGCGCCTCCCCTCAGAAGGGTCCCTCTCTGAGGTTGCAGCTGCCTGGGAATGGCTGTTGTCAAGATCCCCAGCCTTGAGGGACCATTTCCTTTCTCTTCTTCTGTTCTCTCATTCCCTTTGGATTTGCTTTCTAAGCACTGTCCAACCTGCGGCCTGCACAGTCGTGTGCCTTCCCCTTCTCTGGTATGCTCAGGGTGGGACAGGGCACTCTGGAGTTCAGTCCTGGATGCCCCAGTCCTCGGGGGCCGGCCCATTCTCACCACCACCTTGATGTTCTTAAATGAGGGAAAACACTGTTCTGGACCAGTTTAGACCAGGAGAGGCTGCAGTGTTTCGAAGAAGTGTCTACTGAAAAATTACATAAGGTGGGAGACGGGGAAATCTCAAGGATTTGCCAAGGCGAGGAAGCATGAGGAGGAGACGACCTGTGCCTGGCCAGGATTCCACCAAGGCCAAGCTGAATGAGGGGTCTTCCAGCCCCTGGGCCCCACCCAAATTCAGACAATAGCAAAAACCTTCAGTGAGTCTGGATCAGGGTGAGGCATTGGCTCCGAAGCTGGGAGTCGGGAGCAGGAGTTGGGGCTACATGCAGCTGGGCCTTAGCTCCGAGGAGTTTACTGGCAGACAGAGGAGGGAGGTATGTAAATGAGAGAAAATACCCTAGCCCCCGGCCACCCAACCCTGCACAGCCGCAGGACATGACAAATGCTATCTCCAAAAGAGGTGTGCAAAAAGCTCCATCAGTAAATAAGACAAGCAGAGCTCTACCAACCTGGGACTTATATTTTGGTGGGGAGATAGACCATAAACAATTGATAGATGTCTAATGTCAGGGCAGAGATAAGAGCTCTAAAGGAAAAAAACAAAGCTGAGAAAGGGGATAGAGAATTCCTGGAGCTGCTGGTTTAGATATTGTGGTCCGGGCACGCATCGTGGAGATGACATTTGAGCAGAGAGGTGAGTCAAGTGAACGAGGAGGAGACTCTGGAAGGGAAGGCCAGAGGCAGCGGGTGCTGGGCAGGGAGATGGTGGAAAGAAGCAGCCAGGGACCACAGTGGGTCAGTTTTCTCCGGATTGGGGTTCTGTTCTAGGCATGACAGAAGCCACTGGAGGTGGCAAAGGCATGGAGTGAGTGGAGCCGACTTAGGTGCAGGTGCACAGAGAGGTCTGCGGGGTGGCTGTGCCAGCCAGCCCTGGGGTCTGAATCCAGCTCTTACCTGCTGGGGACACTGGATACACCCCTTAGCCTTCCCGTGCCTCAGTTTTCTTCTCTGTAAAATGGAGCAGTAGGACCCTGGCAGGGACGATCTGGTATAAAGTGTGGAGAGCATTTCGCCCACACAAACGATGCTGTTATCCTGCCTTTGCTCTCTTCTCCCTGCCTCCTTTCCTGCTTTCTAACATATGAATAGAATCTGGGCTGCTTTGCGGTGGCCCTGTGAGGTCCGCATTCTGTGGAACAAGCACTAGATCACCGTTGCCATGGCAGTTGCAGTTTCTTTCCCCCTCAGGAGCGTAGGTTTACGAATTGCTGAAGAGGCCCCTTTAGAGTGAGTCGAGCACTCTAGAGAAAATTTCTCTCCCTATCAGGGGAATTGCAACCATTTCTGGAGCTAATTCCACGTCAGGCATCTGGCTGTTGGGAGGAGGATCCTCCGGGGGCAGCTGAAATCTCCGAAGAATTGCAGAGGCCTGGAGCGCCCTCCCCCCGTGTCATTCCTTGCAGCCTTCATGGGTCCTGCTCACCCCACAGCCAAAGCATGCACTGGGCTGCCCTGTGGGCACAGAACGAGCACCGTTCCAAGGCTGTCTTCCTGGCAACCACAGTCTACATTTATTTGACATTTGTTCGGGAGTAGCTCTGTGACTGTGCTTCTGAAACACATCGGTGGACGGCGGGGGGGGGGGCGGGGGGCGGGCGGTCGTGGCCATTGCTGCTTTCAGATAAACTCCCTTTCAAAGCACAGTGGTAGGAGCAAATCTAATAGCCCACCAGCAAAACGTTAGTTATTTTAAGGCAAGCCGGTCCTCAACCATCCTAATAAACAAAGAACAAGGAGCTTTGGCCACTGTGCACAGGGAAGCCCGGTGCTTCAGAAACAAACAGATTTGAGCTTTTCACTGATGAGGTGCCCAATACAAATTTCAGTTCATTATTGGATGACACCATACATGGCTCTCCAAAGCTTTTTTCTTTTCCTGTCTAAAACACAGGACTAGCAAATCTTGCTCGTATCTCAGGTGTGTGAGAATGCTTTCAGCTACAGAAGAAGGAAGCTCAGGTCAAATAAACTTAAGCAAAGGCTATGTTTTGACTCATAACTAAATAGTCCAGAGATTGATCTGGCTTTAGACGCCAAGTAGAATCAGGGACTCAATTTCCCTCTCTCCCCTCCCCTCCCCCAAAGGCCTTCCCCTCCCGTATGGCCAGTATCAGGGTTGGCTGGCTGCCCAGAGCTCACACCCTACCAGCCTCATAACCTTGGTAGAAAGAGAGTAACTTCCCGAAAACTTCATGAGAAATGTTCTGGAGAGAACCCTGAGGGCAGAGCTGGGCCCCCGGTGAGCCATTTCAGTGGGGGGACTGGGTGCCCTGAGTGCTATGGTGGGGTCCCCTCTAAGCAGTAATACCCAGGAGTGGCAGGTTTAATTCACTAATTATATTTTTAAAATCAAATTTTTATTTTAGAACTATTTTAGATCTACAGAAAACTTGCAAGGATAGTGCATGGAGTTCCCATAGACCCTACCCCAGTTTTACCACCTTCCTTCAGGAAGTTACACTTGTTAAAATAAATGAACCAATACTGATACTTTATTATTAACTGAAGTCCATGTTTATTCAGATTTCCTTTTTGTTAAACATGTCCTTTCTCTGTCCCAGGATCCCATCCAGGACCCCACATGACATTTAGTCGTTCTGTGTCCTCAGCTCCCTTTGGCTGTAGCGATTTCCTGGCCTTTCCTTGCTTTTGATGATCTTGACAGTGTTGAGGAAGCCTAGTCAGGTACCTTGTAGACTGTCCCTTAGTTAGTATCTTCCTGATGTTTTTCTCCTGATTAGACTGGGGTTAAGGGTGTTTGAGGGGGAAGACCACAAAGGAGCAGGGCGATTGTGGCCAAATCATGTCAAAGGCACACACTTCCAAAGGAGTCCTTCCTGTTGACGTTGACCTTGGCCACCTGGCTGAGGTGCTGTGAGTCAGGCTTCCCCACTGTAAGGTCACCCTCTCTCTCCCTATCTCCAGGCCGTGTGCTCTGGAAGGGAGTCACTGTGCACAGCCCACGCTTAGGGTGGGGGGTCCACAGCACCTCCTCGAGGGGGCGTCTGCCCACGTCATTTGGAATCTGGCATGGGACATTTGTTTCTTCTCCCCCACGTATTTGTCTCTTCCACCATTTTTGTTTATTCTGTATGGACTCATACTGTGGGCTACAATTCCATACAACTTTACTAAATGTTGCTCCCAGTGTTCCAGCATTGGCCATTGGGAGCTCCTTCGGTTGGATCCTGTGGCCCTGTGACACACCCCATAAGTGAGCCTGTTTTCCTTCCTGTGTTTTTGAGCACTTCTTTTTATTCTGGCACTTACAGGGCATTCCAGGCTCATCTTGTATATTTCCTGCCCCAATTGTAGAATCAGCCATTTCTCCAAGGAGCCCAGGTTCCTATTCCTGGAGAGGGTATTAGAAACCAAGGCCTGGGTGCTAGGTGTGCTTGTTGCTACTGGGTGTCCCTGCTTCTAGGCCCTCTCGGCTGACAGAGCAAGAAAGCATTGCGTGTACACTGACATGGGTATGTACACATATCCATAACCAATTCCACATATGGCCTCCGTGTGTGTGTGTGTGTATGTATGTATATATATATATACACACTCTGTGTGTGTATGTATATATTATTTTTTGAGACGGAGTCTCGCTCTGTCGCCCAGGCTAGACTGCAGTGGCACAATCTCGGCTCACTGCCACCTCTGCGTCCCCGACTCAAGAAATTCTCCTGCCTCAGCCTCCTGAGTAGCTGGGATTACAGGCGCATGCCACCACGCCAGGCTAATTTTTGTATTTTTAGAAGAGACGGGGGTTTCACCATGTTGGTCAGGCTGGTCTCGAACTCCTGACCTCATGATCCGCCCACCTCAGCCTCCCAAAGTGCTGAGATTACAGGTGTGAGCCGCTGTGCCCAGCCTCTGTGTGTATATTAAGTCAGATGTGAGCTCCTATTGGTCCCTTCAATTCTAATCCATTGCCACATGGACCACCCCAGCCTCCTCTTGCTCATGTGTTACCTCCCCCCCAGCAGTGAAGAAGCTGACCAAGCCACCTGCCATGCGGTGCTGAATTGTGTGGTTCCAACGTTCATGTGCATGGAAGTTTGGAGAGCCAGCCAGCCGGGGGATGGGCGCACAGGACCTAGCCACCTGAATGTGGCGGCGAGGGAGGGTGGGGGAGGGGCACATCGGATGTGACTGCTTCCATTTAGGGAGTCCGGGTGGGACCCTGTTCCCGGCTCCAAGGCCGTGGCTGCAGAACAGTCCCTCCTCCCCGACCAGGAGGCTGAGCCCCAGCAGTGTTTGAGGAGCTAAACTTCAGCCATGAAATTCATGGACAATTGAGCCACTCCTCTGCAGAATGTTCCATAAGGGGCCCGGAGAGCTGCTCATTTCCTCCTCTCAGCCCAGGCTGCACGCCGCGGGTCTGCTTCGAGGCTCAGATGATAGGAAGGATGTTTTCACGTGTGGGAGGCGAGGAGTGTGCCCAGCTCCACAAGCCAGCAAAGGCTGTGAGAAAACATATAAAGACACTGGAAGGGGCTGTCAGACAAGCCAGAGAATCTTTAACCCAGAGAGGGCGTGAAAAGAACAGAGACCCTCCATGGGCTGGAAGAAGACCATGCGTTAATTTTGAGTTAAGCTGTGAGCCTCCTGACGAGAAGCCCAGGGTTAAAACGGAACTCGCAAGCACAATGTTGAAAGGCACCTTGTTCTGCCTGTCGTCCAAAGTGACTGCCTCTTTGAAAAGTCCCCAAGCCAGACTGAGGGAGCCTGGTTAGGGCCCCCAGAAGTCCAGCCGGTAACACTGGTGCATTATTAAAGTATTGGGTGCCGGGTCAGCTCCTGGAACAGGGTTCCCTCTGGGGTAGCGCTGAGGCTCTTCCTGTTGGCTTTGTCCTCCTGCAATGGGGCTGGGCGGGTGAGCGTGGGGGCAGGCTGCCCTATTGGCTGGGGTTGTCCTGCACTGTCAGCTGCAGCTGTAGCCAGGAGCCCCCCTGTCTGAGGCTTGAGAGTCAGCGGAGCTGGCCTGGGTATTTTGGTCAAAAGTTGCCCAGCACGATCCATCAGGGAACATGTGACGTCCTCGTGCTATGTGACCCTCAGCACCAGTTGTCTGTTGACACCCGAGCTGTCCTTTGCCGATTGCTGAAGGGTGAAGAAACCGTCTGCCTCTTGCGTTCCCTTCGCCTCTCCCATGCAGCGCAGACGCTACGTCGCCTCATGGTCACACGCCCCCTTCCCATCTAGGATATGTCGCTTCTTATCAGAATTCGCAAGTGAGATCAGAGCTCAGCGCTGTGGTACTTCTGAGAAGGAGGTGTGGGTCACTGGAGTCAGCTTTCCTCGTGTGTGTGCACACGCGTGTGTGTGTGTGTGCATGTGTGTGTGCATGCGTGTATATGCGCGCATGTGCATGCGTATGTGTCTGCGTGTGTGTGCATGTATGTGCGTGCGTGTGTCCATGTGTGTATGTGTCTCTGTGTGCGTGTGTATGTGTGTGTATGTGTCTGCGAGTGTGTGCGTGTGTGTGTGCATGTGTGTTCGTGCATGTGTGCATGTGTATATTTGTGTGTGTGCATGCGTGTGCATGTGTAAGTGTGTGTGCATGTGTATATGTCTGTGTGTGCCCGTGTGTGTGCTGTGGAATACCATGCACGAGCTGGTTTAGCACCAGTGGGAACTGGACACGAGTGTCTTATTCTGGCTGAGGCTGATTAAACTAATCCCACCTACAAAACACATACAGCCTCCGAGGCTTACTCCTTGAAAATCTCATAATTGTGGCTTAAGAAAATGCATAGTCCTTTAATACTTTAGAAATATTCCTTTGTCTTATTTTGCAACTTAGATTGATCCTTTTAAGAGATGCTGTGATCAGGCACATGGGCCTGATGTAATTATGTGCATGGGCTGCATGGTAAAAAATGATACCAACCCATGCTCACAATAAATGCCATTATTTGTCCTTCTTGACAGGTTGGTTTAATACGCTGGCCTTGTGCTTTAGAAAAGAAAAGACAACGGTGTATGAAATGGCACAAAACTGAAAAGGCAAAAACGTCTTTGGAAAATTACGCAAGGCTTCTTCAGCTGAGTTATGATGCTTGCAGGCTGTAATTAATATATTACACAATAGTACATTGTTACAGTATTAGTGTTACAGAACATGAAAACAACCATTTGCTTCAGTGGAAAAGCTACTCACCGTTGGGAATTTATCACTATGTGGAGGAAATATCTAGTGATTTGACTCAATGTAAACCTTTCCACTGACTGATTTGATGATCTGCAGACAGAGCTTTAATGAATCACTGTTAAATCTACTTAGCTGCCTCACGGAGGAAGGAAAAGAACTGTCTTTAAATAAACAAAATGAAAACCAGGGAATATGCACTAAGGTTCCCTGTGTTCTAATCTGTGCTTTAACTGAGGGGCAAATAAGAAACACTGCTGTGGCCAGTGAGGGTTGCCCTGCCTGCCCGCCCCAGGGGATGATGTGAGGATGCTCCCCTCGGCCCCTCTGACCAAGGAGCTGTTTTGCCCTGGGTGAGGAGGCGATCTGCGCAGACCTCAACAGGAGGCAAGGCTTTCTCAGTCTCAGCATTTGCAGCTCAGTGCCACTCTGTGTTTCTGCATGAGCCTCTGGGAGAAGAAGCCAGGGAGAAGTTGAAGAAGAGGTTAATGTTACAAGCCACAGGCATCTGATGGGAGGATGCTGGTGCTGAAAGAAATAGGAGAACTTATTAATTTATCTTAAATGGGCAGGTTAATGGATTGATGGACTCATGGATGAACGACTCATGGATGCATGAGTGATGGATAGGTGGATAGGTGCTCAAATGGATGGACGCATGCATAGATGTGTGCATGAATGCTTAGATCTGTGCATATATGAATGTATATATGTAGCTTGGGTGGATGCATGGGTGGGGGAACAAATAGATGGACAATGGATGGATGGAGAGATGGATGTGTGCATGAATGCTTAGATCTGTGTATATAGGGATGTATATATTTGTGCTTGGGTGAATGCGTGCGTGGGTGAATGAATAGATGAACAACAGATGGATGGAGAGAAGGATGATGAATGGATGTGTATATGAATACTTAACTCTGTATATATGTATGCTTAGATCAGCATATATGTATATTTGTTTGCTTGGATAGATGCACATGTGGACGGATGTGTGCACAAATGCTAAGATCTGTGCATATATGTGTGCTTGGATGGATGCATGGGTGGGTGGATGAATAGATGGACAATGGATGGATGGAGAGAAGGATGATGGATGGATGGATGTGTGCATACGTGGTTAGATCTGTGTATACGTCTATGCTTGGATGGATGCATAGGTGGGTGGATGAAAAGATGGACAATGGATGGATAGAAGGATGATGGATGGATGTGTGCATAAATGCTTAGATCTGTATATATGTCTATGCTTGGATTGATGCATGGGTGGGTGGATGAATAGATGGACAATGGATGGATAGAAGGATGATGGATGGATGTGTGCATGAATGCTTAGATCTGTGTATATGTCTATGCTTGGATTGATGCATGGGTGGGTGGATGAAAAGATGGACAATGGATGGATGGAGAGAAGAATGATGGGTGGATGGATGTGTGCATGAGTGCTTAGATCTGTGTATATATGTGTGCTTGGATGGATGCATGGGTGGGTGGATGAACAGATGGACAATGGATGGATGGAGAGAAGGATGATGGATGGATGGATGTGTGCATACGTGGTTAGATCTGTGTATATGTCTATGCTTGGATGGATGCATAGGTGGGTGGATGAATAGATGGACAATGGATGGAGAGAAGGATGATGGATGGATATGTGTATACGTGGTTAGATCTGTGTATATGTCTATGCTTGGATGGATGCATGGGTGGGTGGATGAATAGATGGACAATGGATGGATAGAAGGATGATGGATGGATGGATGTGTGCATACGTGGTTAGATCTGTGTATATGTCTATGCTTGGATGGATGCATAGGTGGGTGGATGAAAAGATGGACAATGGATGGATGGAGAGAAAGATGATGGATGAATGGATGTGTGTATACGTGGTTAGATCTGTGTATATGTCTATGCTTGGATTGATGTGTGGGTGGGTGGATGAATAGATGGACAATGGACAGATGGAGAGAAGGATGATGGATGGATGTATGCATGAATGCTTAGATCTGGGTATATATGGATGTACGTGTGTGCTTGGACAGATGCACGGGTGGGTGGGTGAGCAGATGGACAATGGATGGAGGAATAGGAGGATGATGGATGGATAGATGTGTGCATGAGTGCTTAGACCTATGTATATATGTATGTATATATGCGTATGCTTGGATAGATGCATGGAGGCATACAAATCTGGGTGGATGAATTATTACATGATGATGCAGGTTTGGGTCAGGTAAATGTCAATACATTCAGTCACAGAAGTCAGCAGGCAGGCAGACACACACCTGTCGAGCACTTATTTTATGACTGGCACCATTTCTGATGTTAGGAGCACAAGGCTCCTACCTGTATGAGGCTTCCCTGCTAGGGGATGGGAGTCACTGCTGGTGGTAAAGGGTCAGGAAAGCCTCCAGGGAGGCGGCTTCTGACCTGAGCCTGCTTGAGAAGGCAGCAGCCTTGAACAGGTAAGCAGAGCGCCCCAGCAGAAGGAAGAACTGCGGTCGAAGCTGCCGGTAATGGGGTTAGACGTCAGGAAGGCCTGCAGGCTGCAGCACTGTGCACAGGGCCAGCCCCTCCAGGTTGGCTCTCAACTCCTCCACTTCACCGGTCCTGGGCTCACCAGTGTGGACACAACACAGGCCCCTGATCTCTGGCTTCTGGTTGGGTTCAGCTGATGGCGAGCTCTGGCTGGGGCTTGGAGGGTGGATGGAGAGGTCAGGCCCTCAGTCCCTGGGAAGTTGCCTCTGGCTGGCCGAAGTTACCTCTCCCTTGCTTCAGGTCACGGCTCTGCCTGGGGCAGCCTCCCACATGTGACAGCCTTCTTTCAGGTCCTGGTGGCCACTCCAGACACCCCTTTCAGGCAGGGTGGTAACAGTGCCACTGTGACTAGCCCCAGGTCACCACACCATCCCTTAGGCTTCACCGGGACCCTGTCCAGACCTTTATAATGGTCCTTTTCCAAATGCCCCTCCCCCCAGCAATTACCCTCATTCTAGATGCGTTTTCTGTTGGAAACTTCCAGGTAGTTGGCACAGGAGTGGCCCAGAAGGCAGACCCTCCAGGTGGAGTCAGGGATGAGGTTGGTCACATATTGGAGGAGATGGAATAACTTCCTTGCCAGGGGGAAATGGGCCGTGGGTACACAGGGGCACGGCAGCCTCTCCGTGACTCAGATCATTGCTGGTGTCAGTGTGGAATGGCGTGCAGGGGAGGCTGAGGTGCTGGGAGAGAAGCCGGAGTTGCTATGGCAATGGTTGTGATTGAAGAGAGTTTGGGTCTTCTGGCTTCTCCTTACCCACACAGGAAAAGGAAAACTTGCAATGGCCGGACCTGCAGTCAAGAACCAGAGGGGCAGCTCTGAAGGAGCCCGTGTCACCTGCAGTCCCAGAGAAGGTGCCGCAAAGGCCAGCCCTTGGCTCTGCTTGTTTGGGCAGATGGTGAACACTCCACATGTGGCCAGGTCTCAGGCTGCGTGACAGAGTTCTCAATAGGATGATGTCACCCCAGGGGACTTTTGACAGTATCTGGAGGTATTTGGGCTGTCGCAGCTGGAGGGATACGGCTGGTGTCTGGTGGGCAGAGATGGAGGACGGTGCTAAGTACCCTACAGTGCACAGGACGGCCCCACAGCAAAGAATGACCTGGCCCAGTGGTCCCGGTGTGGGGTGGAGAACCTCGCTTGGAGAGAAGGGCACCGGTGGGTGAAGTGGGACCCTGAGACACGGGGTGAAGGCACTGGAGCATGTGTGCTGAAGATTTCGAACTCCCAAGTCCGGAGCCTCCTTTGCCCCCAAGGCAGCCTCGCTGCTTTGTCTGAGGACACCAGGCCTCCTCTGCATGGCAACTTTCAATGACTGGACAGGCCATGACCTCACTGGCTCATGCCATCCAGATCCTCATCTCCCTCTACCATCCCCAACCACCTTCCTCCCACCAGTCCCACAGTGAGAGTGAGACCAGCGCCTCCCTTCTCAGACTATAACCTGCACCCCAGTCTCTACGACCGCAGGGTGTTCCATTGAAATGCAGATTCCCATGAACTAGGCCTGGGGCAGGGTGGGGCCAGAGGTCCTGCACACCAACCAGCTCCCCAGGGCCGCTTGGGACCAGGTGTTGAGTAGCCGGGAGGAGTCAGGCTGCAACACAGCCCTGACGGACCCCCTGGGGCAGGCGGCCTCCCATCCATGGAAAGGGTTTGAGGCCTTCTCACTTGTGTCGGCAGGAACCAGAGAAGCACATGCGCAAGCTCCATGAGGCCAATCCTGAGACATGGGGCAGCCACCGGGACGCAGGACAGGATGACGGGGCTGGGCCTTACCTCTCAGTGGAGCCCCCTGCAGAGCTGCATAAGCTATAGATGCCTCAGTCCCACCCCCAGCGCTTCTGATTCCGTTTTCTGGGACAGGGCTTCGGCATCAGGATTCTTTTCTTTTTTTTTTTTTTTTGAGATGGAGTCTTGCTCTGTTGCCCAGGCTGGAGTGCAGTGGCACGATCTTGGCTCACTGCTAACTCCACCTCCTGGGTTCAAGTGATTCTCCTGCCTCAGCCTCCCTAGTAGCTGGGATCACAGGCGCATGCCACCACACCTGACTAATTTTTGTATTTTTAGTAGAGGCAGGGTTTCACCATGTTGGGCAGGCTGGTCTCGAACTCCTGACCTCAGGTGATCCACCGTCCTCAGCCTCCCAAAGTGCTGGGATTACAGGTGTGAGCCACCATGCCAGGCTGGGCGTTGGGATTGCTAAACAACCCCCACGTGAATCTAATGAGCAGCCAGGGCTGAGAACCAATGGTTAGGTGTGTTGACTGGAGCCTCTGGAGTGGCACCTGCTGACAGTCTGCTAGGCTGGCACATCGAAGCCTGGGCTCAGACAGTGACAGTCTGCAGGAGGGCTGGGGGTTCTCTGCCTTTCTAAGAAGAATCCTGGTGTAGTAGAAGCCAATCAGAGACAAGGGGGTGCAACTTCCCCATCAAAATGGGAAGGGCTGGTGGTCCCACTGTTTGGTGGGGATCTGTGGCAGTGGCTAGCTGGTCACAGGGTTACAAAATGAATTAGGTGGGTAGCCTCCTAAGAGATATGTATGTAAGGAAGAAAATTCAACATATATGTGTAAGTAGGGGGCAGAAACATCCAGCCTGTGGTGGAAGCCCTGGATCTGCCCTCCACATCACACCTCTGCCAAAGCAGTTAACCAAGTCCTACACTGCACCCCAGGGGAAACTGCAAAACGCTGGGGCAGCAGCAAAGGCCTGAGAAACGCTGGGGTGGGGATTTACACCATAAGCCCAGGTAGCACCCCTTTTTAGTTGGTGCAAAAGTCAGGTGGATCTTAGAGTGTGACAGTGGCTCTTTCTTCACAGATGTGATCACATGGTGACGCTGGAACCCACCTGTGGCTCTAGATGTGGTATCTTTACCGGAAGGAATCAGCCCCAGGACCTGATATGTAGCTATTGCCTAGAAAATATCTTCTTTTCTTTTCCAATCAATAAGGAAAACCAGGCCGGGGTGGTGGGTCACACCTATAATCCCAGCACTTTGGGAGACCAAGGCAGGAGGATTACTTGATCCCAGGAGTTTGAGGCTGCAGTGAGCTATGATCACACCACTGCACTCCAGCCTAAGTGACAGAGTGAGACTCTGTCTCAAAAAAAATTAAAAAAAAATTTTTAAAATAATGAAGACCCCAAGCAGTTTGCATGTGTGGAATGTCGGAGGCTGTGCTTGAGTTCACTACAGCCGCTCTGCCTGCCAAACCCACTGAGTGCCAGGTCTTGGACAAACGCTGAGTCACCAGCGTTTCCCTGGTGGGACAAACCGATGACCTGGTGGCAGATTAATTATGCTGAGCCCCTCCCACTGTGGAGGGGACAGCCCTTCATCCTCACAGGGACAAATCGATGTGTCCTCCCTGGCCTCCGCACCTCTGCTGGCACTGCTGTTCTGGGATTTGCAGAACAGCTCACTCACCAGTCACTGTGGTGTTCACATCCCATCATCTCCAACGGGGACACGTTTTATAGCAAAGGGAGTGCTGCAACCCCAAACAGAGGAGATCACCAAGTGATCATGAGACCTGAACCATAAACTTGGATACGTGCAACAGAATTCCATTGTAGAGTGGAAGTTTTCACATGGGAGAGCTGGCCTGATTCACCTGGAAGACACATAGCTCAGACTTAAGAGAAGCTGTCCCGCTCCTTCACTAGCCCTCCCTCCACCACACCTGTGGCCACAGGGGTTTCTCTGGCCAGCAAATGGAGAAGGGGAGGGCAGGCCCAGTTAGCAGAGGGTCTGGCTGTAGGCTACACAAGTGAGAAGTGGGGGCCAAGGTACTGCCACCCAGCAGGTGACCCTCAAAGACAATGCAGAAGGAAAATCCTCCTGGGGGCAGAATGCCACGAAATGCTTCACACGAAAGTAGGGTTGGCTGAAAGTACAATTGCGTGTTTACAGACTCACGGGCAATGGCAAAAGCGTTAGCCGGTGGGGCCAGTGCTTCCCACTGAGAAGCACCCAAGTTGCTGTGAACACAGTGGCACTCGCCAGCACTGGCAGGTGCAGGCCAGAGACAGGAGACAGCACAAACAGGAAACTGGTGACAAGGTGGCTGTCTTAGGCAGGGCTCTCCAGAGAGGCAGGATCAATAGAAGACATCTGTCTATCTATCATCTAATCTATCTATCTATCATCTATCATCTGTCTATCTATCATCTATCATCTGTCTATCTATCATCTGTCTGTCTATCTATCATCTATCTATCTGTCACCTATCATCTGTCTATTTATCATCTATCTATCTATCATCTATCATCTGTCTATCTATCATCTGTCTATCTATCATCTATCATCTGTCTATCTATCATCTAATCTATCTATCATCTATCATCTGTCTATCTATCATCTATCTATCTATCATCTATCATCTGTCTATCTATCATCTATCATCTGTTTATCTATCATCTATCATCTGTCTATCTATCATCTAATCTATCTATCATCTATCATCTGTCTATCTATCATCTATCATCTGTCTATCTATCATCTAATCTATCTATCATCATCTGTCTATCTATCATCTATCATCTGTCTATCTATCATCTATCATCTGTCTATCTATCATCTATCATCTGTCTATCTATCATCTATCATCTGTCTATCTATCATCTATCTATCATTTATCTCATCCATTCATCTATCTATCTAGCCATCTATCTCATCCATCTACTTACCTATCTATCTATCTATCTATCATCTATCATCTGTCTATCTATCTATCTATCTATCTATCATTTATCTCATCCATTCATCTATCTATCTAGCCATCTATCTCATCCATCTTACTTATCTATCTATCTATCATCATCTGTCTATCTATCTATCTATCATTTATCTCATCCATTCATCTATCTAGCCATCTATCTCATTCATCTACTTACCTATCTATCTATCTATCTATCTATCATCTATCATCTGTCATCTATCTATCTATCTATCTATCATTTATCTCATCCATTCATCTATCTATCTAGCCATCTATCTCATTCATCTACTTATCTATCTATCTATCTATCATCTATCATCTATCTATCTATCTATCATCTATCATCTGTCTATCTATCTATCTATCTATCTATCATTTATCTCATCCATTCATCTATCTATCTAGCCATCTATCTCATTCATCTACTTATCTATCTATCTATCTATCTATCTATCTATCTATCTATCATCTATCTATCTAATCTGTCATCTATCTCATCCATTCATCTATCTAGCCATCTATCCTATCTATCTATCATCTACCTCGTCCATTCATCTATCTAGCCATCTATCCTATCTGTCTTATCTATCTCTCTCTTTATCTATCTATCTATCTATCTATCATCTATCTCATCCATTCATCTATCTAGTCATCCATCTCATCCATCCATCCACCCATCCACTCATCCATCTATGCATCTATCTATCTATCCCATCCATCCGTGCATCTCTCTCTCATCCTTCCATTATCTATCTATCTATCTATCTATCTATCTATCTATCTATCATCTATCTACCTATCTATCTATCCCATCCATCCATCCATCCATGCATCTATCTATTTATCTATCATCTATCTATCTATCTATCTATCTATCTATCTATCTATCTAATCTATCTATCTATCATCTATCTGTCTATCAAAATGGTCATAAGAAATACTTGAAAATCCTAAAGAAGGCAAAAAGGAGAAAAAATGGTACAGAACATAGTGGACAAATGGAAAACAAATAGTAAAATGGTAGGCATAAGCCCAAATATATCAGAAATGATTAAATTCAATGAAAAAAGTTCTAAAATCTTAACAGAAAAAAATGCACTCTATGGGCATTTTTGACGTGAGCCTGAAGTTAGAGGTTCTGCTTCCGGCTTTGCCTGTAACCAGCTCTGTGGCTTTGAACCAGTCCTTCCTTGTTCCACACAATGTTATGTCTTAGTGGGAGGCAGTGGGATGAGGATCGCCCACCTGTCTCAGCCCCAGCCTGGTCTAGATTCCCTCTGACAAGCGCCTGAGTTGACATGAACTCAGTGGCACTTGTCAACGCTGGCAGGTGTGGGCCAGAGACAGGCAGCCAAGCACTTTGAATAGCATGTTTAGGAGGAGCGCCAGGCTCACAGCCGAGTGTGAAGTGTGTCTAAATGTCTATTCTTCCTGCCTGCATCTGACAAGTAATGCTGTACCAAAGAAGTAAAGACAAGGCAGAAAAAGAGGAGTTCAGAGCTGAAGGAACCAGCGCTCACCTCCAGCAATTGTTTTCAGGAAAAGATGAAAACTTTCATGCCCAGTGGCACACAGGGCTCGTGTGTGTCTCCTCGGTGATTGGCCCACCTGGAGCCATGGCTGGTGTTCTCTTCAAACCCAGTTCCCATCCACCGAGGTTGAACTGGGACACTTCTCCCCGCGTCTCCTTCTTCAAATGACTCAGGTTTCACAGCCTTCAACAGCACCTGCCTCTGCACTGTGACTTCCGCAGCTCAGATCTCATTGCAAGGAGCTTTCAAGTACAATGGGGAAAGTTGGCTTTGCCAGCCTTTCAGGAACAGCCCTTGGAAGATAAGGTAGATCTGTGTGTGCTTCAGAACTGCCGCCATGACTACGATCACACCGGCATCACGGCTTGCTTTGGATAAAACCTTAGGAAGACGGAAAAGCCTTCTTTCTAAAGGTTATTCCACTTGGCTTGTCCAACTGCATTTATTTCATTACTGTATTGACCATTGGGCCCCAGGTTCCAAGAGACAGGGACTCGCTCTGCCTCTCCCAAGCCTGGACCTGGCATCCTGGACAGCATCCTTTCAATAAAGGCTGGATAATGAAATGAAACAAAAAACGATTGAAGACTTCAGGGACCTAGAGAGCAATGTACAACTCTAATGGAAACCTGAACTCCACAGAGGAGAGAGTGATGTCCAAGACCCTTCTCATTAGGAACCTATGGCACGTATACACAACTTTCTGCCGGCACCATTCACCTAAAGAAGAGAGCAGAGAGAGCGCGCTCTGGGGAGTGAGCAGCCTGTGGGCTAAGTGCTAGCACTCCAGGAGCTGAGGGCCCCCTGTGTGTGGCTGCACCCCTCTGGCCCCTCTGCATTGCTGGAAAAGGCATGAAATGTACCCAGGACTTCCCATGCATCTGGGTCCATCCATGAATCGATCCACAGTGTGGGTCAGCTTGGCCTGACGTTGGGTTTTGAAGATGGGGTTGTGGTGATAACACCAGAAAGTTACTGGGGCCAGACCCGGGAGAGCATTAATTACCTGAACAATGGCTGACCTTCACTACACAGCAAAAGAGAAGCATTGCTAGGGAGAGAAGAGCATGGCCAAGGTGCGTCTTAGTGTGCTCTGCCTGCCATAACGAAAACCACACAGCGGGGGCTTATACAACAGAAGTGAACTTGCTCACAGAGCTGGAGCCTGGCAGCATAAGACCCAGGGCCCTCCTCCTGGCTTGCAGATGGCCGCCTTCTCACTGTGTCCTCACATGGCAGAGAAAGGAGGAGAGCTTCTCCCATTTCTTCTCATGAGGGCCTCATCTTATCATGAGGGCTCCACCCTCAGGGCACCATTTAACCTTAATGACCTCCTTACTACAAACCCAGACACACTGGGGGCTAGGGTGTCAATGTATGAATTTGGGGAGAGAAGATACAATTTGGTTGGTACCAGGGATGACGTGCTCTCTGTTCCGAAAGCTCCTGCCACGGAAGGCACAGCCGTTGTCTTGGACCTGCCCCCGAGGCTGTGCTGGTCCGTGACTTACCTCGTTGTAGAATTGGAAGGGCTGATCCCTGGGCCAGGTGTTTTTGGGGTATGTGGGAGCTTAGCCTGTTGGTGTCCAAACCAGGCTCCTCAATGTGGAGCAGAGTTCCTTCCACCACGTGCGGCGGAGCCCACGCCTGGGAAGAGCACGCGCACACTCGTTGCTTCACAGATGCTGAGAATGTCACTAGGCACACAAACAACCTTGGCTGGTGTTACATGACTAGCGTGTGTGTCTATTTTACACAAAATTTCACCTTAGAAATTGGTGGGTATGAAAAACAGCCATTTTACTAAATTGTTTTGGAAAAGAAATAGTGGCTTCTCCTGTGAAATAAGCTAAATTATTTCAAACATTTCAGAAAAAGTCAGTGTTTTGAGTAAAGATGTTTGTAGGAACGTGCTCCAGAGCCCGGTAAAAGCAGAGCCCAGGAGGAGGAAACTGTCTGGGGCTCCGAGTCCCCCGTTTAGAAAGTCCTTCAGTAGAGCAGGGACTCCTGCCGGACTCTGGGTGCCTGTGAGTATCTGCCGGGGAGTGTTAAAAATGGTGATGCCTGGGCCCCAGCCTGGACCAAATGGATCAGAATCTCTGAGGGTGGGCCTGGTAGTCTGCATTCTAAAGAACCCACAGGCTCTTCTCCCCTTGTGTTGAGCTTCCTGCTTGCTGCAAATTCAGGATACAGCTGGGGGCCAAGAGTGTTGTGGCTGGGGCTAGGGTGGGGCTGCTGGTGCAGGGTGAGACCTCCTGCAATGTGGGTCCAGCTGCCACTTCAAGGCCCTGGGGAAAGCCCCCATTCTCTTTGCCCCATGATCAGGATAATCCGGGATGCTGACAACCACAGGAAGGCATGAGGGGTGCTGAAAAGAAGGCTATAAACCTGGGGAACGCTTACGACCAGTCCATCTCCTCAGCATCTCAACGTCACAGGCTCTCGTTAGCTCCTCGGTAATATTAGTCATGTATCCAGCTGTCCCTAGATTAGCCTGTGCATCTCCACGTGCATTTCAGGGAGACAGTGACTGACAACTTGTCCCAGGATGGCAATGCAGATGACAGAAGCCTGATCAAAATAGAATGGGCAGGATTTTTAAGACCCCACACACTTCAAAGCACAGCTTGTGCAGGAAAAAAAAAAAAAAAGCCAAGTGGTCTTGGATGGCTGAGCGAGTCGAGCTGTAGAAGGTGACTTGGCCCTGCTGGGGGTGCTTCGTCCCCCTGAACCTCTTTCTCTGGCTGTCCCCTGACTCTGCTGGTACAGCAGGGTTGTAGACCCAGAAAATCTAAGACAGGTCTCAGTTAATTTAGAAACTTTATTTTGCCAAGGTTGAGAACGCACACCCGTGACACAGCCTCAGGAAGTCCTGAGAACATGTTCCCAAGGTGGTCGGGATGCAGCTTGGCTTTATACATTTTAGAGAGGCATGAGACATCAATCAAGTACATTTAAGAAAGACATTGGTTTGGTTCAGAAAGGTGAGGCAACTCAGAGTAGGGGGCTTCCAGGCTATAGGTGAATTTAAACATTTTCTGGTTGACAATTGGTTGAGTTTGTCTAAAGACCTGGGATCAATAGAAAGGAATGTTTGGGCTGCGATAAGACACTGCAAAGACCAAAGTTTATTCATGCAGATGAAGCTTCTAGCTGTCAGGCTTCAGGGAGAACACGCTGTGAAATGTTTCTTAAGGTCTGTGTTGACGTTAATGCTGGAGAGGTAAACATAATCAGGCATGTCCGATCCCCACGTCCTTCATGGCCTGAACCAGGCTTTCAGGTTAAATTTTAACACTGCCCTGGCTGAGGAGGAAGTCCGTTTAGATGGTTGGGTGGAGGTGGGGGAGGGCCTTAGGATTTTACTTTTGGTTTACATGATCTAGATGTGGTTATCCCCCTACTGGACCGCAAACTCCTTGAGGACTGGAAGTATATCTTTTTTCCCTCTGTAATCGCTGCAGCACCCAGCATGATGCCAGACACATCATAGGAATTCATTTGTTTTAAAGGAAGTCGTGAAAAAAGGCAGCAGTGTCTGGGCAGTAGATGGGCTCAGCCTTCTAATGAGAGGCACGTGGCACCAGACGCTGACGGATTCCTCCTGCCCTGTGTGATGACCAGGTAGACAGGGGAGGCCAGCTGGCATCTCTGATATGGCAGTGACCCATCCTGCACCAAGTTCAGTCACTGGCAGGCTGGTACAAGAGTGGAGGAAAGTGATGCCTTCAAGTTCACCAGCAGTGGGTATATGACAATGGCTAAATCTTGAACCGAAGAGCTCTATGCAATGCCCTTGTGAAGAAAAATAGCAAATAGGTTGATGTACCATCTGTTCACTCATTCATTCAGTAGTATGATTTTGAATGCTGACGTGTATTGGACACTGAGCTGGGGCCTCGAGATCCTGGTTGAGTAACCACAGCTCATCCTCATAGAGGCCTGGCGTGGAGACAGACACGGAGCAAAGAACTCCAGGGAGGGACTGGATTGCATGAGGGCACCGGGGCTTAGGGGAGAAGCACAGACCCTGTCTGGGGAAGAAGAGCAGCCCACATTGGTGAGCATCACTCATCCAGAGGAATGAGGGCAAGCACCGGGGTGTTGTTTCTGCTCTCTGGCATTCCGACTACTTGTCATTCTGGCTAAATGGTGTTGATGTTAAAGGAAAGTAGAGAAGGATTGAAGTGGGAACTGTCTATACTTTTACAGCATCTATGCAGCCCGAATTGAACGGCCAAACAAGAGTGTTGGACTTGCAGTTTATTTTATTTTTTATTTTTCTTGAGACGGAGTCTCGGTCTGTTGCCCAGGCTGGAGTGCAGTAGTGTGATCTTGGCTCACTGCAACCTCCGCCTCTTGGGTTCCAGTGATTCTCCTGCCTCAGCCTCCTGAGTAGCTGAGACTACAGGCGCCCACCACCACAACCAGCTAATTTTTGGATATTTAGTAGAGACGGAGTTTTGTCATATTGGCCAGGCTGGTCTTGAACTCCTGACCTCAGGTGATCCGCCCTCCTTGGCCTCCCAAAGTGCTGGGATTACAGGTGTGAGCCACTGCACCCAGCCTTGGACTCACAGTTTATAAGGTAGAATAAAACATCTGACTTCTACAAAGCTATTTAGAAGGCTGCTAAATCGCTCGTCTTGGGTAACAAGAACAAGTGCGTTTTTCCTGATTCCTGACAGTCAACTATAGCATAAGCTGCTTGAAGATGGAGATCAGGTGTTTCATGACCTGTCTGGCACCTTTACTGTTTAACCCATTTCTTGTTTACAATAAGGTCCCAATAAATTGCTGACAATGGACAGGTGAGCTTAAGACCCACGCTTACCCTATGCTGTGACAGGTGCAGCTGTCTTTGTAAATGTCTTTGTGTTTTAATAGTAGATGTTTTCTTATTTTTAGCTTTTAATTGCATTTCTTTCATATACTAATACAAAAAATGGTATAAATTTCTGGATGTGCTTTAACTCGTCCATATAGAAGATGGGATGTCTTGGACAGATGTTTACATTTATTCCTGAAATCTATGATTTCTGCCAGCTTTCTATTGCCAGAGCCAGTCCCTTATAAGTTTTTGAAGCAGGAATGAATATCACGTTTTTCACTCGTCACACACAACATGAAAGCACTGACGGGAAAAAGATGATTTGACTTAGAGGGCTTACCTGTGCCTGCTGGCACCATTTTCAACCTTTTCAACTTTTGTCAAGTCAAGTTGACAATAATTCCTGTGAGCCATGCCTTAATTCACCTTCACTTTTAGACCATTTCGGACAAAGATTGTAGCTCTCTAGAGTTTCTGCGTTGAATGAATCACATTCATGTTAGGAATCTGCACTGCAGGCCACCCCACAGTGACAACACGTCAAATCTGAGCATTGTCCTAAGAGAACACGAGACAGTGTGCCCTGCCAGCAATGGGGACAAGAGGAGGGCTTATTCCTCATAGGGGTATGAGTAGATTTTTCCTATTTCAGAAATCTCAGTAAGTACATACACCAGTTTGAGATTTTTGTCTGTATACGCGCTCAAGAATTCTCCGTGAGGTCCTGTCTGGGTATAAGTCCCCATTGTTTTAAAGACAGCAACTTATAATAACTTAAAATGTTTGTTTTGCCTGGACCCACCATGGAAAGAATTGAATTAACCTAAAGACAGTGTTGCCATGAGCGGTGTGAAGTATAAACTGCTCCCGGAGAGAGGGATTTGGAAGCCCCTGAAGATCTTTTCAAATAGACTCATTGTGTGAAACCCACTTTCCACGCCACTTAAGCCCTTACGTCTTCTTTGTGAAAGTTTTTCAAGAGGTAATGGCTCGTGGAGAAAATACAAGCCTTCGGAAGATGCCGGGGGAGTCATGTGCTGCGAGGGAGTTGTTGGCACTGAGATGTCCTGGGAAACAAGCGGTGATTTGTATGTGGGAAGCAGTTCAGGACACGGTCTGTTTCCCTCATTTCTGGCAGGCAATCGTGGGTTACCTCTTTCAGATGCAAACATATTCATTGAAAGAAGGCCCCTATGTGACAACAATCTCTCTTGACTGTGTCCCTTGGGGAGTAAGAGAAATTGACCATGGCCTTACGATGGGTCTGAAACCTAGAAATAAAAGCACAGCTAATTGTTTCAGCATGTCAGTAAGACTGGACCTACAAAGAATGTGTGCCAGCCAGGGTACCAGCTCATGTACCAGTCACATGTTAGGTCAGGGGTACCTGCCGGGAGTACAGTCAGAGATGCCTGCCTGGTATATGGTCGGGGGTATGTGCCGGGTGTACAGTCACGGGTGAGAAAGATGAACTACTAAGTCCACCAACTGACTGAACAGATGTCTTCCTCTCAGCCCAGAGGAACTCCAGGGAAACCGAGTTCCTGGCCCTGATGGGATGGGAGGTTGGACATAACTTGTTATGCCTCCTCCCTCGTTAACTTCCCTTGTTTCTTTCCTCAGGGCTAAACAGAAACCAGCCTTTTCAACAGACTCCTCCCTGATATCCACCCACCGCTGGACTCCGCCCCTCCCTTGTGTGCTTTCAACAAGCAACCGACCAGCATTCCTGCCCGACGAGAGGCCGTGGAGTGGATCTAGATGGTCTACAGGGGATGCCCAGTGAGGGTTCGTGCCCTCAGATGCCCAGTGAGGGTTCGTGCCCTCAGCTTCACCTTTTGATGTCAGAGGGCCAAACACTCCACCCTTGGATGGTGCTAATGCTGCCATTTTTTTGTTTTTCTTTTCTTTCTTTTTTTGTTTGAGATGGAGTCTTGCTCTGTTACCAGGCTGGAGTGCAGTGGCGTGATCTCATCTCACTGCAACCTCCAACTCCCTGGTTCAAGTGATTCTCCTCTCTTAGCCTCCTGAGTAGCTGGGATTACAGGCACGTGCCACCACATCCAGCTAATTTTTGTATTTTTAGCAGAGACGGGTTTTGCCATGTTGGCCAGGCTGGTCTTGAACTCCTGACCTCGTGATCTGCCCGCCTTGGCCTCCCAAAGTGCTGGGATTACAGGTGTGAGCCACTGCGCCCGGCCTGTTTTTCTTTCTTGTTGTCACCCAGGCTGGAGTGCAATGGTGCAATCTTGGCTCACTATAACCTCTGCCTCCTAGGTTCAAGCAATTCTCCTGCCTCAGCCTCCCAAGTAGCTGTAATTACAGATGGCCACCACCATGCCCAGCTAATTTTTGTATTTTTAGTAGAGACAGGGTTTTGCCATGTTGGCCAGTCTGGTCTTGAACTCCTGACCTCAGGTGATCTGCCTGTCTCGACCTCCCAAAGTGCTGGAATTACAGACGTGAGCCACCGTGCCCAGCTTAATGCTGCCATTTTTTTTTTAACATGCTCCCCATGGAGAGGCCTGAAGCTCAGTTGCATGTGTTTCTCCTTGTATAAATAAATATTCATGGCTTTCCTAGAGCTAATTGAATATATATATTTAGCCACGCCACCAGCATAAATTCCTCTTCCCTTTGCTCCTCCCTTGAGGTGCCTGTTTGTGGCTTCTGGCTGGAGGCTACACTTCCCAGCCTGTCATAATGGCCACTGCACAGGCTGCAACTCTATGAGAAATAAAACTCTCCTTCTGAAATTCATGAACCTCATCATTTGTCAGTTAACAGAGGTACCTGCCTGGAGTACAGTCAGGGATCCCATCCTAGTTTACAGTCAGAGGGTACCTGTCTGGCATACGGTCAGGGTTTCCGTCCCCGGGGTAGAGTCAGGGGTCCCATCTGAGTGTACAGTCAGGGGTCCCAGCCTCCTGCATAGTCATGGGAACTGGCCTGGGGTACTAGTGAGGGCCACCATCCCTACCTACAGCCGGAGGTACCTGCCTAGTGTACAGTGGGGGGGCACCATCCCTACCTACAGCCAGAGGTACCTGCCCAGTGTACAGTTGGGGGTGCCAGCCCTGTGCACCAGTCAGCAGCACCTGTCAGGTGAGCAGTCAGGGAATCCTCCCTGGTGAGGGACGTGGGCCTGGATTCCTGTTTTGAAACGACAGAAACCAGCCTCCCTTGAATAATCAACAGTCATGGGATTGAGGAAAAGCTGGAGAGCCAGCTGAGGAAAGGACAGGGGCCCAGGCAGGCCCAGCGGCTGAGAGCATAGTCAGATCACCCATGGCCATCTGCGACAACACTGTTGCCTGCAGACACTGTCACGGCACAGCCACCTCTGAAGACGGCCCCGGCCCCTCTCCCGTTTCTGCAGTGTAGTCACAGATGCCCCTCGCCCTTGCTTTGCTTTGTTCTCAGCAATTTATACATCACAGAACTCACTGCAACACACTTCACGTTAATTCAATTCTTTCCATGGTGGGTCCAGGCAAAACAGACATTTTAAGTTATTGTAAGTTGCTGTCTTTAAAACAATGGGGCCTTATAGCCAGAGAGGACCTCACAGAGCATTCATGAACGGGTGTACAGGCAAACATCTCAAACAGGCGCATGTACTTACCAACGTTTCAGTAAGTTGTCTGGCCGAGAGCCACAAATCCACATCTAAGCTTCCAGGGAGAAGGAAAGAACTTCGTCTTTTCCTGCTCTTGTGGCAAAACTTGGGGGCCTTGCTCCCCAACTTAACGAGATTCCTCACCACAGGAAAAGTGCTGGGATGCTGCCTGCTCAGCTGCATTTTAATAAAGACCACAGAGTATCTGATGAACAACCACCAGGTTAATGAGACATTATTAAATTCTGCGTTGGGTTATTTCTTTGGAAGCTTGCTTCCTTCCTTTTATCTTCAACTCTATTATTGGTAATATTGCTTACATAAGGAGCCGGGATAAAGATCACTATATCTATAATACTGTCTGAAATATCAGTGATAAGTACTTAACGAATGTTCAAAGAATGAATGAATTACAGTGTTGGGCAGTGAACAACCAGTTAATTATTTTAGATACTAAATATAGACCCTGAGATCAGCACCATCAAAGGTCCTTCCACCACCTGGTGACGCTCTACTCCAGCACTGGTTTAATTCTCTAAGGGTGGAGGGTGGCAGGCACTGTTGGCTCTAAGCCCTTTGCTGTTGCTAATGAACCTCTGTTTTATTTAAGCAGTGATTTCCCCAGCCCCAGGATTAACTATTTTCTGGTGCAAGCCAACCATGGCTGTCCAGTCCACCTGTCCCTGTGAACAAGCCAGAAGTCTGCAGGTCACCCAATTCTGACCAAGGAGACACGTGAAGAAGGCACCTGGAGCATTTCTGGGATTTCTGGGAAATATTTTCTTCCCTGATAAGAAAAGCAAGTCTTGTGAAAACGTCCTTTTGCATCTTTGTCCTTCCTGCTGTGGATTCTGTTGTGGGAGAACTGGAGGTTGGATGTGTGGGTTTTTGTTGTTGTTGTTTTGTGATGGAGTCTCACTCTCTCGCCAGGCTGGAGTGCAGTGGTGCGATCTTGGCTCACTGCAACCTCCACCTCCTGGGTTCAAGCGATTCTTCTGCCTCAGCCCTCCGAGTAGCTGGGACTACAGGCACCTGCCACCACGCCCAGCTAATTTTTGTATTTTTAGTAGAGATGGGGTTCCATTGTGTTAGCCAGGATGGTCTCAATCTCCTGACCTTGTGATCCACCCACCCTGGCCTCCCGAAGTGCTGGGATTACAGGCGTGAGCCGCCACGCCCAGCCAGATGTGTGGAATCTTTTGGAAACTGTGTGGGGGGCACATTCTGACACCCTGGGGGTGGCAGAGCAGGAGTGCAGAGGGAGCAGAGCTCTGTAATCTGTCAGTCCCGACAACGCTTGCGGGGAGGTGGGGAGGTGGGGCGGTTCGTGCTGGTGCTTTGCTGGAAGCTTCTCAGGTCATTGACTCCTAAGGCCTCCGTATGCTAGGGCTCAACATCTGGGCTTTCTCTGCACCTGGAATGATTCTGAGACCATGTGAGACTTCACTAGCCACAGCTGTTTTAAAAATATTTGCACCTTAGAGGAAGCAGTAGAAAGATGTGGCAAGATCAACATAAATCCATCCCTATCTCAGGAAAAATGGCTGAGTGCGCGTCCACCGCCGCTGTGTCTCAGGCTGCCTTCTCTAGACGTGGGGATTCCGCAGCAAGCAGCTCCCTCTGGGCGTGCTCAGCAGAGGCGCGGGGGAGGCAGGGGAGGCAGGGCAGGACAGGCAAGGGGGACGCGGTCTCTGCTGAGGCTCGCCCCCACCCTGGCCCACAGGCAAGCCCCGGAGTGAGGGATGCAGGAGCTGGTCCCTCACCTCGGCTGGGGACTGTCGTCAGTCACTGACTGGGGACATCACCCGGGGGCGGGTGGCTCCCTTCCCACGGAGAGTGACCCCTTTGGAGAAGACTGCAGCTTAGCAGGCGCCGTGGGATGTGCACACCGACCTGTGGAAGGGGTGGGGGCCGAGACAGCACCCACCACAGTCCGCCCCCACACCGTGCTGGGATCTCACATCAAGGTCCTCTGGCTTACTGTCGGGTGCTCTCAGATTTTGGTGGGTCACAATTTCTGGGAACACTTAAAAGAAGAGCTGGAGTGATGGCTACAGCTCCGGGCGGCGGCACCTTCCGGGCCCAGCATGGCTCCCATCGCGCCTTCCTCTGCCGTGTGCTGCAGGGCCTTGGCCGGCATCTCCACGTGTATGGGCGGCTCGCTGGGGTGCAGCCCAGATGCCTCCTGGGACCGCTGTGCCTTCACCGGGCTGCGCTTGTGCACTTGTCTGTTTACAAGCAGAGCCGGCCGTGGGGGAGGCGAGGTGCCCAGGGGTCACAGGACTGCCAAACACGTCCCTTCCTCTACCTGCAGGCAGCAGCAGCCCCCATCTCCGTGTGACCGGGACGCCCATCCCTGCCAGAGGGCCCGTGCCCGTGTGAGGGGTTCAAAGCGCTGCTGTCACTGGCCTCTATCTCTGGGACCCCATCACCCTATTGTTCCTATGGCTGCTTGGGAGCCCAGGACGGCAAGAGCACCCCCTCCAGCCCCATCCCACGGAGGACCCTGGCACTCTCAGGTGGAGCCCTTCATGGGTGCACGTCGAGGACATCTGGAAAAAAGCATCACCAGTAACTGTGATAAAGACTTCGGAACAGTCGCACTATGTGCACACAGAGGCTCTTTCAAATCAATGAAAGAGCTCTGCAAGGGTGGGGCGGATTCCACGGAGCTGCCAGCGAGCCAGCGAGCGTGGACCTCACTGGAAATTCCACGCATGCAAATGAAAAGAACGGTGCAACACCGTCTTTCTCTATCAGGAGCAAAGATTGAAAAGAACTTTGGGGCTTTTCCTCCGCAGGTTGCCTGAGGCTCCAGTAGGTCTGCAGACAGTGCCTCTGCACCCGGTTTCTGTTTCCTGGAGGGCGTTTTCTTGTTTCTTCTTGATTGTTCTGTTTCTTAACTGCACCCGTTAGTAGCTTTGCTGCTTCGCGTTCACAAATCGCTCTTCATTCCTTCTCTGCACACAGGACGTAGGGTGGCCAATATTACCACCCCCGACGTGATACCTACAGAACAGCTTTGAAATAGAAAAATGCAGACACTTCCCTGATCAGAGCGGTAAATATTGGTAGAACCAGAAAAATTATTAGTGACCAGTGCAAAGTTGGGCATGGCTAGGGGTCATGTCTGTGTGTGTGTGTGATGTGTGTGCTTGTCTGTGTAGTGTGTGTACTTGTGTGTGTCTGTGTGTATGTATGTGCAACTGTTTGTGTGTATGTATATGTGGTGTGTATGTGTCTGTGTGAATATGTGTGTGTGGTGTGTGTATGGTGTCTGTGTATATGGGTGTGTGGTGTGTATGAGTATGTATGTGTGTGTGGTATGTGTATGGTGTGATGTGTGTGGTGTATGTGTGTCCGCATGCTTGTGGATATGTCTGCATGTGTGCATCTGTGATACGTTTGTGTGTGTGGTGTGTATGTGTTTCTGTGTGCTGTGGGGGTGGTGCGTGGTGTGTGTCTGCATGTGTGCATCTGTGGTAAGTTTATGTGTGTGTGGTGTATGTGTATTTGTGTGTGGGGGGTGTGTGCGTGAAAGTGTGCATTCGTGGTACGTTTGTGTGTGTGGTGTGTGTGTGTGATGTGTGCGGTGTGTGTGCTGTGTGTGTGTAGTGTGGTGTGTGTGTGGTGT